>NC_000014.9:31732925-32035955 GCF_000001405.40 Homo sapiens | reverse complement strand
AAAATTCGTAGGGGAAAATAAAATGGAAACCGAAGGCAATGTTTTAAAAAATTTCCATTGAGTTAAATTTTTTTCTGTCTTACCTATCCTCTGTTTCTATAGGCAACCACAAATTGTTGTCTAGACTGCTTTTGTTAGTGGTAAGTGAAAAATATTTTTGTAATGATTATTTAATATTTTGCTAAATCCAGAAGACAGGAACTGTCTGCCAGCAAGTGCCATATTGAAGTTTCCTAAACACTACAGAAAATAGAAATTATTTACAGTTAGCACTCAACATTGGCAAACAAGTCATGCTATTAGAGATGTATTTGCATATGTTATATTAAGAAGCATGCAAATTTATGTGGAAAAGTACATATAATTGGGCATAATTAATCATTTCTACCAATGATAAATATCCCATTTCCCAATATTGCCATCCAATCCTCCCTTTCTTTTGAGCATAGATATGTGTGTTTCTAACCTCCTGGGATGGCAGCATTATGTAAAATACCTCTCCCTCCACCCTCCAGTTCTGTACCTACATCTACATTTAAAGGACTAACCACTGGATCAATTTCATGTTTTCATTCAAAGACTAAGAAAATAAAGTTCGAACGGTAGTAAAATATGGACAGTTGTTTCTAATTATTGTTCTTATTGTTAGGACCATCCAGGGAGCTTTCTAAAAGTTCGGATTCCCCAACCATGTCAAGATTCAGATTCAGTTGGTCTGGGGTAGGCCAGGAAATTTATAACATTCCACGTGACTCAGACATTCAGCTAGGTTTGGGCACTACCAGTATACATAAAAGAGCACTGGACAGAATCAGGGAACTTCAATAATATTGTAGTTATTATTTTTGCTGTTAATAGTATTTGTTAATATTAGTTTTCTTTCTGTAAGACATTTGCAGATATCTGTCAGACATTTGTCAGACTAAGCACTTTACATACATTATCACAGAATTATCAAAATAGCCTTTCATCTCACGGATGAGAAAACTAAGACTTGGAGAGGTTAAGTGATTTGCCTAAAGCCACAGAGATAGTGAGTGGCAAAGGCAGGAATATGGTTTTATCACTGAGTAATATGTAGGTCATTTAAGTAGTTAGGTGAGTCATTTAAATTATTAAGTTTTCTCATTTGGAGATGAGGGGCATTGGACTCGACACTAGATCACATCTAGGCTTCCTTGCAGCTCTAATGTTCGCTTCCACAATTGAACTAGAAGACCTGGTTTTTGGCCTTCTGGAGCTCAACATGCATTGTTAAGCTTCCTCACCGTCCTTCCCATTTAGGTATAAAGCACCACTTCACCTATGGCTCCTCATTTTCCACAGAGCAAAAACTCCTTCAGAACAGCCCTAATCCCTCTCTCGAGCTTTGGCTCCCAGTGCCTCAGGCACACCCCCGAAACCTCTAGTCCACTGGGTAACAGGTGTTTTGAGCTCCATGCCCTTGCTCAGTGTTTGTCTCAATGCTCTGCCCTTCTTGGTTCGATGGAATAATCCTGCTCACTCTTCAGAGACAACCCACACGGCAGCAACTCTTTTGTAAAGACATCACTCTTTTCCTGGTCAGAATTAATTTGTTCTTTTAAGATTTTGTTTTGTCTTGTGTTACAGATAGAATGAACTTCAGACCTAGCTCTCTGGCAACTTCACTTTCAAATATCCTGTCAGCTCATCCACATAAGCATGCCAGTACTTGGCAGTCTTGATGTAGACAACATGGCAACTGTAGTTATGGCATATATCCCAAGAGGGGTGGGAATTATTTTCCTTTTGGTGAGATTCTATAGGGCTGAGGCACTTACCTTATCTGACTCTTCTTTCATCCATCCATCCATTCATTTATTTGCATATATGTTAAATTATGTATCCCAAATTTAAATTGCCTATACTTGGCACATAATAGACTCAATTTTTGTTGCATTAATATTAAACGCTTTTATATGACTCCCTTAGATAAATCTTTTGCAATCAGTTTATTTTACACCACCACTCCTGCCATCATGGATAAAAACTGTTTCTTCTGAATAAGTAGGTAACCAAGTAGCAAAAGAATGACAGCATTGGAAAATGAAAGGAAGGACAAAAATGTTATATTTGATCAGTGCAGGCTCCTGGCATAATAAAAGAGACAAAGCTGATGTGTTTTGGTTAAGACAACAGTGAAGGCCATGCTTTTCAACTGGACCTGTGCCCAGCACTGCTTTGTAACAAGCCTGGAAAAGGAGTCAGAGCAGCACGCCACCAATGTGACCTGTAAGACTAAGTGAAGGTAAGCAAGGGGCCACCAAAAGGTCCTCGGGCTAGAGCCATCCAGCTCACCACAGAACAGGGTGGTGGTATTCAGTGAAAAAAATCTGGTAGGCTTCTAAAAGGGGTTTCTGTGCACTTGGACACCAAGAGAACAACATGCATAAAGGGGATAATTTTACTCCATTCCAAATCGTCTTTTCACAACTCATTGTTGCTTGGTAACTTGTAGTAGCTATCACCGACTTCCTAAGGTCTTCTTAGGCATCTCCCGCTCTGGGTTCCCAGACTTCCCCCCATTAACTACCAGGCTCTGGTTTCCTATGATTGTATCTATTGCTCACTCTAAACTGAAACTCTGTGAGGATAAGGATTAATTCACTTTGGTATTCCCAAGGAAGGCCTAGCAGA
Organism: Homo sapiens; assembly: GCF_000001405.40. NCBI lineage: Eukaryota > Metazoa > Chordata > Mammalia > Primates > Hominidae > Homo > Homo sapiens. The sequence goes on along the minus strand of NC_000014.9, from coordinate 32,033,297 downwards.
GACATGGCAGCTACTCAATGTATGTTTGATGAATTAATGAAGGGAAAAATTAGCCACCTGTAACTATCACAGGTAGTTCCTTTAGTTCCTTTTAATGAACAAGGGAGACTTTTAGAGTGGGGAGTGTAATGTTTGTGTTATCCTGATGAAAATGTTGGTTGTTTCAGACTAGAAGTAGGTATCTTACCCTGGGGAGGTCTAAGCTTAGTGGCAACGAGGTAGAAAGGATCAAAGCCTAGGAGGCCTAGTTGGACAAAATCTCCTTTAAAACAGAGAATATCAGATCTCTATTATCCCAGTCATGGCTGGAAAATGGTTCTCGTTCTAATTTTATTATTTGTTTGTTTGTTGTTGTTGTCATTGTTGTCTTAGAGACAGGGTCTCGCTATGTTACCCAGGCTAGCATGCAGTGGCATGATCATAGTTCACTGCAGCCTCAAACCTGGGCTCAAGGATCCTTCTGCCTCAGCCTCCCAAGTAGCTAGGACTCTGGGCATGTGCCACCACACCTGGCTAATTTTTAATTTTTTTTTTTTTTTTTTTTTTTTTTTTTGAGACAAAGTTTCGCTCTGTCTCCCAGGCTGGAGTGCAGTGGCGCAATCTCGACTCACTGCAAGCTCTGCCTCCCGGGTTCACGCCATTCTCCTGCCTCAGCCTCCCATGTAGCTGGGACTACAGGCGCGCGCCACCATGCCCGGCTAATTTTTGTATTTTTAGTAGAGACGGGGTTTCACCGTGTTAGCCAGGATGGTCTCGATCTCCTGACCTCGTGATCCGCCCGTCTCGGCCTCCCAAAGTGCTGGGATTACAGGCGTGAGCCACCGCGCCCGGCCAATTTTTTGTTTTGTTTTGTAGAGGTGGGGTCTTGCTCTGTTTCCCAGGCTAGTATTAAACTCTTGGTCTCAAATGATCCTCCTGTCTTGGTCTCTCAATGTGCTGAGACTAATTCTGATTTTATTCTAGTAGGATAAATGTTTCCTTTGCAAGGGTTTGTCCCCTTCTTTCTGGCTTGGGTGAGTATCCAAAGAATTTTTGTAGAGGTAGCAAATGGTCTTCTCCTTGTTTCAGATGAGAAGTAAGATATTGATGCTTACTCCCTCTTAACCAGGGCCTGGAAATCTTGAATCAATAATTTCAAAGACTAAATGAGATAGCCTTTGCTTTATTATGTGTTTTTCTATTTCACTATCCATATACCTTGCTATTTTCTTTTTGCAATAATCGGCAATTAGCTTTCTGTTATGCTCTATTTAGAACGGGGGATGCATTTCCATTGATCGTCTACTTGAATATTGTATACTTACTCTGTGTTTGATGGAACCTATGTTTTTAAAAAATAGGTGGACACAGATTTCAATATTTTCTTGTAGGGAAGCAGGGAACTCGTTTTTGAGGCTTGCATTAGGGGCTAGTAGCAAGTCATAAAAATGTTGACTTTTGACATTCTCTCAGCAAGGCCTCTAACACATTCTAAGTCAGCTTCACTGTGTCACAGTCAGAAATCATAGATACGTGATTCCTGCCTCAGCTCTATTAAACAAGATGATATATTTAAAAACACATGGTCTCTGGTGGATGATCAATACATTGACTCTCTTGCTCTTTTTTTTTTTTCATTTCCCATTCATTTCCCTAAGGCATGCCTAAAGAATATGACCCAGCCGAAACTCAGTCAGTAGAAGTGGAAGAAAAATAATGATGTGTGTGTGTGTGTATGTGTGTGTGTGTGTATGTGTGTGTGTGTAATGTTTCTCTCTTCTGTGCGAGAGAAGAGAGAACATTACATAAACTATAACACTCCCAAGTTCCTTCTGGTTGGGAAGTTTTAAAGTCAAATTCGATCTAGATTGAGTTTTAAGGGAGTCTTTCAATGCTAAAATATAACAAAGCATTTATGAAAGCTTATCTACATACAAATGGTTTATACCTTCAAAGGATATTTTGTTCTTTCTAACATTCAACAATCCTGACCATTTCAATAGGCCATATGCAGAAAGTATAATCCTCCTTTCCCTACTTTATTATTTCTGATAGTGATAACACAGACCAAAGGATCATCAAAATTGGGCCCTGGATTTTTTATATTCTTCAAAGGGAGATATCAAGATAAAGTATACACTTTTAAAATCAGCTTATCACTGACAAGTCACTCTTTAGACTACTAAAGTTGCAAGAACTTCCACAAACATCATTTACTGTTTATAGAAAAAATTTAATTGTTATGGTAAGAAGACAATAATAATGTAAGACTATTCAGAATTGTTGACAGGCATAATTTACAAGACATTATGCAGTACTTTGCAACTCCATCACCTCTCAATCATTTGAGTTCCGATTGTCCACCCTGTGTATGGTTGAAATCTTTTGCGACTGCTTGTCCTATTAGACCCAGAGGTCCTTTCTCCAGACTCTCTAGGGCATTGTTTCTCAAACTGGTTTTATGCAGAGTACTAGCCTTCAGGATGGTGGAAGAGACATAGATCAGAGTGATTGAAACCATATTGGTTATGGGCATTAGCTTTAGATGGATCAATGACAAGGTATGCAATGGACCCAGGATACCGATTAATCCAGTTCCATGAACACGATGTCAAAAACATTTGTGAAGTAGACTTCAATGCAGATATTGTCCTAGCTCTGGCATTTCCACCTCCCTGATTTTTAAATAAGGTACCCTCTCTGATCCTTAGTTTCATTATTTATAAATAAGCATGATAAAACAGTCCCTGTCTTGCTAGTTGTTGTGAGAATAAGATAATGTATGCCAATTTTTTGTTTATGTATTTGTTTACTTGTTTATTGTCTGTCTTCCCTCTACCTCACCCTCAAGGTAAAAATCAGGAATTTTACCTTTTTCATGGAGGTATCTCCAGTGCCAGGAACAATGTGGTGTACATAGCAGAGTTTAACAAATATTTTTAAAATACATAAATAAAAAAACTAGTACATGAAATGTTCTTAGCATGATGCCTGGCAAATAGTATGTGCTCAATAAATATTAACATAAAAAACAACCTACTTCTGTGAGATGTTTCTCAAATAAAGGATTTTGTGCAGTTATATATTAAGAAGACTGAGATATCCTTCAGGGAAGAAATTGGTATAACTTATTTTTAGCTCCATATACCCATGTTATTTGGCCACAAAACCCCTTCTTCCCAGGTATACCTGTTAATTAACATTCTGTAACATTAGTGTACCATTGAACATATTTTGGGAAATAATGAATTAGCCTAATGTCCCTATTTTAGAGGTAAGATGCCCAGATATTAAATGGTTTGCTTAAGTCAAGTAACCAGCAGCAGAAATTCCAAAACTAGAGGCAAAGCTCCCATTTCCCGAGCCTGTGTCTTTACCCAGCCAGGTGAGGAGTGGTGTGTGGGCAGTGACATTGTATGTCAGCATTAGAAGGTAATTTAAATCTCACCTGCATTTTTCAGCATTGAGGCCTGTATCAGACACTACTGCTGACCCACCTCATATCCTTTTTTTGGTTAATGGGGGCCTCTTTGACACCTGAGCGTAATATACCTGCTGGCCAGCCTTCAGGAATGTGCAACCTGGAAGTAGAAGGGTCTTAACACCCTACAGGGCAACCCTTGGCCAAAAGAGGATGAAAGTTAATGGGTAAATGTTTTCTCCTCTTCTGCAGGCAGATAACTCTGAGACGCACTCTGTGTCCTTTGAGAGTCCTGGTAGGATCAATCCCAGTTGCCCACATCATTGACATAGGCCACAACTGAGCAACGTGGCAGTATAGGCAAACTTTCCAAATTCCCAGCTTTTCTCCTTTCCAGTCATTCTGCCTTTTCCCAGGTGTGTTACTCTTTCGCTTACTATTGAAAACAGCTGTGTCATCTCTTGTGCGCCCATTAAGCAGGTGCCATGTTTCACACCAAAGGTGGCTGCGATTCGGCAGGCGGGGGTGTAAAATAGGAAATAACGTCTAAATATAAATCGGACTAGAATGGAGGAGGCTTCTAACAGATGAGAGGTGCTACGACGCTCAGTGCTCTGTTGATTTTTTTCTCGTGAGTTTTCAAGGATTTGGCGAAGGCATGAGTATAATGTGTTTACAAACATACTCTGTGTTTATGATGCCTGGTTTTTCTGTTATGCTGAATAAAAACAGGGAGCTACTCTTGGTTTGGGAAAACAGTGCAAGCTGAGGTAGTTTCCACAATGTTTCAGCAACTCATTGAGTAACCTACCAGAGCCCCAGAGCTTTGAGCTGTAAGCCTGTTTTACTGCTCTCAGCCCCCAAGGCAAGAAAGGGAGGCAGTGTAGCTTTATTAGTTAAACTGCGGAAACAAATAGACCCCCAAATTCCAGTTTATTTCTAGCTCATGTGATAATATAATCCAGGTGCTCTTGTTCAGCAGTTTTCTTCTGTTGTGACTCAGAGACCTGGACTTTTCCACAATGTGCTTCTGTTGTTCCCTGGAGCCTTGTGGTCTCGGCATTGAGCTGGCAAAAGAGGAAGTTGTGAAGCAAGCATTTTCAGCCCACAGGTGACACTCAAAACCAAAATGCATATCCCACTGGCAAAAACTAGTCACATGGCTCCCCCTGGAAGCAAGGAGGGTTGGGAAATGTAGTGACCAGCTAGGTAGAGACTTCCCAGCAACAACTGTGTTCTGTGGAAGGTGAAGCACCACTGTAGGGGAGCATCTAGCCATCTCTGCCAGGTACATTTGTCAGGAATGCCAGTTCTAGAGCCTGGTGGACCTGGATTCAGACCCCAGTATGCCATTGACTAGCCCTGTGAATGTGGGCACATTATTTCACTTCTCTGACCCCCTCTCCTCATATGCAAAATGATGATAATGGAAGAATCTGTCTCGCAATGTTGTCATGGGGTTTAAATGAGATCGTGTACATACGACTCTTGTCACAGTACCTGGCACATAATGAGCGCTCAGTAAATGGTAGCTGTTTATTATTATTATTAGAGATGAGGTCTCACTCTGTCACCCAGGCTGGAGTGCAATGGGGTAATCATAGCTCACTGCACCCATGAACTCCTGGGCTCAAGTGATCCTCCTGCCTCAGTCTCCTAAGAAGCTGGGACTATAGACACACACCACCACATCTGGCTAATTTTTTTAAAAAATTTTTTGTAGAGAAGGGGGTCTTGCTATGTTGCCCAGACTGGTCTTGAACTCTTGGCTTCAAGTGATGCTCCCGCCTTGGCCTCCCAAAGTGCTAGGATTATAGGCATGAGACACTGTGCTTGGTCTGTTTTCATTATTAACTATGAAGCAATGCTGCTATCTCACTCGGTGAGATGTGTCAGTTTCCTTCGGTTTGCAAGAGACTACACAAGTTATCTCAGTTAATTTGAATTTGGTTTTTTTAGAGACACAGAAAATAAGAGCAGGAAAAAAAAATCTAAGCAGCCAAACAGCCAGCTTATTGGCATCAGAACACTGCATAGGTGACATGAAGGGCTCTAATTGTGGGACAATAGTCCTGGAAGCTCAGGAGCACCTGTCCAGAGGACATTGGCTGCCCCACCCACAGGACTCAGCTCTTCTCTGGCTCAGCATCTTTCTTTCCTGCTGCTTCTGACTGGCCTCTCTGCTTTTCTCAGCATCTCCAGGTTTCTTCTCATTCACAGCTTCTATGAGCTTTTTGTGCATCTTGGCTTCTTTGCCATTGTGTTTTCTGCGAGTCTCTGTTGATGTCTTATGCTCAGACACTGTGAAAGGATTTGTTAGACAGACCTTATACAATAAAGGGCACCTGTCGTTGGTCAGAACCCAGAGCCAGTCCACCCAGGATATCAATGGTTACTTTTCTTCCGGGTGTAAATCTGACTCAACAAGCTGTGACTACCATAGTGGGGATATAGCATACAAACATCATGACGTGGTGTAAGAAAATGCTTCAGTGCCTCCTTGTTGAGAAAGGAACAGTGCTTAGAGCCGACACTCACAATATGAATAACAAGGTAAATCATTAAACATTTCACTGGTGAAAATCTTCAAATTTATTATCTGCCTTCAATTTGCCATGGATTTGCTTGGTTTCCTAAATCTTCTTAGGATGAATGCTTAAAAGTGAAGTATATACCTTCTTACCCCATCTGAAAAAAGAAAAAAAAATGAAGTATGCAAGTCACTGTCACTTAACTGGTATCCCTGGCTAAAGTTTGTCTGCATTGGGCTGGACACGGTGGCTCATGCCTGTAATCCCAGCACTTTGAGAGGCTGAGGCGGGCAGATCATGAGGTCAGGAGTTCAAGACCAGCCTGACCAATACGGTGATGAAACTCCCTCTCTACTAAAAATACAAAAAATTAGCCGGGCATGATGGTGAGTGCCTGTAATCCCAGCTACTTGGGAGGCTGAGGCAGGAGAATCACTTGAACCCGGGAGGTGGAAGTTGCAGTGAGCCCAGATCGCGCCACTGCACTCCAGCCTGGGCTACAGAGCGATACTCTGTCTCAAAAAAAAAAGAAAAAAAGTTTGTCTGCATCTACCCAACTTCCACACTTCTACCAGAGTTCTTATCCCCATGTAAGTCTGGTTATTTTACTTTCTTACTTAAAACTCTGAATTGGTTCCTTTCTAGGTATAATATAAAGCCCTGACTTCTGAGCCTGCTGCCCTTACTCATTTTCTACCCTTCTGTGCACTACCCTTCCACCAATGTCCCACCACACTGAATTTTCTCCATTCTCTTTCACACTTTTGTGATCACACATATGCTGTTCTCTGGTTGGAATGCTATTCCCTACCCCATCACCCCTTGGTAAATGCCCATCTATCCTTTAACACCCAACTCAATCGACACCTTCTCTCAGAAGCTTTCCCTGATCTGCCAGTCTCCGCCTCCCCCTCCCCCGACACACCCCTATGGCTGGATGAAATCACGTGTCCCTTCACCAGATCCCCATACCCCATAAACAGACCCCATTGGTGGTGTTGATTATTTTATATCCTGGTTATCCAAGTGTCCGTCTCCCAGGCACAACTGTGAGCCTCAAAGGCAGAGAACATGACTTATTCGTCCTTTACACTGCCAGGGCTCAAGAGCACATCCGTCTTCTTTAGCCCCCAATACCTGGATGTTAAATTTTATTGGAATTCAAAACCCTGCTGCCACAGAGGGATCTGGAATATGAAAACAAAATCCACTCATTCTCCTGTGTGTGTTTCCTATGCAGGATCTTTACTTCTGAAGAATCATTTTATGGTCAACCACACTTAATCTATTCTACAGAGTACGAAAGAGAAACTAGTCTACATTTTCCATAAAGTAACATGGCAAGAGGTCCCATTCCTAGGTCTAGGAGAAGCGTTTGATTTGCTATAAACCAGGTGATTTTCAAATGTCCTCTCTTATGATTTTTCTCTTCATGTAAGTGTCATCATCCAGGGAGCAATGACGTTGTGAAGATGCATTAATTGGAGACGTGGGCTGGAATGTTTGAAGCCACATTTCTCCACATACACACAGAGTCTCTTCAGGCTTTTGAAAATCAACTTCTTATTCTTGGGCCTCTTTTCTCCAGAGGGACTCTCCCAATTTGGACTCTTTCAGAGAAGCTGGCATTTGGAAATGTGTGCGGAGCTGGGATGGTTGTCACAATGATGGTTGTCGCAATTATTTAGTGGGTGGGAGCCAGGGATGCTCATACCATACAATGCATGGGACCATCATACAGATCAAATGTTGTCCCACCCAGTGGGAACAGCCCTCTAGGTGAGAACTATTGAGTTAAGGGATATGTTTAAAGTCCAAATGGAAGCTCCTGTCTCAGTTTTAAGGACTTCTGACTCAAATAAATTCATAGTTATTTCTTCTATGTCGAAAGTGTGTGCTTATATCAAATTCACTGGAAACCACAGACTTTTAAAAGAATCAACAGGAAAAAGCATTTAGCATGCCATCTTGCTAGTGAAAAAAAGACAGAACAGTGGAATAAAATGGCCCTTTCTTTGAAATGCATTTAATTTAATAAAACACGAAATTAAAGGTAGGATAGTCTCGTCCCTATTGCAAAATAACCTGCAGAGTGAAAACTGAGACATGCACAATTTCATTAACCTTCCATTCATAATGCATAATGCATGGAAAATGCCATTTTAACATCCAACTGAACAAGGCTATTTCCATGCCTTGAGAGGGTTTCACATATTAGCATTATTTGTCAGTGAGGATACAGGAAACAGTATGAAGAAAAAAGGTCCTGGTCACACAAAGCGTTTATCCTTTTCATAGTCTATTTTTTGAATGAAGATATTTTTCTTATTATATAGTGTTTTATCTCTTTGTTAAACATTCTTAGCAGCATACAGAAAAGCATGTCAGTAAAATTTGGAAATTTTGTTAAATCCTGACTCAGAGTGTGTAGCATCATTGAACGTTAGAACTTCAGAACTTCAAAGGTCCTGGAGATCACAAGCTTCAGAGATCATGGAGTCCATAGGATCATGGATTCCTATTTTGTAGATCAGAAAACTGAGGCTCAGGGAAATTAGTGACAGTGGAGGTGATAGCTCACTAGGGCCCGGGAGAGAAAACAGAGCTGGATAGGTTTGCTTTGTGAGTTCTCAGTGTCTTCTCATTGCAAACTGTCTTCAGTGTACCTTTAATTATTTTCTGAATAGACTAACGGCAGTTCAAAACCCTGCTCATTTTATAGCATTCCTTAGCTGTTAGTACTATTATAATGACCAAAAAAGAGAAAGAAAAATTGGGGCAAAAATGAACAACCTTGCAATTTATAAAACTGCAAAACATAACTGTTATAGGAAAGGGGTCCCAATCCAGACCCCAAGAGAGGGTTCTTGGATCTCCCACAAGAAGGAATTCAGGGTAAGTCCACAGTGCAAAGTGAAGGCAAGCTTATTAAGAAAGTAAAGGAATGAAAGAATGGCTACTCCTAGACAGAGAAGTCCTGAGGGCTGCTGGTTGCCCATTTTTAGGACTATTTCTTGAAGATCTGCTAAGCAAGGGGTGGGTTATTCATGCCTCCCCTTTTTGGACCATATAGGGTAACTTCTTGATGTTGCCATGGCATTTGTAAACTGTCATGGCTCTGGTGGGAGTGTAGCAGTGCGGATGACCAGAGGTCACCCTCATTGCCATTTGTGTTTTGGTGGGTTTTGGCTGGCTCCTTTATTGCAACCTATTTTAATGGCAACAAAAGCCAAAATTGACAAATGGGATCTAATTAAACTAAAGAGCTTCTGCACAGCAAAAGAAACTACCATCAGAGTGAACAGGCAACTCACAAAATGGGAGAAAATTTTCGCAACCTACTCATCTGACAAAGGGCTAATATCCAGAATCTACAATGAACTCAAACAAATTTACAAGAAAAAAACAAACAACCCCATCAAAAAGTGGGCGAAGGTATCAACAAGGTCTTTATGACCTGAATTTTGTGCTGACCTCCTATCTCATCCTGTGACTTAGAATGCCTCAACCATTTGGGAATGCAGCCCAGTAGATTTCAGCCTCATTTTACCCACTTCCTGTTTAAGATGGAGTTGCTCTGGTTCACATGCCTCTGACATAACCACCTAACATTTGAAAAGTGTGTCATATTTTATTAAAATATTGTGTTGCATTGAAATACAGTCATTGCGCAAGGATGCAGCATCATTTACTTTCTCCGGCTTTAATGTGTTGGAACAAGCCAAGCACATCCCTTGGTGCCCACCTCTTCCTCCATCCCCCAACATGTCACTTGCAAATGAATTGTACACCTAACATTTGCTTTGTGCAAGGAATTTTAAACCCAGGAAACAATACAGTATGTTTTAGTATATTATAGCAATAGGCTTCAAGTTTAATGAGCTTTGGGTCTAAATGTAGCAATTAGGAAGTCTCTTCAAGCTTATAAAATGAGATTCTACCCAAGTTTATAAGCAGGTACAATAACACTTGGAATGTAACTGTGTCAGGTATCTGAGAGGCTTTTTTCGAGCATATGTAGAACAAATTGCCTACGTAATACTCCTCCTTCCTTCCCAGTGTTTTGTTCCACAAACACTGACACTGGAACAAAATGTCCCTATCTGACAGGTATTGCAACATTTTGGTAATTAGCTTAAAATACAGCTGATTTGTCCTCCTGCTGCCTTCCCCTATGGCAACCAGTATCTGAAAGCTTGTTTTAAAGCCATTCAACAAGCACAAAGAACCATACCTGTTGCATCTGATTTCCTCCCCATTAAATCAGGATGAAGAATTTAGTAAAAACTGCTTATGCACAGATACTCCAGTGACTGCATGGAAGATAAGACTGTGAGGCTGCTGGCATTTTCACCACTTCTAGCTGGTTGTCAGTGGCATCTTGGCTTTTCTCTCAATGGCAGTGAGCCAAATAGCCCAGTGACCTCGGCCTTTCACCTAAGGGTCCTTAGTGTACCAGACCTTTCCCCTGTAACAAAGCCCATTGCTACTTTTGTAACCATGGTGGACGCTATCGGTTGGCTATTCAACTGACCTTCACAGCCCCCATCTTCCTTAAGGTTGAAATAGGCAGTTACTTGTATTCTCTCAGCCTCCCTTGCTGCCAGGCAGTCATGTGACACAGGTCTAAACAATGACACATAAGGTAAGGTGTATTGAGGTGCTTCTGGGAAACCTCTTCTTCCTTAATGGAGAAGTGGTTTGACACCGTAAGGGCTCTGGAGCTGAACTGCCAGAGTTTAAGTCCCAGTTCTATCACTTCTTGCCTGTGTCATACTGAGAAAGTTAATTCTGCTTTTTATGCTTTGTTTTTTTTAATCGGCTGTAGAATTAAAACCTACAAAGTGCTCAGGATAGCACCTGACATAAAGTAAATGCCGAGAAAATGTTAGTTACTATTATAGTTAATAAAAAAAAAAAAAGGCATGTGATGAGCATTCTGCTTCCTGCTTTTGGAAACGGCTTTGTGAGGTTAGGATGCCTGGAGTTATGGCAACCATTTTGTGACCAAAAGGGGACCTGGGACTGCCTAGCTCAAGATTTTCTTAAGTAAACGAACTATAGATATAGTGGATTTTCTGTTACTAGCTGCAGGACAATCCCATCTAATATATATATATATATATATATATGTATATATATATGTATATATGTATACACACACACATATAAAAATTATATAGAAGCAGGAAGCAGAATGCTCATCACATGCCTTCTTTCATATATATATGTATATATACACACATATATACATATATACACACATATACATATATACACACATATATACATATATACACATATATACATATATATACACATATATACGTATATATACACATATATACATATATACATATATATACATATATACACACATATATATACATATATATGAAAAATATATATATAATATATATTTTTTTGTGAGACAAGGTCTCACTCTGTCACCCAAGATAGGGTATGGTGGCATGCTCACAGCTCACTGCAGTCTCCACCTCCTGGGCTCAGGTGATCCTCCACCTCAGCCTCCCAAGTAGCTGGGACTACAGTGTGAGCCACCACGCCCAGCTAATTTTTACTTTTTGTAGAGATGAGGTCTCACTATGTTGCCCAGGCTGGTCTCAAACTCCTGGATTCATGTGATCCTTCCGCCTCAGCCTCCTAAAGTGCTGGGGTAATAGGCGTGAGCCACTGCACTCAGCCATCTTGTCCTTATTAAGCCAGGGTTTAAGCCCTGCCTTCTCTGGTTCTAGCTGCTCTGTTGGCTTTGTTCACCATGTACTGCTTCCTCCTCTAGTAGAGATGAGATGCTCCCTCCTAAGAGGCTCAGACTGATTTTCTTTAATCTGTCCTGGGAGCATTCTTAAATAGACTGTGGGCCTAATAGCAGCCTCATGTGTGGAAATCAGGACTTAATGGGGGGAGGGTGTGTAATTAAGCCCTCGTCCTACTTCAACTGAGCAGGATCTAGTTCTGCAGGCCTTCCTGGCTCCCATAGGGCTGGCTGCAGTATGTAAACATCTTATGGGAGGCAGGGGTCCCAATCTGGCTGCTACTGGGATCTCTCTGAGAGAGGAGAAAGAAAGAAACTGGTCAAGAAGGGAGTTAGGGTGAGTCCTCAGTTGAATTCTTTCAAACAAAAGAACAGCCTGAAAACTCAAGCTGCAGGCACAGATAAGGGAACGTGCACAGGGTGGGGGGCTTACCTAAGATATGTCCACAGCTGCACAGATAAGAAAGGCTACACAGGTGACTTGCCCAGACATGCCCGCAATGGAAAAATCCTGTCCTCTAGCACATGCTCAGTAAAGGGAACAAAGCAGTATGGAGTAACTCAAGCTAAGGGCCCACATGCGCACTAGAATGACAGGGTGGAGCTACCAGAAATCTGTGCCTTATGCAAATGAGACACCCAGCCCTCAACAGTTTCTTGTAAAAGCCTTTACATTGAACTGTAAAAGCAGCAACCTTCTTCCGGGCTCTATCGCTGAGGCGGAGAGCTTTCTTCTTTCACTTATGAAACTTTTGCTCCAACCTCACCCTTTGTGTCCACGCTCCTTAATTCTCTTGGTTGTGAGACAAAGAACTCCGGGTGATACCTCACAATGAGAGACTGCTAAATTGTTGTGCATTGGCGAGACTATAACATCTTCAACCTCCAGGTGCCATAGCACAGAGGCTCTGCTGGGAATCCAAGGCCACCATGTGAGGGTATGGAGGGGAGGATTGAGTGGCCCCTAAGGATCCCAAGTGCTTTCTTGCCAAGATCACAGCAAAGCTGCTCCACCTGTGCCCCCCAGTGCACTTCTGTTTCTTCTGGCAAAGTTTGTTCTCCATGCTTCTTTGTTTTCCAGATCATATCTGGGCAGACTGTTCTAAAAAATGTTGAAGACAATGATATTGTAGAATGACAGAGGAAGGAAGAATTATAAAAGTAGAAACTCTGGGACTCCCTTTTCTTTAGAAAATTGGCTTCTTGTTGGGTGCCTTACTTTTCTGTTTCTATATCCAACTTAGATGATAAGCCCCTAAGGATTTCTGTGGTTCTGTTCCTCACTGAAACCACTACAAAATTACAGTAAAAAATAAGGATAATGAAAAGAGGATCACTTCATAGCCTTCCTCGGTTCTGGAATTAAATCCAGCTCAGGTCAGGAATGAGCCATGAGATCCAGTAGTTTTCACCCATTATCAGACTTCAATAAAATTATTTTCAGTATTTCCAATGTAGACCTGTAGATGGTTTTCTATCATATAAAATTCAGAATGACAAAGAAGGTTATCTAGAGAAATTTAGAAGAAAGAAAGATACATTCACCTATTGCCTGAATCAGTTTTTATTTTTTAAGCATATCAATGTATTTATTATTTAGCTAAACACCCACATGATGTCGCATGTAAGGATCAGCACATTGCCATGGGCCCCATTCTCAGAAGAGAATGGACCCTTCTGGGGTCCAAGCTGACATGAATAATTTAGGTTATTAGGGTGCTGGTTAATGAATTGTCCCAATGTTTGGGCACCCTATGTCCCTGCTAACTCCCTGGCAGGGCTTCCTTGAGAGAACAGTTTAACTCAATGTACTTAATAGATATATTTCCATGTACTATGAGATGACTCAGGGCTGGACAGTAACCTGGGTTTTTAGAACAATAAGAAAGAAAAATGGAAGCTCGTCGGTGGCTTTTCCAGCCCACAGTGTTAGCCTTGCCTAAGCCCTCTCTCCAGCTAAACAACCGTTTTCCCCCCAGTGCTTCCTGAGTCCTTATTCCTTTTACTGAGAAGCCAGAAAAAGAGGTCAGCGCAAACGGGTGCTGAAAAGAAAAAAATCCTGGCTCTCTTTTAACCAAGAAAAGCAGAGCCTTTCTGAATTCTGGCTCTGACACAGAAAAGCCCTGTCTCTAAGTCCCTGCTCGTGATGATTGCCTGGGGACTTGTCAGAAAAGTATTCTGGCTGATATTAACTGCCACGATCACGTATCCCGGGAGAAACACTTTCAAAGAACCCAGAGCCAGCTTTTTGGAAGCAAGTAGGCCAAGCAGCCTACTATACATCAAGTTTAAGTGAGAACATTTCTGTAAAAAGACTTTAAGACCTGCAAAGTCTTAGGTGTGTGCCTCGTACTGTGCCCAGCCCTCGAGCACTGAATGTAGAAGAAAACTCAGAAGACACGCTTCCTACCCTCCTCACTCCCTCCTAGAGCTTAGATTCTGGGAGACAGACAGGATCATTCTGTGCAAAATAATTAAACAATTAAATGTTTGACTGTGTGGCTGTAAGTAGAGTTATGCCAGGTGGCCATGAGAGACCACTGGGACTGAACTTGTCAAGAGATGGTTTGTGGAGAAGCCACAACCCCCATGGCTGGTGTTCTGTCAGGGAGATCACAAATTGGAAAGGATCAAGATGGGGCAACTTGTTTTATACACAAGGGATATCCATGTGGGTCAGGAATGCAATCAGACAACTTGTGTTGGTTTGACTCAAATTTTGAACTTAGTTCAAGATATGATTTATAGCTTCAAACACTTACCTACAAACACAAAGACACCAACAAAACAATTTGATTATTTAAAATAAACAATTGAGAGCTGGTTTAACTATAGCATGTGGGCTCATAAGAACTAATACGTTTGAGGTTCTTTTCACTATGAAGATGACAAGTCAGGACTTTAGTTTTCAGGAAACAAACATTTATAGCTTTGGTCACCTTCTTGCTAGAGAAACAATAGGAGGAGGGGCTGAATTCATTCCATCCATGTCTTTCACTTTGTCTCGATTTCTAAAGTAGTGAATGAGTTTTTAAGCAGCAGTTGCTGAATTCTTCTTTGCTTTGTCCTGACATGCAGACAATCTAAGAGGAAAATCAAGTCAGGGAAGTATTTAGAGAAGAATGCTGATGCCTGCAATTTGCTTTGAAATCGATAAAAAGATGGATTATTGGGTAAAGGGATGGATAGATATGTAGATATGTGACAAAGCAAGTATAGTAACATATTAATGATACATATAAGGCTGTGCATGTAAAATTATTTTAATTTCCAAATTTACTACAAAAAATATCATAATACTATGGTGGGAAAAAACTGAATCAGGGTTTTCTTTGTGTTGCCCTTTCTTCTAATAGTTAAAAATCATTATCTGAAAGGACACATAAATAAAAAAGCTTGGACTAAGTCCTAGACATAAATGAAAAGTAATAATTGTGTGTGTTATGTGTTTAAAGAACCCTCAAATCTATCTCTACTAGCCAACTGTTGATGCTAGGTATTCTGCTATTAGAAACACAGTCTTTTGAGCTAAGGGCTTATTCTGTAAAAACCTCTTGGAATTCTTGGAGAACTACCAGATTAAATTCAATTCGTCATTAATACTCTACTGCAAATCAATTTAAGTGATCACTTCAAAGTAATACAGAGCTAAAAGGTTTGGAATAAAGGAGAGGGAGAAAGAGAACATAAGCACCAAATGTCTTAGGGGAGGAAAGGGAGATGCTGAAAGATGATCTGTAGAGGCATTAAAGATCAACTTCACCTTCTTTACAGGGTTACTCTGGGCCAAACTAAATCCTGATATTAGTGTTTGCTGCTCTTGAATTCTATATTTAGAATTTCTGAAGCTCCAGTGAAGGTGTCCTATGGCACTTTAAGAAGGCTGTTGAACTGCCTTTCTGTAGTTCTTGCTGCTTGATACTAAGGACTGAAGCCCAAATCTTACTCCACAGGGGATGCTGTGGACCATGGGCTGTTTATCTGTGGTTAGGTTTAAACTTTGACTTACTTTCCCTCTATGGAGGGGAATATTTTCTTTTCTTTTCTCCCTCTGTTTTTTTTTTTTTTTTTTTTTTTTTTTGAGACAGAGTCTTGCCCTGTTGCCCAGGCTAGAGAGCAATGCTGTGACCACAGCTCCCTGCAGCCTTGATTTCCCTGGCTTAAGCAAACCTGCAGCTTCAGCCTCCTGAGTAGCTGGGACTACAGGCATGTGCCACCACACCTGGTTAATTTTTTAATTTACTGTAGAGGTGGGGTCTCACTATGTTGCCTAGGCTGGTCTCGATCTCCTAGGCTCCAGCAATCCTCCTGTCTTGGCCTCCCAAAGTGCTGGGATTACAGGTGTGAGCCACTGCGCCTGGCCCATATTTTCATTTTTTACATTACTCTATTTTTCTTTCTTTAGAGACATTTTTTCCTTAGCTGGTTTCTTCAGAAAGTAGAGTCTGAGGCAAGGGTTTACGTGCCACGATTTTGTTAGGGAGCATACATTAAGGATCGGGAGAGAAGGATAAATAACGTGAGACAGAAAAGGAGATAAAACCAATACAGGTACAAGGAAGTGTATTGAACTGGCTACCACTAAGGACAACGGATTGTTTGATATCACAGAGTTATCTTCAATGAAGCCATGTAAAAAATGTCTCAGGAATGTCTCTTTCGGTGAGAAAACGGGAAGAATTTATCCCCTGCTCCCATATCTCATTGGTCAAAGGCTCATTCTAATGGGTCCATTCTCCTGCACTCCCAGATGGTACAGGTGTGAGGGTTGCTGTGAATTTCTATGCCTTGTTATCAAACAGAGAAACCTCAGAGTAACAGGTGAGAGTGCATGGGGTGGGCATGAGGCAAAGTGCCATCTGGTTGTGCCTTCAGGAAGCTGCTTGCTGAGGTGACAGTTGGCACAAGAGACGAGTGAAGCTGAGAGGTCTAAAGTGGTGAGTGAGAACAGTCTAATGAGCCCACCCCTCACACCACGCAGCCTGCTGGTGCCCTTCATTATCTGTTTCACTTGGTACACTCTGGAGCCTCTATTTTTCTGAGAACAAGATGGCCATTTTTCCCTGACGGAGGAGGTATGAGTATAATCTGTCGCAGAGTCTCCTTCAAGATTGTGGTAGTTGCATTTCCAAAAAGGTCCAAGGCAAGAGGACTAGTGAAGCAAGATGCAGTCCCTCCATTATAGCTGATCCTAAGGCCATAATTGACATCTGCCATCCCCTACTTCTACCTCCCATTTTAGATTTCTATCACCCTTGGTCAGCACTTTGCCACTGATCTGCACTGCTTGCCCAGTAATATGATCAAGACCTACATCAGCAAGAGGCCTGAGGTCTGTATTGCTTTGTCTTTGGTCTGTAATTGCGACAATTACCTATTTTTTATGGATACACCAAAACACATCCTTGTGAATCAGGTGGATTCCAGACATAGTCTCCCCTGCTCACATTGTGCAGAGCAACCACGGCTCCTCGTGGTGTTCAGGACAGGAACTCTCTTTGCTTGCTGATCCACCAGGATGAGTTCAAAGTAACCCTGTGGCAGCTGCAGTTTTAAGTGCAGCATAAACCTTATTGATCTCTGGGAACACGTGCTTCTAAGCCTGGAAAATTCTAAGTTTGTACAAATGGAAAACACAAATTCCATAAGAAGGTCACTGGGAGTAATGATGGCCAAAGCCATGCCTTTTTCCCAGACCCATGTATTCTAACTACTGGGGCCCATATATTAGCTGTTAGTTCTACACATATATTGCATGCCCAAAGGAGAGTGCTCCAACTTTGTGGCCTATTTTCCTTGAGCTGGAGTCTTAGCTGAGCTTTCAATAGCCCATTCCACTATTCTACTAGACTGGCTGCTTCTGGATGGCGAGGTCCGTAGTAGATGCTGTAGTTATGTGCCTATTGTCACCACTCTTTTGCTGTTGCTGTAAAATGGGTCCCCTGTTCATAGGTAATGCTGTTGAAGGCTACCATACCTATACTTATCAGGCATTGTGAAAGGCCTTAGATGATTATGCCAGTGGAGACACTATGGGAAGGAAAAACAAATAACCAATATGTAAAATAGGCAGCAATTCCAGTAAAGATGAATTGCTGCCCCATTAGGGTAGAAGGAGTAAAACATAACCGTCTGGCCATGAAATGGCTGGCTGGTCTCACTGAAGAATAGCATCATATCAAGGAATCCATGTCAGTCTCTATTTCTGGCAGTGACAATGGGGACAGTATCAGCAGCCTTGATAAGAAGCAGCCCATACTTTTGGGCTCATGGATAGGCTCCAACCTTGCTACCTTGGTCACTCTGTTTATGAGGTCGCTGCAGAAATGCTGGGGTTGTTGAGGAGAGACCCTTGCTTATCTTCACCGGATCAGTCATCTGTGCCCCCGGTTGTTGCAATCCTCCTCTGTGGTGGATATTCTTTAGTAATCTTTAACATTACACACAAAGATCTGCACAATTTGCCTCCAGTCCTATAGGCCAAGCAATATGTCTCTTCTCCATATCTTCTTGCTCCATCTGGGGAGCCATCGTCTAAGAAACAGTATAAATTACATCTCAAGGACGGTCTGGTGTCTTGGAATGGGGGGAAAAAAAGAGAGAAAAATTGCTCCACCAGCTCTTGTTTTCCACTGGTTAAAAGTTTAACCCACAAGATTGTTAATTTTCTTGTCCATACATGGACACCCAGTGGAGTCCTATGTCTTTGTGTCAACAGGGAAGCTGCAGGAAGAAGGTAAAGGGTTTACAGTACAGTTATGAGGCTAGTCAGTGTTAGACTATGCAGAGCTGGTCATTGCTGTAGCAGGTGGAACAAGACAAGTGAGGCTGAGAATATCTGAAGTGAAACGTAAGTGTTGGATATACCTCTCAAAAGCACACTTCCAAAGAAGTGTGACCCAGCTCTCTCCAGGATATAGAAATCAATGAAGCAATTTCATTCTTAATATGGAGTCCATTCTTAATACGGACTCCATCTGCATGACTCCCCCTCCACAGCCCCTCACCCCGTAGGCAATCTTGGGAGCCTCAGAGGATGTCTCAAAAGTGTTTGAGATTCCTTCTGGGCCTGTGCTTACGGTGACAATGCCTCTGTATGCATCCTGTTTCCTACACTGCCAGCCTTGGCCCCTCCAGCATGATCCCCTGCTACTGCTGGTACTCTGTTCTAGAGGCCAGCCTTGTTAAGTGCCTTGGCCATGTAGCTTACATCTGCAAAGAAAGAAAATGGTGTTCTCTCTTGCATCATGCTATGTCAGGGGAGAGGCCTGCTCCTGCAGTGGAGTTCTTTGGGCTCCACGGTGTTACAGACTTTGGTGACACAGCATTGCCAGTTTTATTTTTTTTTTCTTCTCTCCAGGGCTAGCATACAACACAAAGATAATTGGGCCAGGGTGGATTCAAATAACAGCTTTTGTGCTGAACCAAGGGTCATTACTCCTTTTGATCCTTAAGTCCTATTGCTAAGCCCAGCTTGCTGTGCCAGAATTTTTCTTCCCCCAGGATAAATTTTCTCCTAGGAATTGCACAGCTCTTGCAATGTAGTATTTGATGCATCTTTCTCCCTCTGATCTCCTCCAGTTTGCTAGAGGACTTTGTACAATTTTTTTTTTTCTTATTCTGTTGGCCAGGCTGGAGTGCAGTGGCACAATCTCAGCTCACTGCAACCTCCGTCTCCTGGGCTCAAACAATTCTCCTGCCTCAGCCTCCCAAGTAGCTGGGATGATAGGCATGTGCCAGCACGCCCAGCTAATTTTCGTATTTTTAGTAGAGTGGGGTTTCACCGTGTTGGCCAGGCTGGTCTCGAACTCCTGACCTCAGGTAATCTGCCCACTTCAGCCTCCCAAAGTGCTGGGATTACAGGCGTGAGCCACCACGCCCAGACATACAAATTCTTTATCCAAGAGGTTCCTGAGGACTCTTATAAACCAGAACTACTGAGGGATGGGGTGCCACTGAAACTGCCCCCACAGGGTTGACAAGAATTGCATGCCAGGTTCTAGACAGAAATATAGTTATAATTTAACATCAATCAGGCTGTACTGTGGCCCACTTCCAGTAAAAGTCACTAGATGCTGACCATTTGCATTCCCATTGTTTCTATAGATAGGATTTCTGACATTAGGGCCATAAGACTGTTTAAAAATTGATTTGCATCCCCATTGTTCCCACAGACAGGATCTCTAACGTTAGACTCATAAGGCTTTTGTTGAAGGATCACTTAAGAGTTTTTTTAGACCTGAATTCCAGCAACCAGTTTGAAGACTCCCACAGGGTCTTACTATATTTCTGTAAGCATGCAATTCTTGTCAACCCTGTGGGGGCAGTATCAGCAGCACCGGCCCTTAGTAGTCCTGGTTTATGAGTCCTCAGGAACCGCCAGGAATGGGATCAGCATGGGAACACGGCTTCTTCATCTCCCTGTTCCACGATGCCACTCTGCACTCTTCGACCAGTCAATGATCTCCACATTTCAGCCTACTCCCAAACTCCTAAAAACCCAAACCCCAAATTCCTTGGGGAGACGGACTTGAGGCTTTCTACCATCTCTTCATTCAGTGACACCACAATTAAACCTCTTTCTCTGCTGCAACTGGGTGTCTCTGAGTATTGACTTGCCATGTACACCAGTCAATGACTCTTTTATGGACACACTACTGCCTTAATTCCTCCCACCAATCATATCTGACCCTCGGTTCTGGCCCCACCCTAGAGCTTCCTAATTCTTAGGAAAGGAGAACAGAGAAAATATCTCTTACACACACACACTCTCTCACTAGCAGGTTAGTGACTTAAAGGTTTAAATTGGAAGCCATGTTTTAAGAACTCCTATTAAATGTTTACAAAACTTTTGTATTTGCACAGCATCCTTTCCCACTGTTCCCACTTTGATAATCACCCCCTCATTGGTTTTTGGTACCACTCAAGTTAAAATATTTGGGTCTTTGTGATACACAGAGACCAGGGAAGCAGAGAAAGGTCTACAGGAAAATGTGCAATGGATAGCCTCCATGCCCAGGTGCCAGTCATCATCCATCACCACCTCTTAGGAGATGGAACCCAATGGATGGTCCCAACACAAAGGAGATGCTTATTATTCCCTGCAAAATTATCATGGATCTCAGGCCCTGTCTTTTTAGACTTTGGGTGGAAACTTCCCCTTTGCATTTCTGTTGTCCCCTGGACAAAGGAGATGGAATTTTATGTCAGCCATGATTCAAGTTAGTCAATACAAACCTGGCTGACACACTATTGAAGAAAGCATTTTATATGATGCTGCAGGTAGGTGTGCCCTGGAATTTTAGCTGCCTTCAGCTAAAATACTCATGTAAATGCTCACTTCAAAATGTATGTGCAGGTCAGATCCTGGGACAGATGCCAAGATGCTGCTAATATTGTTTTGTTAGGCCATGATTCTGTGGTGGTTTCTTAAATGCAGTCTTATTGCCATCTTCCTTTCAACAGCACTGGGCACACAGTTGGTATTAAACATGCTTATTAAAGAACTGGATGAAAGAAGTAGTGGTAGAAATCATCTCTTAAATTAGATGCCACGATTTGGGGATCTTTTCATTTTTTTAAGGATACAGAAATTTTCATTGTAGGAAACACTGGAAAGAGAATTGATATAGAGCCCATTTGAATATTGTCTAGACATTGATAAACATGGACTAACACACAATCACAATTCCAATGTACAAAGATAGGGAAATAATATAGCTATGTCTTATTTATCATTTCATTTGGATGTACTTCTATGCTTTAATAAGTTACAATATTAGAGCTGGAGGAGATTTGCCAGATGCAAAAACTGAGGTCTAAAGAAATGAAGTGACTTGCCCAAGGTCACACATTAGTTAGTAGCAGGTTCTGGACCACAGTTCGGACGTCTCAATGCCTACTGGCATTTTCTCTTCTATTGCTTGCTCATAATGAGGCTTTCTCCTTAGCTGTATTTTTGCTACCATATCACACGAATGTCTCCCCCTTTAATTTTGAAGTCCACTGTGCCAGAGGCGAGCCAGTCTCACTCCTTGAGAAAGGCTGCTGAAAGCAGTTTTTATTTCACCTATATCACCAGATTTTAGTCATTCTCTGGCTTAATAACATCTCTGATGAATTGGTGGAAACACTGCTGTCTGAAATATTTCTGAGTCACAACACAGCTCTGCATTTCACGAACTATGCTAATTTTAAGAGGGGCAACATTATTGTGGAAACAATTTGCTTAGAAATGCCATGAGTTTCCCTTCTCTTCTTCTTATCTTCTTATTTTTTTCTCTCTCTCTCTCATCACACACATACAAACACACAAACCCCAATTATTTCCTGCCTTCAAAGGTCTAAAAAGGAGCTGGAAAATTATCCATGTTCTTCCCCTTAGACCTGACCACACCTGTATATCTCAGATACGAGCAAATGTGGCTGTTTGTACAGAGAAATCCTCCCTCAGAAGCGCCTTCGGCTTCCAATAACTCTCATTAGGACTGAGGCCCGTGTGAGTGCATAGCACACATAGGCACAGTGTGGGCAGCCAAGCTAACCAGAGAACGCCCCCAACCCCCACCACTGGAAGCCCACTAAAGGCAGTGCAGATGGAGAGGGGTAAAAAGTTAACCCACAGCTACGTTTTCTACACACATAATGCCGGGCTCTATCAGGAAGCTTTTCCTGGGAGACAGGCCTGAATAGTCACACTGGCTCAGAGCTTGTTTCTGGTGAAAGATTCTTTGAATTTGTCATACCATCTTCTTATCAAGAAATCTTTCCTATTCTAACCTCTCACAGGAAAGGTCATTGCTATCACTTCTCACTGACCACTGTGAACACACAGGGGAGGAGGTGACTATCTCTGAGTCACTGTTGACTGTTAGCTTCCTCCAGGGCAATCATCTTCCCAAGAAAGGCACATCTGTCCTCTTACTATGATCTAGCAGCTGCTGATGTGAAATCTGTTGAATAGACCTTTATTGAGAGCATCTGTGTGCTGAACTCTTAGTAGATGAAGATAAATAATGTGAACCCTGCATTTGAGAAACTTATGATGGAGTAGAAAAGATGATATCACTAATGATGATGGTAATAACGATTAGTATATGCCAGGCCTTTTACTAACTCATTTTAATTCCCACATCTACCCTATTAAATATTATTTGTAAGGAAGCTGAGGCTCAGAGAGGTTATGTGACTTGCCTAAGGTCACACAGCTAATTAGTGACAAAGCCATACTGCCTTTCTCCAAAGACCATGGTGCCAACCACTGTGAAAAAGCAGACAATTTCAGCAGGTGGTAAGAACTGTAGAGGAGTGTGTTCAAGGCACCTTGGGAGCACAGAGAGGCCATCTCACAGTCCGGGGAGTTAGAAAAGGCTTCCTGGAGATGTTCTCTGAGTGGCCTCGGGCCCCAAATCCCTCATCCAAAGGCAGAGTGACTCATGCAGTCACAAAGGGTGGTCATCACCTCTACCTCCACGAAGCCCATTGAGTCTCCACCCACATTTTCCTCCTCCACATCTTGGCTGGACGTGACCTGCCCAAATTGCTGTTGGTCCTCGTACCAGACTCTTCTTCAGTGGGATTTACCCTTCTTATCCTTCTGCACCCTGGCACCCCCAACTCGGGTGGCTCAGTTTCTGTACAGTCTAAAGCAAGTAAGAGAATTGGCTGCTTTGGCTGCTGCCTCCCTTTCACCATTAAGTGAACCCGAGTGGCAGGGGAGGAGAATCAGTGCATTGAATCCGAATATATCTGGGATGGAGTGACTCCATTACAAACGCATTGTGTCATATTTGAACAATATAAGGATTCTTTCCTTCTCTCTGAGAGCCCACAGCTGCAATATTTCTATGCTGCTTTGCAGACTGTTATCACAGTTTTAATGAAGTGTAGTTGGTTTGAAGTAAAGTCTGTCAGTTCTCATGAAAAGAATTAAATTTTGGTCTTGCACTGCATATTCAGCTCTAAAACAGGACTCAGGGCTCATTATTCAGCAAACAGTAATTTGTTTTCATCCCCAAAATATTAATTGTGCTGCTGCATTTTCACCTGATGGGATGATGAGCTCATTATTGAGAAGGGTTTGCCCATAGGAAACGACTGATTACAATTATCTAGAAACCAATTGCTCAGAAAGAATTTGAAAGGGCCAGACATGGCAATGCCTAAGGGGCCCTCAGCTGGAAAAAGAAAACTAATTACCATTCACAATCTAGTGACATCCAAGGCAAACCAGTATGACCATTAGGATGTTTAAAATATTTGTAAAAGTTCTCTGGGGGCACTTTGTTTTGTAGCAATAATTAGTGATTATGAACATAGGGCCAGGGAATAAAACAAGGTTGTTTAGGACAACCCTTAATCTTCAATTAAGCCTATATGTCAAATGGGTAAAACTATCTCTCTTCTGGCTTATAGGTTGCCAATAACTTTAATCTCAGAGGTCTGCACATAAATAGCTGCTCAATAAATATTTGTTGAATGAATAAACAAATCTGAAGGCCTGTTCTGGCTATCCTGGCTTTTCCAGAAGTGATTTTCAACCAGACATTCTACTGTAGATTCCAAGAAGCAATCTAATTTTTCCAACCACGGCTCTGGAAGGTGCAGAGAACATGATTCATAAGGGAAAAAGAAAGAAAGAAAGGGAGAGAGAAAGAGACAGAGAGAAAGAGACAGAGAGAAAGAAAGGAAAAAAGGAATGGAGGGAGAAAGGGATGGAGGGAGAGAGGGAAGGAGGTAGGGAGGAAGGGAAGGGAATGGAATGGAAGGGAAGGAAAGAGAAGAAGTAAGGAAGGGGAAGGGAGGGAGGAAGGAAGAGAGAAAGAGAGAAAGGAAGGAAGAGAGAAAGAAAGAGAGAGAGGGAGGAAAGGAGGGAGGGAGGGAGGAAGGAAGGAAAGAAAAGAAAAGAAAGAAAGAGAGAGAGACTGGGCATATTGGCTTATGCTTGTAATACCAGCACTTTGGGAGGCTGAGGCAGGAGGACTGCTTGAGGCCACGAGTTCGAGGCCAGCCTGGGCAACATAGTGAAACCCTGTCTCTATAAAAATAAAAATAAATTTAAAAATTAGCTGGTGTGGTGGTGTGTGCTTATAGTCCTAGCTACTCAGGAGACTGAGGTAGGAGGATCACTTGAGCCCAGGAGTTGGAGGCTGCAGTGAGCCATGATCATGCCACTGTATTCCGGCCTGGATGACAAAGCGAGATCCTGTCTCAAAAAAAAGAGAGAGAGAGAGAGAGAGAGAAAGAAAGAAAAGAGAGCTATTAGGAGAAGATAAGGGACAGGGAAAAATAAAAGGGGTTGCAGACAGTCAGGAGGGACAGGAGAGAATATAAGAGGAAAGAAGGGCAGTGGGGTGGGCAGACTGAAAAGAGGAGGGTGACTTGGGAGAGCAGGCATCTAGTAAAGCAGTTAAAGGCCTAAGAGCAGCTTTAAATAGCTCTGAGTTCATCAAAAACAAGTGATATGACCTGGTAGTCTCAATAAATGAAAAGCAGAAATAGCCCCTTGGGAGGAATCTGTGTCTCTGGTGGTTTAACAGACTAAATAAAAAGGTTAAAAGAAAGAAAGAGAGAGAGAAAAAAAACGGTCTCAGCTTAAAAAATCTGTAGTCTTCCTAGAACTGTCAGGGAGTTCACTTACACAGTGATGAGAAAGGCCCTAGTTTCCAAAAGGGACTTTTCTAGAGAGAGACTCTAAAATAATTGCCACACCCACAGGTTAGAGCGCTGGTTGTGGGGAAATAAAGTCTGCTTATGCCAGAAAGCAGACCTAACTTATTCAGATAATATAGACTCTTTCCTTCTGTGAAATTTGGCTGGTATCATTGCTTTGTATACTGGCCACCATCAGAATTATGGTTTTGCCTGCCCTGCGCAGCAACTTAAAATGCTCATAATAGGCAAGTTCTTCATTATGTCTAACCTATATCTCTCTTGCTTTAATATAAGTTTCTTTTTTTCTCTCCAGCCTCATCAGAGGAGGAGATTAATTAGTGTCTATCTTCTGTACAGTATATTCCTTCACAGTCTTTACTCATTCATTAGCCTTCTCCCCCAAGGAAAGCTTTGAAAAATAACTAAATAGATAATGAGACCTGTTCCTGCTGCCTTTTTCTAACAAATCCTAATACTCAGTATTACGGACCTGCCATGGAGAAGAGAATCACAACAAAGAAATTTTCAGATTAAGAATTAACTGCATATTTCTTAAGCATTTGGTATAGATTAGCACCCAAACATTAACCACATAGTCTTCCAAACATTTTTATAAGACTGATCCAGGCAGGAATTATCACCTCCACACGAGGGAAGAAAATAGAACTGTTCCTTTCCCTAGCAGGTTATCAGCACAGCCAGAAGAAACCCCCAGTGTCTGGGCTTGAACTTTCTTGCCCTGCCTACAGCCCAAAATATCCTTCAGAAAGAAAAATTCTTTCAAAATGGGCATGTCTTCAAGTTAAAAGTCCAGAAAAAAATCTCAAGGAAAATCTGAGAGCCACAGCCACAACAGGCAGCTTGTTCCCGCTCTCTTGGCCATTCTAACTCTTCCCTCCACCTCCCGACTCATCCTCCCGTCATGCCAGCTTTCTCACCCTGAAATCCTCTTTCTCCAGATAAGAGCCTTTGCAGGAAATGCTCCAGCCATTGAATTGGTTCATAACGACAACTTTCTCAAAATTTTCCATTAAGCACCAGCTGCTCTTTAAGGTAAACTGAAGAGAAAGGTCATCGTCTTTCTTGCTGCTTAAACTAGAGCATGACTCAGAAGAACAAATACGGAAGAGATGGTGGTAATCCCCACATTATTTTTTAATATTCCACGTGCTACCGCAGGGCCCACACAAGACCCAGGACTAAAGTAAGTCTTTCTTTCCTTATGTAACTGTTTACCTTTGCACAGACTCTCTAAGCTCCCAAGATGTGCAGGTGCCTGCAGAAAAGGCACTCCATTCCTCCTCCCTCATACTAGACAGAAACCCACCAGGCAAGACTGGCTTCCTCTGGGTCAGGGAAGCAGATGCCCAAACCCACGTCACAACAGAAAGTGTGAAGCTGAGTGTGGGAGTGTGAGCACATCGTCTCCTAGTCAGAGAAGGTGGTAGAGACTGCGGGGAGATGAAAAGGCCCTATCCCCAACCAACACTGCTTCCCAGGCTCAGCAGCACCTGTGAAATGCCGTCATTAGAGATTCTTTGCCTTCCATCTTCTGGAACAAACCACACCGTGAATCATTAACAAGCCAATGGGAATTTGCTGATTAGATCACTCCCTCTGGAAGGGGGTGGGCGGAGGGAGGAGGTGCTCCCAGGTGCCCAGGCTGCTAGACATGGGGAAAGAAAGGTGGGAGGGCATAAAGGTGGGCTTTTCCATCAGCAATATTGCCCAAGCCCCAAGTAAGAGGATATAAACTGGAGCTATGGAAGAAGTGGGAGCAGGCATCCAGGTCACTCTCCTCGGTCCAGGCAGTCAATGGTTTCTAAGACTCCATGACTAGTTTCTCCTCACTGGCCTGTTAGACTGGCACACCATTTAAACACACACTCAGAACAGTTCTGCTCTCAGAATGCACCCCTCACAATCTTGATCTGCGGCCCTGGGTTTCCAGTATGGGCTTTCCCTGGGTACGATGTCAAGTTAGGTTGATAGAATCAGCTTTGGTACTTTGGCAAGGAAAAAGATTAAAGAAAAAAAAAAAAGGAAATTTGATACCTGCCCAGCTACCTTTTGGGTAAGTAGGATCTACTTACCCAGTGAAGTGTTAGCTCTGCCCACTTAGTCCTTAACAGGCTGCATGGGCTGGAAGCCTCCTTTATGCTTCAAATTCCTGATAATATAGTGTCCAATTGACAACTTCCAAAACATGGCATGTGAACTCTCTTCTTGATTTTACGGCCGGAATTTCAGAAGTGATTTCAAGTTTGATTGCTGAGTTTTCATTTTCTATGGATTTTGGCAAGCCAGCGTGCCCGACAGTGTTTTCACCTGCTAGCCCTTACCCCTGCTGGTGAGCATTTCAGACTGAGGCAATCCCTTCTGAGCCATGGGGTCTCTTGCTTCGTTTAAAAGAGCAAGGCTTCCAGGAATCAAGCCTGTAGGAATCGCCTACAAGCCTGTAGGCGAACCTCTAGGTTAAATCATAGCCATTTGTCTTCAGCTTTGGCGGGTGTTATGATTTCCTCTCAAGTGTTCTCCCTTTCCCGGGACATCCCCGCAGGAAAATGTATCCTCAGCCTTGTGGTGGAATGCCTCCTAGAATTTGCCAGGTGGTTCAAGTGACATTTCCAACTAGAGAGGAGAAAAGCAATGGAATGGGAAGCACATTCATAATTAAGTTTTTCAAGGAACTGGCCAATTATTCTTCTGGCCATGGTATGTTTCAAACAGTTGCATTCACATTCTTCATTTGGGGCAAGCTGTCTTTGGTCATCTCCGTTGACATGGGAAATTGGGTAATCTGGGCCATTTGGGCAAAATCTCACCTGTGTCTGAGTCATCTAGGTTAATGTAGGAAACAGACTAGAATTTCACCTGATATATGTCTCTAGATTCTGTTTTACTTTGAAGACATGGCTTTTTAGAAACAAGTGGAGTCTCCCAGGTCTATCTCACATGGATTACCTGAACCAAGCTGGTCATATTACGAAGTTGAGAAGGGATTAGCTTCTTGCTTGAATTACTTTAATTTTTTCTCAGTTTTTATCCTACTTAAGGAAAGATGGAAACTCCCCGTCTTCTTTTATGCTCATTATTTCCACTCCAAAATGAAAAAGGAAGAAGTTGGTGACCAAATGCTTTTGACCTTCTCTGTCTCAGAACGTTCTGCATAGTTCTATCCAGAGAGGACAGAGGCTGTGTCGATTCTGCCTGGGAAAAACTGAGACAAGTGGGTTTCAATAATGCACAGCTTTTCAATCTATTAAGGGGGTAGACACATGGTTGTTTATCGTACATAAATGACTGAGAATTGGCAGGTACTGCCATTCAAATGATACCAATATGAGCGCACAGGATGGAAAGGAGGAGCAGTGGTGGTGGCAGCAATAAAGTGATGACTCATTAGACGATTGCATCCTTCTCCCCACAGACACAAGACCACATTTCTGTTGGAATCACTACTCGTTTCCATGAGGCTGTTTCTCAAACCAAAGCACAGTACTGCCCCCTTGACAATACATAGTCATGTGTCAGGTACTGGTAGCCAAGGGACAAACAAGCCCATTTTCCTGCAATACAACTTTTATCTCAAAGATCTGGGGGTTGAGACATATCAAGTGACTTAATTGCTGATTTGAATAATTTTCTATTTAAAAACAATATATTATGAAGTAAAGTATAGCATGCTAATGTATTTTTAACACAAAAGGGGAGAGTGGGCCAGGCATGGTGGCTCACGCCTGTAATCCCAGCACTTTGGGAGGCTGAGGCAGGTGGATCACCTGAGGTCAGGAGTTCCAGACCAACCTGACCAATATGGTGAAACTCCATCTCTACTAAAAATATAAAAATTATCTGGGCATGGTGGTGCACACCTGTAGTCCCAGCTACTCAGGAAGCTGAGACAGGAGAATTGCTTGAACCTGGGAGGCGGAGGTTGCAGTGAGCTGAGATCGTGCCACTGTACTCCAATCTGGGTGACAGGGCAAGACTCTGTCTCAAAAGAAAATGGCGGAGGGGGAGAGTGCACCCAGATTTTCCCGCTGAAGTAACTCTTCTGCTAAGTGCCAGGCTTCCAGGGAGTTACATTTCCTTGCTCCTGCAGGTGGGGTACTTGGGCAGAAACACCTGAGAAGCATATCCTGCTCCATGTAACAAAGACTCCCTGCCATGTAAGTGTTCTGAGGCTGCTCAGCAGCTGGGCTTCTGGTGGACAGGCCTGACCCATGCATGCGGCTGAAGAGCTAGTCGCATGACATTGGGCCAAAATGAGCCATTCCACTCTTCCTGCTCTAAATAGATCCCCACTGTCTGTCTGTTGCTATTGCTTCTCACTTGACAGTAGTTATGAGGCCATTAGTAGAAAACAAGAATCTGCTCTTACCCCATCTGCATATTGGACAAGTCCTGCACTATTTAGCTTGTGAGCCCTGATAAGAAGCCAGCACAATCTGCCCATTGACTGCTGACCTTCTTTTCCAGTCCCAAGTACCAGAGCCTCCTGGCTTAGACTCTAATTTTGCATGTCGCTAGCTGTCACCAATTGAATCCCTTTCAGTTGCACCTGCATGGTACTTGTAAGAGAAGAGAAAGGGCTCCCATTGAGCTAATTCAAACTTCTGGCCCTCACACTTGTTCCACTCTTGTGTGTCTTGGGAATCTCTAATTTAAAGCCTAAACATGTTTAAAGAATGCTGTTTTCATGCCTCCACAATGCACTGTTTATTCTGACCTATACTCCTAGGAACATGGTGGGTACTTCCTTTATATATATTTTTTTTCCAAAGAAGGAGGCTAAGCAGTGATGACTGGGCTCTTTTACCTTCTCCTTCATCATCATGGCCTTGAGGTCAGCTATGCCTGCGACCCGGTCTTCAAGGAGGGTTTGCAATAATCTCTGGGTTTAGCACCTTAAATATCTATTCTGGATCTGGTTCTCCCATTGTTGGTTTTAAAGTAAAGAAACTTACTTGGGACATGAATAGCCCACTGCCATATTCCCATGAGGGCTTAACACATTTAAAAATTGTGACGATAACAGAATATTAGATGCCGTGATGAATTAGGAAGTTCCGATGCCAATTTATAACGTAGCGAGGTTTAAGAAGAATTACTATAATAACTCTTGCTACTAGAACTCCTTTGGTGAAGAGAACTAACTGCTAAGTTCCATAAAGGTAGGGACCTCTTTGAATACCCAGTGCCTAGGTCAGCACTGGCGCATAGTAGGTGCTCAATAAATACTTGTTGAAAGAAATGAATGCATAAAAAACATATCAATGGTCCATTTGGATAGACCAAATACAGCATCTGGAAGGAGACAGCAGAACAAAGGAAAAGCTAAATGGTTACGCATAAGAAAACGGAAGGGGCTGGATGTGATGGCTCACGCTTGTAATCCCAGCATTTTGGGAGGCCTCACTTGAGGTCAGGAGTTCAAGATCAGCCTGGCCAACATGGTGAAACCCCGTCTCTAATAAAAATACAAAAATTAGCCGGGTGTGATAGTGGGTGCCTGTAGTCCCAGGTACTTGGGAGGCTGAGGCAAGGGAATCGCTTGAACCCGGGAGGAGGAGGTTGCAGTGAGTCGAGATCGTGCCACTGCACTGCAGTCTGGGCGACAGAGTGAGACTCCATCTCAAAAAAAAAAAAAAAGAAAAAAGAAAAGAAAAGAAAAAAGAAAATGGAAGGAAACTGGTCCTTATGAGAGAAGATAAAAGGAAGAGTGAGAAGGCTAAACAACACTTAAGAAGGCAGGAATGGATATTTAAACTCAGGTATGTACTGAAATCAGTTTTAAGTTGTTTATGTTTCAGGGGGCATAAAATACCTCCATTTTCCCATATTTATATAAAGTCTGCCATACAGGCAAATGTCTCAAGTGAGGGCTTTCCATTGCTTTATTTGCTTAGTGGCAAGCAGTGAGAGGTGCTGAGTTTCATGTGTGGGAAACACCCGATGAGAAAGGCCTGTACACATGATGGTTAGATGATCCATAAACTATTTTGCTTGAAGCAGGAACCAAGAGCCAGAGATACCACCTCCTCCTTTCCCTTCTCCCCCAGTTCCAGGAACGTTTGGTTTGCATGGATTACACCCTGCACGTGAGGGATAGGTTTCATTTGATCCCACTGGCATCTAATCATGGTAAGGAACGACCTACTTCATTGGTGTCTGGTATTGCTCAAGACTTGTTTTTTCTTTGAGGGGTGGTCAGAGGGAGGGAGAGCATCAGGAAAAATAGCTAAGCTAACGCATGCTGGGCTTAATACTAGGTGACAGGTTGATCTGTGCGGCAAACCACCATGGCACACGTTTAACTATGTAACAAACCTGCACATCCTGCACATGTATCCTGGAACTTAAAATTCAAAAAAAAAAAAAAAAAAAAAAGAGAGAGAAACTTGTTTTTTTCTTTCAACCCTTCTCATTATCCTCCTCTCCCATTGTTATTTATAATGTCTTCAATAATTTTCACTCTTATGAAAAACGAAAGGTTGCACTAGGAAGAGAAAAACAACAAGGTGAGAAATCTGTGCAATTATTCCCAAAATCTCTGAGACATTTAGGCCCAGGATTGTCACTTATGAAATCTATTATTGTCTTTCGTAAGACCCAGTTTAATATAGGTTAGAATGGCTTTTGAAAAGGGCTTATCTTGAATCCAAATTAATAATTAATTGGTGTAAACAAATATGATGAGAAGTTATGACAATATCTAAAACTTCAAATGAGTTTTGTTCAATAAAAAAATCTTTCAGATCACTGAGGAAACGTGCTTTTCCATCTCCAATCACCTCAATCACTATCATGGATTACTGTGATTAAAACAGTAACTCTCTCTCCACCATTGACTATGATAATAGGTGTCCTTTATCATATCTCTTTATTGAAACCTTTAAAAATGAATTTGATTAAATTTGAACTTATGGGAAACTTGAATACCAAGAGACAGTTTAAAGTTAAGGTTCTTAAAAATTATTTCAGGCTTTTCTCCAAATTCTCCAAAGATTTTTCTTAGGACAATATTATGGAAAATAAATAGGGAGAGGAGACCTCTGGCATTTGAGGATTTAACAGTGGCATACTTTACAATTTCTGCTACTTGTGAGTTCTACGATAGAGACAAATTTTTCATTTTGAACCTCATCTTAATGTGGCTCTGTTGTTCTCTACTGCTGTGCTACTCAATAACTTTCTAGAAATGACAAACTTTCTTGAAAATTGGAAAGGTGGTTAATTCATGGTGTGAAGGAAGGTACAAGAAACAGACTATCATTGGAAATGTGGTTCTAGAAAAACCTGGACTCCCCAAAGTAAAGAGAAACAATCACTTCAAATATTAAGAAGTTGTCTGCATTTCTCAAAAGAGGACATACAAATGGCCAACAGGTATATGAAAAACTGCTCAACATCATTAATCATCTGGGAAATGCAAATCAAAACCACAACGTGATATCATCTCACTCCAGTTAAAATGACTATTATCAAAAAGACAGAAAATAACAAATGCTACCGACGATGTGAAGGAAAAGATTTTTGGTATGATGTTGATGGGAATGTAAATTAGTACAGCCACTGTGGAAAACAGCATGAAGTTCCCTCAAAAAACTAAAAATAGAACTACTACATGATCTAGCAATCCCAGTGCTAGGTACACATCCCAAAGAAAGAAAATCAGTCTACCGAAGAGATACCTGCGCTCCCATGTTTATTGCAGCACTATTCACAATAGCCAAGAACCTAAACGTCCATCAATGGATGAATGGATAAAGAAAATGTAGTATATATACACGATGGAATATTATTCCACCACAAAAAGAAAGAAGTCTTGTCATTTGCAACGACATAGATGGGACTGGAGGACATGATGTTAAATAAAATAAGCCAGGCACAAAAAGACAAGGTTGCATGTTCTTCCTCGTATGTGAAAGCTAAAAAAAATTGATCTCATGGAGATGGTGAATAGAATGGTGGCTATCAGAGGCTGGGAAGGGAAGTGGAGAAGAGGGTGGATAAAGATAAGTTGGTTAATGGGTATGAAAATACAGTTAGGTAGAGGGAATAATAACTGGTAGCACAATAGGGTGACTATAGATAACAGTAATTTACTGTGTATTTCAAAATACCTAGAATAAATGGAATATTTCTAACATTCCCATTAGAACTGGAATGTTCCTAACACAAAGAAATGATAAATGCTTGAGATGATGGATATCCCAATTACCCTGATTTAATCATTATACATCATATGCTTTTCTCAAAACATCACATATATTCCATAAATATGTACAACTATTATATATCCATAAAAATTAAAAATAAAAATAACAAAAAAGAAGTTGTCTGCTGGCTCCGAGTTTAAAAAAAAAAGATTCAGGTAGAATCATTTTCACTATCAGTCCTTAGCTGAAACTTTAACCCACAGGGATGCTATAGCAGAAGCGACATTATACTCAGATTCTATTTCCTGCTCATCCACTAGCCAGCTGTGTGAATTTGGGATACTTACTTTGCCTCTCTGGTCACTGTCATTATCATCACTACCATCATGGCCAGCATCTAATGAGCTCTTTCTATGAGTTAGGCACTTTGCTAGGATTATCTCATTTAAAGCTCACAACAACCTGATGCAGTAGGCATATTACTATCCACAGAAGCCAATAATACTGGAGGATAACAGCCAATATTTATTGAATGCTTATCGTGAGGGGGTATTATGGCAAGAGCTTTAAATGCATCATTTTATATAATCCTTATAATAATGCACGGAGTCTTATGAAACCTCTATTTAACAGATAGAAAGTTGAGGCTTAGAGAGGCTTATTTGTCCAAGGTGACCACAGCCAGTAAGAAGTGAAGAAGGATTCTGAAGTAAAAATTATGTGACTCTGAAGCTCAAGATCTTAACCACTAGGCTCTGCTGGGTATAAAAATAATCATACTGAAAATTAGACATTTGTCTACAGATGTGGAGTTCCTTATATTTACATAAACACTGGTGTTGGCATTCTTATGTCACTTAATTGGTATATCATATAGACAGTATTTCACATTGGCAAGGCCAGACCTTGGATCGATTTCCTCGTAATTTTCATGGAGCCAAACTCAGTGTGGCTTCCTAAATGTGGCCCACAAACACTTCGAGGACAGCTAGTTGAAGTTCAGGTGGTAAAAATACTGACTGTTAAGCTGGTTTCATCCCTGACTTTAGGTGGCACATAAAGGATTGAACCTGTGCTCTGATCGAATTAACCATGTACTTTATCCAAAGGAACCAATTGCCTTCATCAAATCCTAAGTGTTAACTTGAGCAATTTCATTTTTTGTACCCTGGCAAACAGATGGCAAAAATCCGTGTTTCTGACAATTGAGCAAACTTTCTTTTTGCCTTTCTTAGCTTGCAAGAGCAAAGGAACAGAAAATGGAAATTCACTAGGATGAGTAGAAGGCAGATTTCTAACGTAGATGCTCCAAATCCTACATATACACAGTCTCTCTCTCACACACACACACACAGGCACATGCACCACACAAATACACTCACATGCCTTGATATGCGTGCACACACACACACACACACACACACACACAGCCCCCAGTAGCAGAACAGCAGACAAGAGTGACCAGCGATTTGTCTATCCCAAGAACACAGTGGGAGATTTGGTAATATTCCACTTTCATGCATTTTTCTTTATGGGATCACAGGTCAAAGTTTGGACTTTTCATAGAAGACACAGAAACAAATACAATCTGTTAGACTGATTGTAAATCTGGGAAGCAGTTGTATCCAAATTATAGTTATTAGTGGTATTTCTGTCTCTGGGGAAAGATAAATTACATTCAAGTCCATTACTTAGCAGAGTTGTTACGCATTTAGGAACTTAATTTGGGGACAGTTTTGATTTTCTTTGGAAGAGAAAAGACAGAGTCATCCTTTGGCTGAAGCACAAGTATTTTGGGTTCTAATCGGATATCATCTTCTTGTGCAAGACTGGCCAAGTGTCAGTCTTTTCTGGCACGGGTGGTGCCGATGAAAAGAGGAGGCACACGCAGGGGATTTGTTCTCGGCTTCATAATGATACTCTTCCTGTATCTGACATTCACTAAAAATAACATCTGAATGAAGGAACTGGGTCACCTGGTGACATTTTTGGTAGTAGCGGAGCATTGTGGGAGAAAGCCTTTATGTTTTCACGCAGAATTGCACAGGTTCAATGTGTTGGGTTTATGCAAGGCACTTCCAGAGAAAGCTAAGGAAATGCCTCATTTGGATCTTCTCAAAGCAAAGGAGAGAGGGCTGCACTTCTGGGGCAACCTGAGGACACTCCCTCACAGAGGCAGGGGCTGAAGAAGATAAAGAAAACTTTAGGCCGGGCGCGGTGGCTCACGCCTGTAATCCCAGCACTTTGGGAGGCCGAGGCGGGTGGATCATGAGGTCAGGAGATCGAGACCATCCTGGCTAACACGGTGAAACCCCGTTTCTACTAAAAAAAAAAAAATACAAAAAATCAGCCGGGCGTGGTGGCGGGCGCCTGTAGTCCCAGCTACTTGGGAGGCTGAGGCAGGAGAATGGCATGAACCTGGGAGGCGGAGCTTGCAGTGAGCCGAGATCGCGCCACTGCACTCCAACCTGGGAGACACAGCGAGACTCCGTCTCAAAAAAAAAAAAAAAAAAAAAGAGAAAACTTTAACATCCCATTTCAATTCTGCAATTCTGTATTTTTTTTTCCATGTGACACACTGGCCCCAGTAAGTAAGTGAATCACTCAATTGCTTTATCTCTCCTAATGCACTTGTTTCCTTTTCCAAGTACCAAAGTACAAGCCGCAGATTATTTTAGTGTCACATGGCTGGAGCGAAATTTATTTAGAGCCTTTGAAGACAGAAGATACTTGTAGCCTAATTCCCAGCTCCAGGAACTGTCAGGATACCTGGCACATAGTAGGGTTCAGTAAAGGTTGTTGAATGAATAATAATAATCCAAAACCTCCTCCAGCCTCTCTGATGTATCTTCCACTGCTTTTACCCTCACTCAGTCAGCCCATCCCAGCCACATGGGTGCCCTGGCTGATCTCACACACATGAAAGCATTTGTCTCCTTTTGCATTCACCGTGCTTTGGGCCTGGAATGTTTCCCCCAAGTATTTGTGGGATTGGCTCCTCTACTTCCTAAGGTCTCTGTTGAAATCTCACCTCATCAGTGAGAACTTGTCATTTCCTTCACTCCTCCGTGATTCCCCACATTCTTTCATCATACTTACCAGTGACTGATATAGTATATATTCACCTGTTTATTTAATATCTTCATCTTCCCACTAGAATGTGAGCTCCATAGGAGCAGCGACTTTGTCTTGTTCATTGCTGGATTCCCAGAGCTTAGAAACAAATACTGACTGAGTGAGTGAACAAATGACTGAATGGATGTTTTAGTCATGATTCGTCTGGTCGACAGCAACACTCACTCAAGCAAGCTCAGGTAAAGGGGATTCAACTTAATAGGAAGAATCTTACAGAAATCCAAGAATAGGAATATCGGCCAGGCGTGGTGGCTCACGCCTGTAATCCCAGCACTTTGGGAGACCAAAGTGGGTGGGTCACTTGAGGTCAGGAATTCAAGACCAGCCTGGCCAACATGGTCTTTAATATAAAAAATTAGCCGGGCATGGTGGCAGGCACCTGTAATCCCAGCTACTCAGGAGGCTGAGGCAGGAGAATCGTTTGAACCCGGGAAGCAGAGGTTGCAGTGAGCTGAGATTGTGCCACTGTACTCCAGGCTGGGTGATAGAGCCAGACTCTGTCTGAAAAAAAAACCACAAAGAGGCCGGGCACGGCGGCTGACGCCTGTAATCCCAGCACTTTGGGAGGCTGAGGCGGGCGGATTACTTGAGATTAGAAGTTCAAGACCACACTGGCCAACATGGTGAAACCCTGTCTCTACTAAAAATACAAAAATTAGCTGGGCATGGTGATGCACACCTGTAATCCCAGCTGCTCCAGAGGCTGAGGCAGAATCGCTTGAACCCAGGAGGCAGAGGTTGCAGTGAGCTGAGAGGGTGCCACTGCACTCCTGCCTGGGCCACAGAGTAAGACTCCATCTCAAAAGAAACAAACAAACACACACACACACACACACACACACACACACACACACACACACACACACACACACACAAAGAAACAAAACAAAGCAAAACAAAGGGAATGTTGACAGCCTCCTTGGTAGGGCCTGGCATCCTGGAGGCAGGAACTAGAGAGAGCTGCCAGGGCAGGGAAGATCTTGCTTCCAGCACTGTGCCATTACCACATTGCACACCTTCTCCTCTCATCGGCTACCTGTTTCCTTGAACTTCGGCTTGTACCATGCCACATGATAGTCCCAGCTCTGAGTTTGCCTCATCACCTCTCTATTGGCTCTCTCAGTCTCAGTTTATCAAAAGAGGAACCAATGGTCTCAGATCATCTCTGCAGGCCTGGCCAGCGGCTCCTAGTCTCTAACTTCTCACCTGATGGGCAGCTGCCCTCCCTGGGTCCATTCACCTGTGCTGTGGCGCAGGCAGCATGTGGTCTGCTCCTCATTCAGAGGTCACTCGAGGGACAACTTCTAAAAGGAGCAGGCCATTGACCTCACACACACCATCCTCCTCCTTCTCTGGGATGCTCTTTTAACTCCTACATTCCCCTTTAAAGGCTGTAGGAGGCTCGCCGTACTTTTTACATTTGTTTGACCGATGTTTTAAATCAGTTTTGCTCAAAAGTGCTTCAAAAATTATAATATGTGTTAGTTTAAAGACTCACAGTTAACGTGGAACCAAATATCACATGAGCGCTCTTTTTGTCCGGGGCTTCACAGGCAGATTCTCAAAGGAATCTGACAAATACAGTTGATGTGGCAGGTCCTGCACCACTCCTGGGCTGAGAGACTGTCACAGACACAAATGGCCAGAAATGCCATATGTAGGAGGCATGCTTGTCTTCCCAGTTAGGAGGACTGTCTGAGCTTGGGAGAAGGAATACACTGAGACAGCTATATTTAAAGCAAAGAGCCTGGCAGCAGACAATTATTTTGTTTGGCTCAGAAGCTGGGAGCTAAGTCTCTTGAAAGGTGTGTGATTAATCCCTTACATGTCCTCTTTAAGTTTCCTCTCAAGCCCAGGGTTTGTTTTCCTTTCTGGTCTCAAGAGTGTATAGTGGGGGATCCTGAGCTAAGCACACTGAAGGCCAGCATGGACCCTGATGATGTTCCTGGCTGTTGCCCTCAGTGCTCTGCAGAAAGCAAGCAACAACAAGAAACGTGGCAATGACCCCGGGAAGCCCACAGGAGCATTCAGCAGATCAGTCAGTCACTCTCACTCTGTGGCTTTCACAAGTGATAGCCCCTTTGGGCCTCAGCTTCCTTATCTCTAAATCTCAGTGTTATCAGGATCAAAATCTAGGTGACACATGGTGTGTGGAAAATTCTAGGTTTTAAGCTTATCAGGTAAGGGACTTTATCTTTTAGAGCAGGGATTGACAACTATGGTCCAGGGCCGAGTCCAGCTCACTGCCTGTTTTTTAATGAGCTACAATCTAAGAAGGGTGTTTACACTTTTAAATAGTTGGAACGAATCAAAAGAATAATAATATTTCATGACACGAAAATTATATGAAATTTTAATTTCAGTGTCTGTAAATTAAGTGTTTTACTGGAATACAGCCATTCTCATTGGTGGTTATATATTGCCTATGACTGCTTTAGTACAGTGACAGAGAAGCTGGGACAGAGACTACATGGTCCACAAAGCCTAAACACATTTTCTGTCACTTTACAGAAAGAGGTTGCCAACTTCTGTTTTTGAGCATGGAGCCTGGGTCACCCACACCTAGATTCAAATCATATACCCCTTCCGACCTGTGTGACCTTGGAAAACTATTTAACTTTTCTAAGCCCCAGTTTCCTCATCTGTAAAATGGATGAAAACAGTCTGTATCTCAAATAGTTGTTGGGAGAAATTGAATGAGATCATCATGAAGCACTATGGTGGTGATAAGCCCGCTCAGGCTTATCATAGTACTGTCTGGAACTAGAGTACATTTACTCACTTACTCACTCACTCACTCACCCACCCATCAGGAAATCCTTTTGGATTTAGCTTTAAAAACATATCCAGAGTCCTCCCTTTCTCTCTCCTCTGCCATTCCTACCACTCTGCTCTGAGGCACCCTATCATCTGTCACCTTGATTATTGCCTCATCCTTCTAACTGGTCTCTCTGCTCATTCTCCCAGAGCCTATTTTTAGTACAGCGACTAGAATGACCCTTTAAAAAGGTCAGGTCATGTCACTGCTCTGCTCAAACTGTCCAGTGGCTGACCATCTCACGCAGAGTAAAAGCTGAGGTCCTTATGATGGCTCACAACTCTCTACCTGCTGTGTCCCACCCTACTGCCTTTGACCTCCTTTCCTGTTACTCTCCCCATTACTCACGGTGCTCCAGCTGCAGGGCCTTTTTGCTGTCCTCAAATGCACCAGCAGTCTCTTGTCTAAGGCCTTTGTCTGGTCTGTCCCTTCCATCTGGATGCTCTCCCTCCAGATATCTCTGAGGCTAACTCTCTCAACTCCTTCAACTGTTTCCTCAAATTTCACTCTTTGAGGAGATCTATCTTGGCCACCCTGGTTAATCAGCACTGCTTACAATCAGAACTGTACCCTTCCAACATTCCAATATCCCTTGCCTTTTTACTTACTTATTTATTTTGTTTTTATTGTTTGTTCCCATTCAAATGTAAGCGCCATGAGGGCAGGAATTTTTGTCTCTTATGTTCAGTGATGTATCCCAAGCATCTAAAACAGTGCCTGGTAGGTACCCAATAAAATTTGGTGATTGATAGTTAATGATCTAATATTTTATAATACAATAGTTTTTCCCCCAGACCCAGAATCTGCCTCTCATTGAGTCTGCCAGGAATCTGACCACCTTCTCGAAAACCTTTGAACCAATGGCTTAGAGTCTATAAAGGAAACTGTGGGGGAAAACTTCTTCCTCCTCAGGGAAATCTGAGAAAGGCCAAACTGCACCCCAGCAACAGCTGTACCCTCTGGTACAGAAATGACTGCGGTTCCTGCTCACTGAAGGAGGATAATCCAGCATCAGACTATTCAAACTCTTTCACTTGCTTTGTTTTTGTGCCAGTATTATTGACAAGATCTGCATAACTTGAGCAAAGGAGTGGAGAAAGACAAACCTCAATAGCAGTGATTTTCCACCTTGCATAAAAGATCTGGCAGGAAAAAGAGTTTGAAATATTGACAAGAATTAGGGGTAGAGTCTGTGAGTTATCCCATTTACCCCAGATAATGGTGGGGTCATATTATCATCACCTCTAGGAAGGATGAAAGAAAACTGTGATCTCCTCAGGTTCTGTACCCTACCAAGCACACCACAGGTACATCATACACATCAATCTCAAGAAGGAGGCCATCGCTCACTCACAGACACTCAGTTCCCAGTTGTCATGCAGTAAGGAATCCTGTCAATATTAACAGGAGACATCCCCAAGGCTCTACTCCTCTGGCATATGTTCCATGAGAGACGGCTGTGGTCAGAGTCATCATAAAGTGTTAAGTACATATGAATCATAAATAGTGATGAATAGCCACATTATAAATTGTGCAAGCCTTGTTTTACTGGGATAAGATTTATACCTAAAGATACTGGAAGTGAAGTCTCCCTCTACCCTTTTAAGACCTCAGAATACTTGGCAATAAACAAAGAAAGGAAGTGGCCTGGAGAATTTATTGAGCAAAGCCCTTGACTAGACACAGCTTAGGTCATTCCTAGTGCTTCTCTCTATATAAGGCAGAGTAGGCTCCCAAGGTGATGCATGGACTCTTTCTTCATCTTCCTCAAGTGTTCTGTTCTTTTTCAATTTGGTATTTAAGGAAAGGAGCGGGGGAAGGAAGATTCTTAAGGGAGAGCGGAGTGTAGACTGCATTTCTGGGCTTCTCTTTAGAACCTGCATGTTTGAGGTAAAGCTTGAATGCTTCTAATGAATATAGAATTATTTACTGATGTAGAGCAGGCATCTACAATATTTTTCCAACCATCACTTTCGTGAGTGTGCTTAAAAAAAAAAGAAAAAGAAAAAAATAAGCCAAGCTGTTGCTCCTCCCTGCTCCTGCCTAGTCAGAACATAAGGAACAAAATAAGTGAAATCTTCATGCTTTATAATGCCCTCTCGGCAGTGCCCCCTTCACCCTGGGCCAGTGAGTCTATTTGCAAAGCTTATTTAAGATGAAAAGTGAAATGCAGTGAACAAGCTGTGTTCCTCTGCCTTGATGAATATTTTCTAAGGGAACTTTGACCAGTCTCAAACTTCTTCACAAATTCAAGAGGAAAAGGCATCAGGCTTCTAAATGGCCTGGATCAGGTTTCCATAGTAGCTTGGTTAGACAACAGACCTTTTTCCAAGAGTTATGCAGATCTTGTCAATAATGCTGGTGCAAAAACAAGAAAGCCAACAATGAGGTCTTGTTCATTTTGAGCTGAGTCATGAAAAATCGTGCACTAAAACCATCCTTGGAGAAAGACCTGATTGGTAAAACAACAGCCACTAAACTTGGAAGGAATTTCTGAAAGGAAATGTTACCCTGAAACGTACTCTGAAAGCCATTTAAAGCGATGAGAGATTTAAGAAAAATAATTTGACACCACACTTCTCAACCTCATAAAACATTTTAGAAATGAACTCATTAAAATAATTTACAGCAGGAACTAGTCTCTTAAGTCTCAATGGACAGTCTGTCTGACATCACGGTCCCATTTGTATGATTCATTTTTTTAAAAAGGCATTCTTGCCAGACCATTAAAAAGTAAAACAATTAATTACTTTTATGATAGTTGGTTGCCTTCTAGTTCCTCGTTTTTCTCTTCCGGGAACATTATCACTCATGCAGCCTTGCCTGGTATTTCTCCCAACACATAACAGAATGCTCTCTGTACATAAATACAGACCATCCAAAACCTGCAAAATGAAGCCCTTATTTCTCTGGGCATTACAAATTTCATACTGTTCCTATCTGGTGTTGCTTACAGTTTTTGTCTTCTGCTTCAGGATCTCTTCACAGCAAGCAATTATTCAAACTGACCTGCAATACCATTACACCAAATGTCACCATTTATCCCAACAAATAGGAAAGCATTCGTTAAGAACAGAGCTGTTTTCATTGGTCCCCTCTGAAAGGAGACAGTGAGAAGGTTGTGGTGATGCAGAGTAAAGGATTAGGAAATTATTCCTTCGGAGACTGTTTATCTGCCTCTACCTCCAGGGAAAAGTCAGATGCTATCTCATTCAAAGCAAGTCTGGTTTTCATTTTGCAACCCCTTCCTTCTCCCTTCCTAATCTTCTTTATAATTAGAGAAAAAGTAGAAAACCACCGCTGTTGTATGTTTTTTAATTGCTTACTATAATTATTATGACAACAATTGCTGGGTGGATTTCCATCTCTGATGTTTCACCACAATGAAGAAAACAAATCCTCTTATGAACATGATCTCATTAGTTCCCATAATGACACATTATTCTGACACGAAGCGAGGTCTAAGAACTTCAATACTCACTCTCTTTACAGATGGGGAAAGTGAGTCAAAATTCTGGGAAGCAGCAAAGCAATTATCCAAGCTGGAATTAAAGCCTAGCGTTCTAAATGCTCATTTAGTGCTAGTGCTACCCACAATGATTCTACATTTTATAAGCAGGGAATAAATAAATAAATATAAGCAGGATCAGCCAGGATGAAGTGAAAATAAAAATAATTCCATGGAGTTTTAACAGCTTTTCTGTAACTTTTGACTGCAGCTCTTTGCCTGAAGTGTAACATACAAAACCAAAAGAGAGTAAAACAGAGCATACTGAAATCTTGACACCTCTCAAAGAACTAGATGGTTTACCCTTTTACATAGGAAGCAAATAAAGGAGAAACTGTCAATGACTGATGGGAACACAGTACAAAATTTAAGTTAGTGGTTTATTTTTAAAGCTTGTATAATATGGACTACAAAGGGCATTTTTGAGCCATGCAAAGGTCACCCACACACTAGTCCCTTCAAACTAGCTTTTTCTTTGAGATGAACCTTCGGTTTGATCTCCTCCATGAAGCCTTCTTTGACTTCTATAGCCTGGAGTAATTTCTATCTTGGCTTAATTCCTACAGCGCTTTTCACCTAAACCGTGATTCTAGTTAGACTGTATTTCACTATATGAGACGAAAACCAAACACTAAAACCATCTCAAGTAAAAAGAGAGTTATTGAAAGGATACTGTAGACTATTATAGGAATTTAATATTAGAAGCACAAAGAAGACTGAACTGGAAAATTCTCAGGTAGAATTCTATAGTTTTCCCTCTGCCTCTGGAATATTGCTATTTCTCTTGGTGTATCTACCCTAGTCTCTCTGAAGACTGCTCACCTATGGTTCTTACTCCTTCATAGCCACAACTTGGCCATGACTTTGGCTTGACCTAGTGCCCATTCCATTGCCAACTCGACATGATCTTACTGGCCAAACATCTACTACCAACTGACTGCAATCTCTGAGCCTCTTAATTCAAATCCTTAGTGGGAAATCTCACTGGTTAAGCCCTATCTATAGGTTGGTACCCTTTGGGTTAGGCATCCGATTTTAGTCCAGCTTCTGTGACTTGGGTGTGTGTGGGGAATCGTGTTTGATGCAGAGGTGCCCCTCCAGCTAGAAGGGGAAGGTAAGCCAGTCTTGCCTCATCTATTTGTTCCGACCAGGCTTAGTATATAATCATATTCTGCCTTGCCTTCATATTTAACTCGTTTTCTATGTGTGACCTGTCTTTCCTGATACAACAAAAGCCTCTTGATCTCAGGCCCTGCCTTATTTTCTTTATGCCACTTTCAGAGCCTTATAAATGGGTTATCAAGAATATTTGTGGAACTGATTTTATCTTTAAGAAATACAAAATGTAGACTCTACTTAGCTATTTGATGAGTGAATTAATGGTGTTACATTTTCAATTGCAATATTTTAAAAATATTTATTAAAGAAGATCACAGATAACCATATTTTTCTTTATAGAAGTTTTGTCTTCTCATTGGCAAGCATCACATACAAGCAAGTATGTGTGTGTGTGTGTGTGTTTAACCATATTTCAAAAATAGTTTTAAGATAATGTGTTCAGAGACTTTAGCGTCCCACAATGACAGAATAATGGACACCTGACTTTCCTTCCCACTAAAATAAACTATAACAATGAACAAAATATACGAGGCCATTGTTTTTGGAAAAAGAAAAACAGTCATCTATATTAGGCTGTTCTTGCATTGCTATAAAGAAATACAGAGACTGAATAATTTATAAGAAAAGAGGTTTAATTGGCTCACAGTTCTGCAGGCTGCTTAAAAATTTCCACTGCCAGATACCCTAAATCATCACTCTTAAGTTCAAACTCCCACAGATCCCTGGAGCATGAATAGAATGCAGCCAAGCACTTTGCTGAAGCCTAACACACATGACCTTTGCTCTAGTTCACAAATAAGTTCCTCATTTCCATCTGGGACCTCATCCGTTTGGCCTTCATT
Organism: Homo sapiens; assembly: GCF_000001405.40. NCBI lineage: Eukaryota > Metazoa > Chordata > Mammalia > Primates > Hominidae > Homo > Homo sapiens. Next base: position 31,988,350 of record NC_000014.9, on the reverse strand, counting down.
GTCCATGTCACTATCAGCATTTTGGTCACAATCATTTAACCAGTCTCTAAGAAGTTGCAAACTTTCCCTTATTTTCCCTTCTTCTGCTGAGCCCTCCAAACTCTTCTAATCTCTGCTCATTACCCAGTTCCAAAGCTGCTTCCACATTTTGAGGTATCTTCATAGCAACGCTCCATTCCTTAGTACCAATTTTCTGTGTAGACCACTCTTGTGTTGCTATAAAGAAATACCTGAGACTGGATAATTTATTTAAAAAAAAAAACAACAGGTTTAACTGACTCACAGTTTTGTAGGCTATACAGGAAGCACAGCACCAACATTTGCTTCTGGGGAGGCCACAGAAGCTTACAATCATGACAGAAGGTGAAGGGGGAGCAGGCGGCTCACATGGCTTGAGTGGGAGTAAGAGAAAGAGAGAGTGGGAGATGCCACACACTTTTAAACAACCAGATCTCATGTGAACTCATTCATCACCAAAGGAATGAAGCTAAGCCATTCTGAGGGATCTGCCCCCATGATCCAAATACCTCTCACCAGGCCCCACCTCCAACACTGGGGATTACATTTCACATGAGATTTGGTGAGGAGACAGGTCTAAACCATATCAGCATCATAGGACTGTAATTCCTGACAGAAGGGAAACATGAGATGAGCCCCACAATTTCCCCCGCTCTCTGCCTGGGACATATTCTTGCCACAGCACAGGGAAATGAAATGAAAGCAGAGTGAACAGGTGAGGCAGAGATTCCAGGCTGCTAAAACAGTTGGAATTTGTGATCCTGGGTGCTAGAGAAGCAACTGTGCAGAGGGGAAGTCTCAAAAGTCTGAGTGAGAATGCACCACGGATCCTTGCACAGGTCAAATCTTCACGAGGCCTAGCACAGATCGATTGCCGCAAGGTTGAAAGGTGAATGGTAATACCAGAGGTTGTGTGGTGCTGGGAGATATTGGAGTTTCCCAGTCTAGAATTCAGTCAACATTGCAGAAAAACGGTGCCTTAGGAATAAAGTCTCTACTTAGAAATAGGAACCTCAGGAGTAAGGACTGTATCACAGAGAAAGAGCATACCTAGGACTAAATCAAAACCAAAATAGATCTTTCCTAACATAGAAGAAAAGTTAGCCTGACAGAACCAAAAAAGATCTACCAGTGATTTAACAAGCCACAATAAAACTCAATACTCAACACATAGCCTAGCATTCCTATAATGTATCATCTATAATGTTCAGGCTACAATAAAATTTTACTAGACACACAAAGAAACAGAAAACTGTACCCAAACTAAAGAAATAAAGAAAAAAATAAGAAAAGAATCCAAGATTATCCAGATGTTGGAATTATTAGACTATGACCTTAAAGCAGCTACTACAAATAGGATCAAACACTTAAAGTAAAAGATAGTCAAAATGAGTATACAGATGTGGAATCTGTGCAGAGAAACAGGAAAAACAGAAAATAAGTAAATGGAAATTCAAAAACTGAAAGTACATATATGAAATGAAAATTTTACCAGATGAGTTTAGCAGCAGATTAGAGACTTCAGATTAAATGATAAATACACTTGAAGAGAGATAAATAGAAATCATCCACTCTGAAGACAAAGGATAGGCTTAAAAAATGAACAGACCTCAGTGGTCTATGGGACAATCACATCTAATATACATACAACTGGAGTTCCATGGAAAAATGATAGAAATAATGGAGCAGGAAAAACATTTGAAGAAATAATAGTCAAAATTTCTCCAAATCTGATGAAAAGCATCAAACTACAGATCCAAGAAACTCAGTAAACTCCAAGAAGGATGAATACAAAGAGAACTACATCTGGGAACATCATAATCAAACTCTAAAATCCAAAGATAAAGAGACAATATTAAAAGCAGCCAAGAAAAAAAGAGATACATTACTAGTAGAGATGGGATGTTTGTGTCTCCTCCCAAATTCATAGGTTAAAATCTAATCACCAACTTGATGGTATTTGGACATGGGGTTTTTGGGAGATCATTGGACATGAGGGTGGAGCCCTGATGGAGGGGATTAGTGTCTTTATAAGAAGAAGCCAGAAAGCTGGCTTGCTCTCTTTCTGCCATGTGAGGATACAATGAGAAGTTAGCACCAGCAACCAAGAAGTGGGCCCTCACTAGATACCAGATTTGCCAGAGCCTTGATCTTAGACTTCCTAGCCTCCAGAACTATGTGAAATAAATGTCTGTTGTTTAAGCCATCCAGTCTATGGGAATTTGTTATAGCAGCCTAAACTGGCTAAGACAATTACATATGGGGGGAAATTACACATATGATTACCAACTTCTCATAAAAAATATTAGAGGCTGGCAGACAATTGAATGGCATCTTTAGAGTACTTAATAAAAGAAACACTATCAACTCAGAATTTTATACCAAGCAAAAATATCCCCCATAAATAAGACTGAAATAACTTTTATAAATAAAAATGGAAAGAAATGAACACCAGCAAATATGCACTAATAAAAAAGGCTAAAGAAAGTTTTTCAGGCTAAAGAGAAATGACACCAAATGGAAATTCAAATCTGCAGGAAGGAATCAAGAGCGCTAGTAGCCATAAATATGTGGATAAATAAAAAACATCATCTTTTAACACTTTCCTTTAACTTCTTTGAAAGGCCACAGACTGTTTAAAGCAAAAATTATATAGCTTTATCATAGAATTTATATCCTAGATAGATACAAAATATATGACAAGAATAGCACAAAGGATAAGGGCATGAAAAGTGGAACTTTACTGTGATAAGATTCTCACATTTTACATTAAGTTGTACAATATTACTCCAAAGAGACTGTGAAAATTAGGAATTCATATTGTAATTCCGGAGCAATCACTAAACCAAACAACAACAACAATACACACACACACACACACACACACACACGTATAGCTTTAAAAAAATTAGTAGGAGAATTGAAATGGAATACTAAAAAGCATTCCATTAACTTAAAAGAAGTCAGAAAAGGAGAAACAGGAACAGAAAACAGATGCTACAACTAAACAAAAAAATAATGAGACAGTGTACTTAAAACCAGTAATTATGTTACATGTAAATGAACTAAATATTCTGAGCAGCCACCCACCTGGGACTAGTGGGGAGCCAGGAGAAGCTTCCTAACACATGGAAAGAGTGATACAATAAGAGTTCCTGGGGGATCCACACTTCCCACTGGAACCTTTGCAATCCTAGGAATGAGAGAAGCCCTTTGACACCCTCCTCTCAGTCTCTAGACTGACACAGCCAGCCACCTGGAGTTTTTGCAGAGGCACCCCTCAAGACCACAGGGAGCCCCACAGTCCCTGAATCCCTGAGCAGCCCAGTACCAGCTGCCATAATGCCAATAGAGGCTACAGTCATGGTGCTGGGAGGCAGTCCGACCACCCCACTCCTCCTTGCCAGAGAAGGCTCCATTCAGCTTCCAGCACAGCAACTGTGCCCCCTGCTTGAATTCTGTGGGTGGGCACAGCTCTGTGTTCCCTTGGGAAACACACTGGTGGCAGATCTTGTGACTCCCCCTGCCCCCACTGTGCCTAGTCAGGCAAGTCTTGCTGGCTTGGGCTTCCAGTGTGGGTTCAGGGAGTTCCACCCCAACCTGAATCCTGTGGATGGGCATAGCTCTGTGTTCCCCAGGGAACTGCCTGGATGGCAGGCTGTGCATCCTGTCCCCCATTACTCCTAGCCAGGGAAGATCCACTGGCTTGGTGGTATCCAAGTCAGGAAAGAGCCCCCACTCTCAGAACACTGAGAGAGGTTAGATGCTTGGGTTCGTGGGCTGGTGCAGGAGCAGAGCATGCCTTCCTCGGCAGGGCCAGCCCAGGAAGCAGGTAGGCTGTCTGTCAGCCATGGCCTTTCCCCAAGGGAGCCCTGTGGCCCAGAACATCTAACAAAGTTAACACAGGGGTGGCTTCAGTGATTGGAGGGGGCTAATCCAAGACCCAAGAGTGAACCCAGTGAGGAAGTCATCTCTCTCTTCTGCCCCACCACAGAGCACTACAGCAAATGTGCTAAAATACAAAAGAGCCACATGGCTAAGGGCCTATCTGCTAGCCATCACTCTTTAGTGCCATCTACTGTACTGGATCACAGCCCTAATTAAAACACCAAAAATATTTTGCCAGTATACAGCACCTGTGAACCTAAGACAAGAATTCAGCCACAAATAAAGATCCTGTACAGAGCCTTGGCCCTCTGAAAGCAACCAGAAATGAAGCCAACTAACTATACTCAACTTACACCACAGTTAAAGGAACAACAGCCGTCTCAGATGAGAAAGAACCAGTACAAGAACTCTGGTAATTCAAAAAGCCAGGCTGTCCCCTTATCACCAAATGAGCACCCTAGCACCGCAGTAATGGTTCTTAACCAGATTGAACTGACTGGTGGCTCATGCCTGTAATCCCAGCACTTTGAGAGGCCAAGGTGGGAAGATCACCTGAGGTCAGGAGTTTGAGATCAGTCTGGCCAACATAGTGAAACCCTGTTTCTACTAAAAACACAAAAATTAGCCAGGTGTGGTGGCACATGCCTGTAGTCCCAACTACTTGGGAGGCTGAGGCAGAAGAATTGCTTGAACCTGGGAGGTGGAGGTTGCAGTGAGCTGAGACCACGCCATTGCACTCCAGCCTGGGTGACGGAGCTAGACTACGTCTCAAAAAAAAAAAAAAAAAAAAGAAATGACTACATGTCAGATATAGAATTCAGAATCTAAATGGCAAGGAAGCTCATTGAGATCCAGAAGAAAGTTGAGACCCAATACATAGAATCCAAAGAATCCAGTAAAAACAATCCAAGAAACGAAAGGTGAAATAGCCATTTTAAGAAAGAACTAAACTAAACTTTTGGAAATGAAAAATTCACTATAAGAATTTCATAATACAGTCAGAAGCATTAACAATAGAATCGACTAAGCTAAGGAAGGAATCTCAGAGATTGAAGACTTGGTCTTTGATTCAACTCAGTCAGACAAAAATAAAGAAAAAAGAATTTTAAAAAATGAACAAAACCTCTGAGAAATATGAGATTATGTAAAGTGCACAAATCTATGACTCACTGACATTCTTGAGAGGAAGAAGAGAGAGAGTAGGCAATTTGGAAAACATTTTTGAAGATAAAGTCCATGAAAAATTTACCAATCTTGCTAGAGAGGTTGATATGCAAATTCAAGAAATGCAGAGAACCCCTGTGAGATAATATACAAAACAACCATCACTAAGGCATAGGTCATGAGATTCACCAGGTGAACACACAAAAAAAAAAACCTTAAAGGCAGCCTGAGAAAAAGGTCAGATTACTTACCTAGAGAACCCCATCAGGCTAGCAGCAGATCTCTCAGCAGAAACCTTACACAGAGAAGAGATTGGGGACCTGTTTTCAGCATCTTCAAAGAAAAGCAATTTCAACCAAGAATTTCATATTCCACCAAATTAAGCTTCATAAGAGAAGGAGAAATACGATCCTTCTCAGACAAGCAAACACAATAGGAATTCATTATCAGCAGACCAGTCTTACAAGCTGTCCTTAAGAGAGTACTAAACATGTAAGTGAAAGATTGATACCTCCTACAACAAAAACACACTTAAGCACATAGCCTACAGACAATATAAAGCAATATACAATAAAATCTACAAAACAACCAGTTAACAACATGATGACAGGATCAAATCTCACATATCACACATCTCACATATCTTGTTTCTTATGCAAATGTCTGCAGCAGGCTTGAATTTCTCCCCAGAAAATGGGTTTTTCTTTTCTATTACATCATCAGGTTGTGAATTTTTGAAACTTTTATGCTCTGCTTCCTTGTGAATGCTTTGCTGCTTAGAAATTTCTTCTGCCAGTTACCCTAAATAATCTCTCTAAAGTTCAGTCCCACAGATCTCTAGAGCAGGAGCAAAATGCCACCAGTCTCTTTGCTAAATCATAGCAAGAGTCACCTTTACTCCAGTTCTCAACAAGTTCCTCATCTCCATCTAAGACCACCTTAGCCTGGACTTCATTGTCCATATCACTATCAGCCTTTTGGCCAAAACCATTCAACAAGTCTCTAGAAAGGTTCCATACTTTCCCATATTTTCCTGTCTTCTTCTGAGTCCTCCAAACTGTTCCAACCTCTGCCTGTTACCCAGTTCCAAAGTTGCTTTCACATTTTTGGGTATCTTTATAGCAGCACCCCATTCTCTGCAGTACCAATTTACTGTATTAGTCCGTCCTCATGCTGCTATGAAGACACACCTGAGACTGAGTAATTTATAAAGAAAAGAAGTTTAAAGGACTCACAGTTCCACAACCTGGGGAGGCCTCAGGAAACAATCATGGCAGAAGGCACCTCACAGGGCAGCAGGAGAGAGAAGAGAGCTGAGTGAAGGGGGAAGCTCCTTATAAAACCATCAGATCTCATAAGAACTGAGTAACTATCATGAGCACAGTATGGGGCAAACCACCCCCATAATTCAATTGTCTCCACCTGGTCCCTCCCATGACATGTGGGGATTATCGGAACTATAATTAATGATGAGATTTGGGTAGGGACACAGCCAAACCATATCAGACCTAATAGATATCTACAGAATACTACCCAACAACCACAAAACATACATTCTTCTCACCTGCACACAGAACATATTCTAAGATTGACCACGTGCTCAGTCATAAAGCAAGTCTCAATAAATTAAAAAATACTGAAATCATAACAAGCATACTCTCAAATCACAGTGTAATAAAAATAGAAATCAATACCAAGAAGATCTCCCAAAACTACACAAAAACATGGAAATGAAACAACTTGCTCCTGAATAACTCATGGGTGAAAATTTAAATTTAGGCAGAAATCAAAAAATTCTTTGACATTAATGAAAATAGAGCCACAACTTACCAAAATCTTTGGGATGCAGCTGAAGCAGTGTTAAGAGGAAAGTTTATGGTGCTAAATGCCATCATTGAGAAGTTAGAAAGATCTCAAATTAATAATCTAACATTGCACCTAGAAGAACTAGAAAAAAAGCAACTCTAAAACTACCGGAAGAAATTAAATAACTAAAATCAGATAAGAACTGAATGAAATTGAGATGCAAATATCCATATAAAAGATTAATGAAACTAAAAATTTGTTCTTGAAAGAATAAACAAGATTTAGACCACCAGCTAGATTAACAAAAAAAGAAAAAGAGAAGACCCAAATAAGTGCAATAAGATATAACAATGATGACATTACAACTGATCCCACAGAAATACAAAAGATCCCCAGAGACTATTATGAACACCTCTATACACACAAATTAGAAAATGTAGAGAAGGCCGGGCGCGGTGGCTCACGCCTGTAATCCCAGCACTTTGGGAGGCCGAGGCGGGTGGATCACAAGGTCAGGAGGTCGAGACCATCCTGGCTAACACGGTGAAACCCCGTCTCTACTAAATATACAAAAATTTAGCCGGGCGTAGTGGTAGGCGCCTGTATTCCCAACTACTCGGGAGGCTGAGGCAGGAGAATGGCGTGAACCCAGCGGGCGGAGCTTGCAGTGAGCCGAGATCGCGCCATTGCACTCCAGCCTGGGCGACAGGACGAGACTCCGTTTCAAAAAAAAAAAAAAAAGAAAAGAAAATGTAGAGGAAATGGATACGTTCCTGGAAACACACAACCTTCCAAGATTGAACCAGGAAGAAAGTGAAAACCTGAACAGAGCAATAACAAATTTCAAAACTGAATCAGTAATTTAAAAAAACCTACCAACCAAAAAAAGCACTGGACCAGATGAGTTCACAGCCAAATTCTACCAGATGTACAAAGAAGAACTCATACCAATCCTACTGAAACTATACCAAAAAATGGAGAAGGGGCTCCTCTTTAGCTCATTCTATGAAGCCAGCATCATCCTGATACCAAAATCTGGCAGAGGCACAACAAAAAAAGAAAACTACAGGCCAACATTCCACCGTGTTTGGAGATTTCTCGGAGAACTTAAAACAGAGCTACCAACTGACCCAGCAATCCCATTACTGGGTATATACACAAAGGAAAACAAATCATTCTACCAAAAAGACACAGGCACTCATACATTCATTGCAGTGCTATTCACAACAGCAAAAACATGGTATCAACCTAAGTACCCATCAATGGTGAATTGGATAAAGAAAATGTAGCACATACACACCATGGAATACTACACAGACATAAAAAACAATGAAATCAGCCGGGCGTGGTGGCTCACGCCTGTAATCCCAGCACTTTGGGAGGCCGAGGCGGGCGGATCACGAGGTCAGGAGATCGAGACCATCCCGGTTAACACGGTGAAACCCCGTCTCTACTAAAAATACAAAAAATTAGCCGGGCGTGGTGGCGGGCACCTGTAGTCCCAGCTACTCAGGAGGCTGAGGCAGGAGAATGGTGTGAACCCGGGAGGCGGAGCTTGCAGTGAGCCGAGATGGAGCCACTGCACTCCAGCCTGGGTGACAGAGCGACACTCCGTCTCACAAAAAAAAAGATAAATAAAAAAAAATAAAAATAAAAATAAACAATGAAATCATGTCCTTTGCAGCAACATAGATGCAGCTGGAGGCCACTATCCTAAGTGAAATAAGGTAGGAGCAGAAAGCCAAATACTGCATGTTCTTACTTATAAGTAGGAGCTGAACATTGAGTACACATAGATGTAAAGATGGGAACGACAGACACTAGGGACTACTAGAGAGGGAGGGAGCTGGGTACGGGCTGCAAACCAGCTACTGGACACTATTCTCACTACCTGCACCCCACATGTCAGCATCATGTGATACACCCATGTAACACACCTACACATGTATCCTTCGAATCCGAAATAAAAGTTGAAAAAAAAAAGTGAGACCCAGCTATATACTATCCATAAGAGATCAACCTGAAATATAAAGGCAGAGATAGGTTAAAAGTGAAAGGATAGAGAAGATAGATATGTAAACAATAAGCATAAGAAAACAATTGTGGTTTATTAACATCAGGAAAGGTAAGGAGATAAAAAAGGACATTTCTTTTCTTTTCTTTTTTTTTTTTTTTTTGAGACAGAGTCTCACCCTGTTGCCCAGGCTGGGGTGCAATGGCGCAATCTCAGCTCACTGCAACCTCTGGCTCCCGGGTTCAAGTGATCCTCCTGCCTCAGCCTCACGAGTAGCTGGGATTACAGGCGCGTGCCACCGTGCCTGGCTAATTTTTTGTGTCTTTAGCAGAGGTGGGTTTTCACCATGTTGGCTAGGCTGGTCTCGAACTCCTGACTTCATGATCTGCCCACCTTGGCCTCCCAAAGTGCTGGGATTATAGGCGTGAGCCACTGTGCTCAGCCCAGGACATTTCTTAATGATAAAAGTGTTGTTCTGATCAGAAAGACATAACAATTCTAAATGTGTATTTATCTAATTACAGAGCTTCAAAATACTTGAAGCAACAATAAGCAGAACTAAAGATAGAAATAAGTGATCATGGTTGGAGATTTTAACACCCTTCTCTCAGTAATTGTAGAGCAACGAGATACAGAAATCAGAGTGGATAAAAATAATTTGAACAAAACTAACTTAACCCAATTGCAATCGTGAAAACAGTCCACACAACAACTGAAAATACATATTTTCTCAAGAGCACATGTAATGTTCACTTTGAAAGACCATATGATGGGCCATAAAATAAGTCTCAATAAATACAAAAGATTGAAATCTATCTTACAGAGCATGTTCTGGAACTATAATGGAATTCAATTAGACGCTTTTAGAAGACTGTTATCTGGAAAAATGCCTAAATATTTTGAAACGAAACAATGCATTTTAAAATAACTCATAGAGTCAAAGGAAAAGTCACAGGGAACATTTAAAAATGTTCCAAAGTGAATGATTATGGTATACAACACATCAAAATTTGTGTGATGCAGCTAAAACAGTGCATAGAAGGAAATTTATAGCCTTAAATTTAGCTTATGCTAGAAAATAAGAATGATTTAAATTCAAAAATCTGTTTTCACCTTTTAAAGATAGAAAAAAGAGCAAACTAAACCAAAGTAATTTGAAACAAAGAAACAAGAAAGAACCTATCAATGAAATAGAAAGCAAAGAAACAATAAAATTAACATAGCCAAAACTGGTTCTTAGAAAAGATTAGTAAAAGTAATAATACCCTAACATGATTGATCAAGAAAAAAATGAGAAAATACAAAATAATTCAAATTAGGAATGAAAGAGAGAGAAAAAAAAGAAAAAAAGAAGTAACAACAACAGCCAGGCAAGGTGGCTCACACCTGTAATCCTAGCACTTTGGGAGGCTGAGATGGGCGGATCACTTGAGGTCAGGAGTTTGAAAGCAGCCTGGCCAACATGGGGAAACTCCATCTCTACTGAAAATACAAAAAAATTATCCCAGTGTGGTGGTGGGCACCCTTAATCCCAGCTACTCGGGAGGCTGAGGCAGGAGAATCTCTTGAACCCAGGAGGCGGAGGTTGCAGTGAGCTGAGATCACACCACTGTACTCCAGTCTGGGAGACAGAGCAAGACCCTGTCTAAAAAAAAAAAAAAAAGTAACAACAACAAAAGAATGAAAGAGAGGATGGCACTGTGGATTTTACAGACATTTAAAGAGAATAAGGCAGTATGACAAAATTTTCATGCTAATAAATTTGGCAATTTAGAAGTACTGGAAAAATTTCTTTAAAAAACTCCAATTGCCAAAAGAAAAACAAAAATAAAGAGAAAAATTTTACTAGTCCTGTGCCTATTAAAGAAATTGAATTTGTAATTTAAAACTTCCACAAAGGTAACTTCAGGCCCAGGTAGGGCCTGAAATTTTTTACAAAAATTTCTCTTAAACATTTAAGAAAACAATCTTACAACCATCAAGGACTTTAAAGATGCAGAGTAATGATTTCTACCACATCCCCACTCAACTTTCCTATTTGACTGTACAGACATCAGATGGATCTTGGATAATGACACTCAATTACCGTAATCTTAACCAGACGGTGATTCTAATTGCAGCTGCTGTTCCAGATGTAGTTTCATTGTTTGAGCAAATTAATACATCCACTGGTACCTGGTATGCAGCTATTGAGCTGGCAGGTGCCTTTTCCTCTATTCCCGTCAATAAGGACAACTAGAAGCAGTTTGCTTTCAGCTGGAATGGTAAACAATATACCTTCACTGTCCTACCTCAGGGATATATCAATTCTCCAGGTCTATGTCATAATTTAGTACATGGGTAATGTGATTATCTTTCCCTTCCAAAACATATCACACTAGTTCATTACATTGATGATATTATGCTCACTGGAGCTACTGAGCAAGAAGTAGCAACTACTCTAGACTTATTGGTAAGACATTTGAGTGTCAGAAGGTGGAAATAAATCTGACAAAAATTCAGGGACCTTCCACCTCACTGAAATTTCTATGGGTCCAATAGTGTGGGGTATCCTTCACCATGTAAGGTGAAGGATAATTTGTTGCATCTAGCCCCTCCTACAATGGCAAAAAAGGCTAATACCTAGTGGGTCTCTTTGGATAATGCAGGCAATATATTCCTCACTTCAGTGCACTACTTTGACCCATTTACCAACTGAAACTGAAGAGCAGCTAGTTTTGAGTGGGACCAGAACAAAAGAAGGCTCTGTAGTAGTCCAGGTCACTGTGAAAGCTGCTCCGCCACTTAGGCCTTATGATCTAGCAGATCTGATGATGCTTGAAGTGTCAATGGCTGATAGAGGTGCTGTTTGGAGCCTCTGACAGGCCTGTATAGGTGAATCACAACAGACTCTTAAAACTTTGGGAAAGTCTTGCCATCTCCTGTAGATAACTACTCTCTCTTTGAGAAACAGTTTTTGGCCTGCTACTGGGCCTTAGTAGAGACTGAATGCTTAACCATGGGCCACCAAGTTACTATCTATGCAACCTGAGCTTCCCAATATGAACTAGGAGTTATCTGACCCACCAATCCATGAAGTTGGGTATGCTCAGCAGCACTCCATCATCAGATGGAAGTGGTATATACGAGATCAGGCTTGAGTAAGGCACAAGTAAGTTATGTGAAGAAGTGGTGCAAATGCCTACGGCCCCAACTCCTGCTATGCTACCTTGTCTCTCCCATCCCACCTCTATGACCTCATAGGGAGTTCCCTACAATAAGTTGACTGAGGAAGGGAAACCTCAGGACTGGTTTACAGATTGTTCTGCATGAAATGCAGCCACCACCTGAGAGTGGACAGCTGCAGCACTACAGGCCCCCTCTGTGACATTCCTGAAAAACAGTGGTGAAGGGAAATTCTCCCAGTGGGCAGAACTTTGAGCACTGCACCTGGTTGTTCATTTTGCTTAGAAGAAGAAATGGTCAGAGATATGAGTCTATACTGATTCATGAGCTATGGCAAATGATCTGGCTGGATGGGAAGGGACTTATAAGTAACATGAATGGAAAATTGGTGACAAGAAAAGTCTGAGGAAGAGGTATGGGAGTAGTCTTCTCTGAAGGGGCAGAGAAAGTGAAGACATGTGTGTCCCATATGAATGCTCACTGAAGGATGACCTCAGCAGAGGAAGATTTTAATAATTAAGGACATAGAATGACTCTTTCTGTGGATGCAAGTCGGTCTCTTTTCCCAGCCACTCATGCCATTGCTCAAAGGGTTCATGAACAAAGTGGCCATGGTAGCATAGAAAGAGGTTATGCATGGAATCAGCAACATGGCATTTCTATTCACCAAGGCTAATCTGGATACAGTTACCGCTGAGTACTCAATTGGCCAGCAGCAGAGTCCTTGATATGGCACCATTCCTGGGGTGAGCAACCAGCTACTTGGTGACAAGTTGACTACACTGGACCACTTCCACCATGGAAGGAGCAGTGATTTCTTCTTACCAGAATAAATAATCTGGATATGGATTTGCTTTCCTCGTGTACAGTGATTCTGCCAAAACTATCATCCATGGTCTTACAAAAACGACATATCCACCATCATGGTATTCTACACAGCATTGCTTCTGACCAAGAAACTCACTTCACAACAAATTAAGTGTGGCAATGATGGTGGTGGTGGCTCATCTGGAGGGGCTGCTGTGGAGATGCCAGCTACAGTGGGAGAGGCGTGGGCCAGGGCTGTACACTCTGTGGAGCCGGCAGGGTCCAGGAACAGATGGTCCCACCAGGAGCCCCACACCACACCGAGTTGGTGGAGCAGGAGCCCACGCTCCCGGGTGCAGCTGCAGCTGCCCCTGCCCAGCTGCTGCCCATGACCCAGGCATCCATGAGCTCTTGGAGGCCCAGGAAGCTCCCTGCCCCTGCAGGTCCAAAAGTGCCTGCTCCTGCTCCCTGGCCTCTCCCCACTCTGGGCGCCTATTCTGGTGCAGAGCATGGTTGTAGCTGAGCCCAGGCACTGTCATGACCCAGCTGGGTGTGCGTACACTTGGGGTGGCACTGACACGCCAGCACTCCCACCCACTGCCTTAGCTCCTTCTGAAACTTTGGGCACTGACAAGCTCAGGGATGGAGGTGGGGGGGTGCTGAGGGCAGCTTGGCAAGGGCCTGCAAGTGCCCCTCAGCACAGACAGCCTGGGCACTGCAGATGGCATGTTATTGGCGGTGGGAGGCAGACAGGTTCTTAGGTAGGAAGGGGCAGGTCCCTGGTGAAACCCCACCTTCAAGCTAGGGACTGCCTAAAGCACAGGGGCCAGGCTGCCAGTTCCTGCTGGAGTCCACCACCCAGGTGAGAATTTAATTGATTCCTTTAGGTCAATTAAATAGTGCTTTTTCCAGGCCCTCCCATGGCTGCCCACGGACCAATCAGCATGCACTTACTCCATTCTGAGCATATTAAAACCCCAATCTCAGCCAGACTCAGACACTCCTAGGGATGACCTGCCTTTGGGAAGGAGCTACCCACTTCGGGTCTCCTGAGGGCTGTTCTGTTACTCAATAAAGCTCCTTTCCACCTTGCTCACCCTTCAGTTGTCTGCATAACCTCATTCTTCCTGGACACGGGACAAGAGCTCAGGACCCACTGAATGGCAGGAGCAAAAGTGGCTGTGACACATTCCTGGCTGGCTTGCTGAGCTGCAGGCAGTGACATCCTCCCAGACTACAGGAGTGAAGAGTGGCAACCCTTCTGGGGCCCAGACGTCAGGGTTCCCCAAGCCAGAGCTGCTGTAACACTATAGCCGTCCTGCCCTCGGCCAGTGCTGGGTGGCCACCCTACATGACAGGAAGCAGTGGCAGGGCCAGGCCAGTCCAGGAGCTGCAGGTTGGAGTGGGGCAGCAGGACTGAAGGAGATGTAACACAAATGGGCCGAAACATGCCCCCCCCCATAAACACACCCCTGCACTGCTCGCCATGCTGCAGACAGCGAGAAGGAGAGAAAAGCTGCAGCCTTTTCTGGGGGCTCAGATCTCAGGGGTCCCTGAGTCTGGGATGTGACATGCTGTAACACCCTCTTTGGGGTTCTGATGTTCCTGGCATCTCTGAGCTTTTAGGTGCTACCGCATTCCCAGGTGCCTGTAGCAGAAGCCGCTTGCGGTATGCCTGGTCCAGCCACAGCCTTGCTCAGATATGGGCACCTGTGCTGGTGCCTGGAGCTGCCCACCCTCCCTCAGCCATCATGCCTGGCTGTGCACAGTGGCTGGATCCTGTGCTTGCTCGCTCACACATCCCTCATCATTCCATGCCTGGCTCACCCTTGGCAGGCATGGGATCTGGGCCAGTAGTGCAAGCCACTGCAGCCTGCTAGGCCAAGTGGGCAGAACGAGCCCAGGGGGGATGAGCAAAACCCAAGCAGAGATGCCACCAGCCACAGAGGTTTCTGGCTGGCAGAGTGACACCCTAAATATCCTGTGACAGCAAAGGACCTATGCTTATGGAATTCACGGGTATTACTATGTTCTCCACCATTCTGAAGCACCTGACTTGATAGAATGGCAGAATTGCCTCTTGAAAACTCAGTTATGATGCCAGCCAGGTGGCAATACCTTGCAGGACTGTGGTAATATCCTCCAGGAGGCTGTATATGCTTTTAATCAGCATGCAATGTGTGGTGTTCCTTCTCCCACAGTCAAAATTCATAGGTCCAGGGATCAATGGGAGGAAATAGCACCAGTCACTATTACCTCTACAGCTCTACTTGCAAGACTTTTGCTTCCCATTCTTGTGACCCTGTGGTCTGCTGGTCTAGAAATCTTGTTTTTAAACGTAGAAATGTTTCCACCAGGAAACACAAGAATGATTTAATTGAACTGGAAGTTATGACTGTCATCTGGCCACTTTGGGATCCTCATAACTCTGAGTCAACAGGCAAAGAAGAAGATTACTGTACTGACTGGGGTTACTGGTCCTATCAAGGAAAAATTGGACTGGTACTACACTACTGAGGTAAAGAACAGCATGTCTAGAATAAAGGAGATCCTTTAGGATGTCTCTTAGTACTACTGCTATAGACTGAATGTTTGTGTCCTCCTAAAATTCATATGTCCATAATCCCCAAGGTGGTGGTATTTGGAGGTGGACACTTTGGGAGGTAATTAGGTCATGGAGGTGGAGCCCTCATAAATGGGATTAGAGCCTTTATAAGAAGAGACATAAGAGAGATGATCGATCTCTCTCTGCCATGTGAAGGTACAGCAAGGTGTCTATCTGCAAACCAGGGCAAGATCCTCAACAGGAACCAAATCAGCCAGTCCCTTGATCTTGGACTTCTCAGCCTCCAGAAATGTGAGAAATAAATTTCTGTTCTTTAAGCTACCCAGTTTTTGGTATTTTGATTTAGCAGCCCCAGCTAAGACAACTACCATTTCCTAAGATTGAAGTCAGTGGGAAACCACGACAACTCAACTCAAGCAGGACTGCTAATGCCCCAGTTCCTTCACGAATGAGAGTTTGGGTCACTTCACCAGGCAAAGACTACAACCAGCTGAAGTGCTTGCTACAGGTAAAAGTAATATGGAAATGGTCATGGAAGAAGGTAGTTATAAATAACAGCTATGACTATATGACAAGTTGCAGAAACAAGGATTGTAATTGTTATATCTCTTATTTTGTCATAATAGATGTGTATGTATATATCTAATTTAATACATATTTTAAACATTTTTGTTTTCTTCCCTGTCTTAGCCCTAGATCATCTACTATAACATGTATTAGTAATAGTTAACATTACACCACAGTATTTAAGTTACTGGATATCATAGAGAAGAGTGAACATCACCCAATGCCTTCACATCTTCACTGGGGGAAAGATCTGTGCATTATTGGATATATATATATACAGGATAGTTGTATAATGTTTGATGGAAGTATGGCTTTGCTGTTTTCTTTATTTGGAAACTGAGTATGGTTTAAGGCGTTATGGGAGCTAAGCTGACAAGGGGTAGACTTGATGGTGTTTTATGTGTCAACTCTACTAAATAATAGTTCCCAATTATTCAATCAAACACTAATCTAAGTGTTGCTCTGAAGATATTTTATAGATTTAACATCTACAGCCAATTGCCTTTAAGTAAAGGAGATTATCCTCAATAATTTGGGTGGGCCTAACCTAATCAGTCGAAAGACCCTAAAGCAGAACTGAGGTTCCTCTGAGGACAAAAAAACTCTGCCAGTGGACTGAAGCTTCAGCTCCTGCCTGAGCGTTTCCAGCCTGCCCTTCCTGATGGGCTCCCCTACAAATTTTTGACTTGACTAGCCGACATTCACAATTGGATAAACCAATTCCTTATAGTCTACCTATCTTTCTGTCTGTCCACCTGCCTAGCTAAACACACACACACACACACACACACACACACACACACACACACACACACACTTGGATATACATATATTATACATATATACATATGTCCTATGGTTCTTTCTCTGGTGGAACTCTGATTGACACTCCCAGCTCCTCTTATGAGACCAGAAAACCATGAAACCAATATGCAACAAAAATATAGAGGAAAAGAAAATTTCAGACCAATATCTCTCATGAATATAAACACAAAAATTCATAATAAAGTGTTAGCATACCAAATGCGGCAATATAGAAAGGATAATACATCAAGGTCAAGTAGGTTGATTCCAGAATTAAAGTTGGTGCAATATATGAAAATCCATCACTGAAATTCATCACTTTAACAGAATAAAAGAGAAAAGCCATATCATTGTCTCAATAAAACAGCAAAAGCACTTGACAAATTCTGCATCCTTATGTAGTAAAAATTTTCAGCTAATGAGAACTAGAAGGTAACTTTCCTGAGTGTGATAAAGAACATTGTAAAAACCTACAGTAACAAACATTATACTGAGTAGTGAAATACTGGCTGCTTTCCCCTAGAGAACAGGAACTAGGCAAGAATGTCCATTCTTATCATTTCTAGGCATCATTGAACATAGAGATTGTAACCAGTGCAATAATGCAAGAAAAGAAATAAAAGGCATAAGGATCTGAAAAAAAAAGTAAAACTGTCTTTATGTCATATTACGAATTTGTGGCATAATTATTTATGTTGAATCATGACTACCATTTACTAGCTTTTTGATCTTGGGCTAATTACTTAGTGTAACAAGCTTTCTTGTCCTTAACTGTAAAATGGTGATACCAAATTATGAGCATGAAATGAAATAACACACATAACGTGCTTAGCCACCATGACAGGCTCATGAAATGTTAGTGCTGATAATGACAGTGGTAGTGGTGGTGGTAACTTAAACCATCCAGGACTTTATCCAGAGTTTTCACCTCTCTATGTCTTAATTTCCTTACATGTTAAACAGTGACAATAATATTGCTTGCCTCAGAGGGTTTATGAGGATTATAAGCAAATGCACATAAAGTGCTTAGAACATTGTCTGATACAAAATAAGTGCCAAAAAGCACTGCTACTTTTATTATTTCTCTAATTTTATGTTCCACATGTAGAATGATCCAATATTTTGAAATTGTTCTCTGATAAGCCACCCTAATAGAAAAGACTTGGGGTTCAATCTTCTTGGTGAGAAATATAGTGAAACTTCTCTAGAACCCTAAGGTAGTTTGTAGCCAAAGAAATTTAATCAGATTCAGTACGTATTTATTGAATACCTACTGTATACCAGACAGAGCTAGGCACATTTTATTCTCCTTTAAAATTTTAATCTCTTTTAATCCTTAAATAAACTTTTAGTTGGGTTCCATCCTCAGGCTCATTTTATGGGAATCTGAGACACAGAAAGCTTAAATAATTTGCCCCAAGTCCCACTGCTTGTAACTGGCTGAGTTAAATATCTCTAAGGCCTCTACATCAAGCGTTCCCATTGCTTCTTAGTCATGTACCACATGAATAGCTCCCACTAACCTCACCAGATTGTGTTTATTCTTTGTGTAGAGATAAAATTAGTTAGTCCTGAGCATTTATTCTAAATGTCCAAATTAACACTGCAAGTTATGTCAAATGAATCCAAACTGTTGCTGGGGGCGGGGGAAGAGGGAGGGAGTTTTCTCTCCATCCCAAGTGATTTGGATCAAGACCAGACTTTCTGCCCCAGCTTTAAAGACTCCATGCTATGAGAAAGAGAAATCAGGGCCTATAGTAAATGGAGTCTCACCAAACTCCATTCCCAGTTCTGGCCAAGGAAAAAAAAAAAAAAAGCAGCAGCTAAAAATGTAACCTGTACTGGAGCTTGCACAAAGTCAGCTTTCATTACTTACTGCTACATGTTGGTCTAGAAGAAATATTTCATTAACTACACTCTTGCTGTAGATGTTATCTAGTTGCCATAGAAACTTTGGAAGAAAAGCTTGTTTTTAACCCTTGGACTAGGTTTGCCACCCAGTTTTATAGCTCTATTTAAAGAGCCCCCTTGTTATTTTAAACGCTTCCCCTTCTGCTCACCTGTTTTCTCCTCCTGTTAGACAGCTGGACAGAACCTGTTCATGACCTTCAAACTGCCACTTATTGTGACTTCCAAGGCACAATTCCTGAGGGTGGATGGCTACAGCCAACAGTGCTTTTCTGTGTTTATCTGTGAGATGGGCTCTGGTTACAACAGCTTTTTTTTAAAGCTGAAGTTTCACTTTATCCAAAATAAAAATGAACTATCCTTTTCGTATTGCTTCAGCCAAGCAAACTTCTCCACTTAGCCCAAGTCTTTATAGAAGGCATCACGAGTCCCCACCCAGCTCCTCAGATAGCTTCCAAATTGGAAGTGTCTGGTTTCTAGATGCCCTAAGTACTATCCTTCCACTGGCCCATCCTCACTTCTCCTGGAGTTCCCAAATACAACACTAGGACTGCGCTTGCCTGTACAGCTTTTTCTTCCCTGGAGAACACATACACATCTCAGAACGGTTTACACTAGTGGGTCCCCAGGATGTGGGCTCCTGCCTGTCTCCCTACTGGGTGACATCTTTTCAACACTGTCTCTTTGTTCTCCTGCCTGGGGGCTCAATTTGGCACATATGGAAATTCTCATCTGGTTGCAATTGATTTTTTTCCTCAGGAGAGAGGTGGGTGTTGAACAACTGGGTTATATTTAGTGGGGTCATTCAGGGCCTGGCCTTGCTCTGGTTGGAGGGAAGGTTGAAGAACAGATGTTGGACACTTCCGGAAGCTAGAAAGTGTTAACCTGTGGAGGGCAGGATTCTTCCAAGCTCTTTTAATTTTGGTCATGATGGAGGTGTGGTCAGGTCCCATGGCTGAAACAATTTCATGCAAATAACACATTGCCCCTGCAAAGGCAGATCCTGTCTCCCAGAGAGGAAGTGAAAGTAGGGCTTCATTGTGTCCAGGTCATGACTGCTACTCAAGTGGACTTAACCCCTCAAGGTGAGGATGAAAATTAGGTCCAATTACTAAGGAGCTTGAAACTGCCAGGCAATTCCACCTCGCAGGAGTGCTATCCACTCAGGAGGACGTCTCATTTTAGAGCTCTCTGTACTGAATTTCTGCATTATGGAGCTCCAGAGAAAAGCTTGGATGGTTCCCACAAGAAGATTCATTGCAGCCAGCTCTGTTTCTGTGATTATCAAGTAACCACCGAGATTAGCCAGCTCATCAGTGAAACACTCCCTGGAGATGCAAGGGCTCCAGGGTTGCCAAAGACAGGCAGTATCTCTCTGCTAGGAAGTCCAAAGGCAGTAACTGTTGCCCACATCTGGCTCTAAACTGACACAATTCCAGGTAAGCCTTAGATGTGGGCAAGGAGGAATTTTGGTGCATCTCTGAGCTAGAAACTTCTTGTTTGCTTTATTTCTGAATGCCTCTCATGCCTCAGACAAAGCCTGGTGCATGGTAGATGCTGAACAAGTATTTGTTAAATGTGAATTAGGGTTTTTTTTTTCTTTTTTGCTATAGATCATAGATTTCTTTTTGAAAATAATGACTTTATTGAGATATACTTCACACATCATAAAATTCACCCTTTTAAAGTGTTCAATTCAGTGGTTTTTAGTATATCCACAGAGTTGTACAGCCATTACCACTATCTAATTTTAGAACAGTTTCCCCACCTCCTCTAAAAAACTGTGTACTCATTCTCCTCTTCCCCAAGACTTTGGTAAACATTAACCTACATTGTGTCTCTGACCATAGATTTCTGACCATTACATTCAACAGTTTTATGGATCTCTGTATGAGCACACAAAGCAAAATTTCTACCAGGGTCATGCTCTTCAGAAAGCATTGCTTGTATTTTCCTGGTTCTAGCTAATTCTGTCTCATCCTTTCTATCACTTAAGAGAACAGATGGCTTAAGCCTTCTCTAGGCCAAGGCTGTGTCTCTGTATTGCCAAACATGTTGATGAGCACTGAAATTCAGCCCAGAATCACAATGAAAGCAAATGTGAAATACCTGGACATCGCCAAAGTACTTCAGGCATTTCCCCACGCTCTGGCACTATTTAGCAACTGCATGGGTCACCCATTCTGGTGGGTGACCAGAAATGGCTCTTACCAGAAATGAAATTTGGGTATGCCAGGTCAATAACAGCATGTCAAGCTTGGCCTCAGAGGGTAGCATTGAGGCGGCGGCAGCAGCATTAACTGTGGAATTCACATGAAAAAGCCCCAAGCACTGTTTTGGGAGGAAGTTCCCAATCTGAAGCCTGGGGGGTTAGGTTGCCCTGGGAATAAGGGGCATAGCCTGAAGGTCTCAAGCCCAGGGCAGAGGTGGTCCAGGAGCCATGGTGGCAGCCAAGTACTGAGCACTAGAATCTGTGGAGGCTGAACAGGGTGAACAGGATTGTTCTGAGAATTGTTGCCAAATAGCCTATGGCTACCCCAGTCAGATTTATTAGCCCAGTTTGGCAGTTTTTGCCTGAGAGCATTTTAAAGGCACTACGGGATCTTTGACACTGGGAACTAAAAATCACTGACAGGATAATAATCCGGAGGAAGTAGTTCTTCCTTCAACAGCTTAGCCTCTTCAGAAAATGAAAGTTGGTAAGAAGCATTCTCCAGTTCCAAGAACATCATGGAGGCTTCCCTTAGAGAAAGTGGTGAAGCTTCATGTCATGTCATGTCTATAGTTGGTGGTTAAATGTGGTTTTTCCAGACTAGAACATGGGCTTCTTGCAAGGAGAGTCAATGTCATTTTCATTTTTGTATCCCCAGTGCCTAAAAGTGCCTGGCACATAATAACCACTCAATAAAGACTTAGTGAGTGAATATGTTCCTGGGCCCTGTTTCCAAGATTTCCACAGAACTCAGGGGCAAAAAGAGTACGCTTCCTCCAAAAATTGCTATATTGAGGAGGATAATTATGATAAAATGTAAATGTGTACTTTTAAATATGCTACTCTTATCAGGGGAAAAATGATACTGCACATCCAAAGGGAAAGTATGTGAGCTGAATAAAGATTAAAAACAAAACAAAAAAAAAAACACTGAAAGCTTGACATAAGGCCAAGGAAAC
Organism: Homo sapiens; assembly: GCF_000001405.40. Lineage (NCBI taxonomy): Eukaryota > Metazoa > Chordata > Mammalia > Primates > Hominidae > Homo > Homo sapiens. The sequence continues at coordinate 31,966,472 of NC_000014.9, read as the reverse complement.
AAGCTTACTGCTAGTGCAGAGACAGCAAATTCCCTTCGTGCATGTAGGCTCTCTCCCTCCCAAGGCCATGAGGGCACTGCTAATCAAGTCTAGGCTACTCTCTCCCTCCAAACTGAGGCTAACCTTGGACTCCTTGTCAATGCTGTATTTCATGTGGTCACTACCGGGTGGTTGGTGTTGATACACACGATGTAACCTAGTGTTAGCTGTGGCTGAGCCCGGGTGTAAGAAGGACAAGGCCAGTGACAGCTCATCTAAGCACGATGAGGAGGGGACCTGGGAGGAGCCTGCTGGGCTGACTGAGATCATCAGGTTGGCTCCAGCTCTCTATGCAGGTTGTTGGGTATGTTCAGGGCAATTTCAGCCGCACTCAAGGAAGAGCCCTAGGGCTGGATCTGAGATCCAGTCAGAAGAAAAAAAGTCTGGGTTTGAAGATAAGAAGACCTCAATTCCAGCTTTAGCACTTACTAGCTGTGCAGCCTTAGGTGCTTACTTTCACTTTCTGAGCAACTGTAAATCACTTAAATTACAGTTTCTGAGCAACTGTAAATTTGGGATACTATTACTTAAGTGTTGTCCTAAGAATTAACAGTATATGTAAATAACTTAACATATCAAACATAATCAATAGCGTTAAATCTGTCCATCCTAGGCAAAGATGGAGGCTGGTGGTTCTGTTCCTATAAAGTACGCAACACAGGAGACGTCAGTGTAAGAGACAATTCTGGACTCCTGGGTTTCTAGATGTCCAAGTCAAAGCCCTTTCCTCTTCTTGATGTCTCTGCTGTCTCAGCTTCCCGCAGGCTCAGGATGGGGGTAGGGGAAGCGGGTGGAGGCAGAACTCAGCAGGCTGATGGGCCTTCCGACTCCCAAGGCCCTAAATGGAGTCAGAGCCTTGAGAATCGGAAGGCCCAGCCACCAGCTGCGCCCTGCCTTCAGGGCCGCTTTGGGGGTCACTTCAAATGATGCACAATTTGGAGAGAATTACAATCATTTTGTTGGGAGGTGACAACACCATGAGAGTCTGAGGGGGCAGGAAGAATTAAGGACAGCCTGGCAGGAAGCCATACCACGTTGGTGACCCTTGTTACTGGGACTGTTCCAAAAGACATTCTAAGCTGTTTGCTTCATGAATCCTCTTCCCGGCTCAGAAAGCACAAGTGTGTTTCAGAGTCCCTTCCCAACCTTCTCCCCTTCCTCATGAGCTCTGGGAGCACCCCTCTGCTGGGCTCAGCCTCTGGCAGCTTCCTCAGCCAAGCCCTACAGCATGCCAGGAGGTAAGATCCAAAACACAATTGCAACAGCTATAGCAAAGGCTGAGCAAACAGCCTTGAAATGAGGATGAAAAGCTGAACGGGGGGAGCAGGCAGGCGGTCCGGGAATGACACCAGAATGATAAATCATGGCAAGGAGGCCCCAAGTTCTCCAGACCAAAAGCTTAGCTGGGAGTGATGGTGCCCAGGAAATGGTTAGTCTCCCTGAGCACATACTTGAAGAGTGGCTCCTTCTCTTTTAAAGTAAGGTGTCGATGTCAAGGTTGTTAAGACCACAATGAAACACCACTGGAAGAAAGTGTGAAAACAGGACCATGAAACCTTAGAGTAGGCGGTCAAAGGCTGGTATATTTAAAAAAAATAATTCTTCCTCAGCAACCACTGGTACAGTCTGCTGTACCCTGCTAAGCACCTGGACTTCAGGTTCTACTTATGTTACTGCAAGTTCTAAGCCAGCGTCATCACAGCCGAGAGTCTCTTCTCAGCCAGCTTTGATGGTGGGGCGGCTCCCACGTCTGCAGCTGTGGTCCAGAGGATGTCTATGATGAATACAGAAGTTGCCACGACACTGGGCACAGCCATCTGCAGCATCTCTTTCTTCTTGAAGCATCCTTCTTTTGAGCACCAGTATGTACACAAGCAGTTCCAGTACAGACTGGCATGAGGATGCTCTGGTGGGGGACAGCATGCCATGGGAGCACATAATGAGGGCAACTAACCTAGCCCTGGGAGACGATGAAAGATTTCCCAGAGTCGGTGTTTCTTAAAATAAGACTTTGATGAGTTAGTTGGTTAGGGAGTCTAGGGAGAATGAGAGAAGAGTAGCTTAAAAGAACTGAAAGATTTAGTGTGGCTTGATCATTTGGTAGGAATGTCACCTTGGTTTCTCTCTATTTATTTAAAATACCTCTATGCCATAAATAGTTAGTAAATGATAATGTAATTATCTGTCTCTAACGATTTATCTATCCATCCATTCATCTATTCTGTACCTTGTTCCAAAATGGATATAAGCTGACTTAAAGATGCTTAACTAGAAGTCAGTAGAGAAAATGAGTTAAATGGAATAAGGGTTGGAGTGTGGAATGGAGACAGAGGGAGGTGAATTAGCTAAGTGTATGCCACGAAGTGCCGTGTACTTGCTAGGCGTAACCTGGGTAAGTGTGTGAGGATGCATCTTTTGTAAGATCTCTGTAAGTTTTGATTCCTGCCTGCCTATGATGTTTGAGATCATGTTGCTTACAAATGGAGGGTGGGGAGGAAGAGGGAGGAGAGAGGAATGGATTGGATGCTCACTCACAGTACACTCCCGTCCACTGGTTCCACATGCTCTACTGCTATTCATAGTATTTCTTTTTCAACCAAAACGTAGGAATAATCTGACTGCCAAGCTATTGTGGATAAAATGAAGAGGCTGCCTATGTACAAATCAGTATTCCCTTCTGTTACTGAGAGCCAAGGGGCTAAGGCCTATCCCAGCTGGGTTTTCACATGTGCAGATTAGCAGGGCAGTTTGTTCCTTGAATAGAAAGAAGACAAGATTTATACATCACCCATTCCTCAGAGCATGGAGTCAGTCTGGATGTACTGGTGTTTTATTATGCTGCTTCTGGATTATTTATTTAATATTGTTCCATTAAATTTTAAAGAACACAAGTGGTTTTACAAATAAAACATGAAATGCCAGGGTACAAAAATGGATGGTTAATTTAAAAAAAAAATATTTTTAAGTTTCTGAAGGAACTGAAGTATGATGCCTGTGTGTTTATGCAGGAGAACAGATAATATTTTGTGACTAAAGATCCTTCTAGTCACATTGAGACCTGTGAATACAGAGGCATGGTGCTGCCTAGCAAACTGAGCTCTACCCTAATTTGTCTAAAAACCACAACCTTCCATTCCCGTGCAGAGTAAATGGCTAGACTTCAGCATCTTATGCTAAGTATTCAGGGCACACACATCAAACTTGTCTTTGTTTTCCATGGGGATGGCAAAAGGCTGTGAAACACACTCAAGGGCCCACAACTCTATTGACTGGTTTGGAAACAGGAAGGCCCTGGCTGTGATATTCAACCACATTAAATGACCAGCATTATCCAGAGCCCTGCAACATGAGTTAATTGTGCTTGCCGGGCTTTGAGGCTGAGAACACTGGAGAAAGGCTGTGCGTAATTAGGAGCTGGCCTCATGAAAAGGGCTTCGCTCACACCACATGCCCAGTTTTTGTCCTCAGAGGAGGGTGCCAATCTGAGAAAGGGTGAGCCCCTAGGGATATCCATTTATAAAGAATTTTGAAGATGTGTGACTATCTTGTTACAGTGAATTTGGGGTGGGGAAAAGATTCCTAGTCAGAATTTAGGCCATGCCACTTGCAGGTGATAGACTCATAGAATTCTGCTGGTGACCACCGTGCACAGTGAGATACAGGCTCCTATGCTGAGGGATTGAGATGTGTTTTTCTAATAAATTCTTCCCAGTCCAATGTGAATTGTTTCCAGGTACTTAAATGACTCAACGACTTAATATTTCATTTTAAACCATGCTCTGCACAGGAAACAAGGTTGACATTATTAGGATTTTCAGATTTAACATGTGCCTCATCCAGGTTATTTTCAAACCCTGAGGTGGCATTACAGAAATATTTCTTATAAATGCTAAATAACTCACATTGTTCTTTAGAAAGGCAGAATCAGTCTTTTCAATGGCTTGAAAAAGCCTTGAAATGAGGAGAGTATGGAGAATTTTAGCACTCTTCAGACATAAATATAATCCCTCTGAATGGGGAGCCTCCCGCCCATTTTGTCAGCTTTCATTTGCCAGACCGGAAGTTCCCTTAATTCCTGGGACCCTTTAGCTTGTAATTTTTTCAATAGCCAAATATATTCCCTTTTATGAGGATCCCAATAATCTCAACAAGCTAACAAGCTTTCAGTCCCTCTCTAATCTTGATGTGGTTGTGATCTCCAAGCAGACTCTATTATCTATCATTCAGTTCCACCAATCCGGCTGTGGATTCCTATGCTCAGAGCTCTGAGCAGGCGTAGGTATGCCAAGACCAGCTGTTGTGGCTTAACCATGAGCAAATTCAGGACTAAGCATGTGAAAGGTCCATCTGATTCAATATTCTTGCCTGACAGACAGTAATCTCATCTCTACTTGAAATCCTCACTCTTTGATAAGCGAGTCTGCAACAGCTGGACATCACTAATTACCATACAGGTCTCCCACCCCTCACCCAGTGGCTCTCCTTCTGTCATCTCATATTCCTCACATATCCCTGGTGCAGCTCTCTCCATGATCATCATAACTAGTTGTTTAGATATATTTTTTCTCTGCTGAACTCCTGAAGGCAGGAGCCCTGTCTTATTCATCTTTGTATCTCCATTGTCCCCGATAAATGCTGAAAAGAAATGAGCAATTCTTCTTTCTACTTTAGCACTAATCCACCTCACTCTATCAGTCGGCCAAATCAATCTACTTAACTATTCCATAATTCGATATACATTTCTCCGACTTGTCTGTAAACATATCATAAAAGATTCTGTCCAATAGCCTCCTTAAACCCAAATGTATCCCCCTGATCTTTGGGTTTAATATTTAATATGGCTTGGATGTGTGTCCCCTCCAAATCTCATATTGAAATGTGACCTCAGTGTTGGAGGTGGGGCCTAGTGGGAGGTGTTTGGGTCATGGGGGCAGATCCCTCATGAATGGCTTGGTGTCTTCCACTCAGTAAACAGTCTCACTCTACAACTTCACATGCCATCCAGTTGTTTAAAAGAGTAAGCTAAAAACACAAAAAATTAGTCAGGCATGGTGGCACGTGCCTGTAGTCTCAGCTACTTGGGAGGCTGAGGCAGAAGAATTGCTTGAACCAGGGAGGCAGAGGTTGCAGTGAGCCAAGATTGCGCCACTGCACTCCAGCCTGGGTGACAGAGCGAGACTCTGTCTCAAAAAAAAAAAAAAAAAGAGTAAGTGGCTGGGCGCAGTGGCTCACGCCTGTAATCCCAGCACTTTGGGAGGCCAAGGTGGGCAGATCACTTGAGGTCAGGAGTTCAAGACCAGCCTGGCCAACATGGTGAAAGCCCCTCTCTACTAAAAATACAAAAATTAGCTGGGCATGGTGGCATGATGGCACGACTGTAGTCCCAGCTACTCAGGAGGCTGAGGCAGGAGAATCGCTTGAACCCAAGAGGTGGAGGGTGCAGTGAGTTGACATCATGCCACTGCACTCCAGCCTGGGTGACAAAGTGAGACTCCATCTCAGAAAAAGAGTATGGCACCTCCCCCCACTCCTTGCTCCCTCTCTCACCATGTGACATGCTCTTCCTCTTCTGCCATGACTGGAAGCTTCCTGAGGCCTCGCCAGAAGCATATGTCAGCATCACACTTCTTGTACAGTTTGCAGAAGCATGAGCCAAAATAAACCTCTTTTCTTTATAAATTACCCAACCTCAGGTATTCCTTTATAGCAATGCAAACAACCTAACACCAAATTTCAATGAAAAGTAAAAATGAAGTTAATTTGTGATCATTTATTTTTGGTGAATGCATATTAGAACATAATAATCATGTCTCCCCTTTTCACATATTTTAACAAACTGTTTGATAATCTGTTCCAGAAATTTGCTGGTAGCTAATGTGAAGATTATCAGCCTGTAATTTCCAGAATCTACCTTTGAAATGTGAGGTAACAATTTTCCTTCTGATCTGTGGATATTGATTCTTCGGCAACTTGTTCAAAGACTGTTAAAAGCAGTTCCTCCGTCATCTCTTTAAATTGTTTTGGTTCTCTGGAAAGTAAATTTATCTGATCTTAGAGACTTGAATGCATTTCAAATGGCTAGCTGCTGTCTATATCTTTGCCCTCAATTGGGGCTTCACTCCACCTCTTCAGGACGTGTCCCCACTGACGAAGGGAAACAAAAGTCAATTCATTCCTGCCCATTGAGACACTGTGACTCTGGGATGTGGTATGTGGTGATTGCTAGAAAGAGAGCTGCTGGAGAATCCTGCCAGGTTTTGGCAGAAGTGGATTTACCGTGAAGCTAAGGAAGTTTAAACTTCAGAATCTTCATGAGTTTTGTATTATTTTTCTTAAAATTGGTCTGCCAGACTGTGTAACCCGGATCTGTCCCTGACTCTTGTGTAAGCTCAAACATTGTAACTCTACAGGAGCAGTTCTTATGGGCATTATGATAACCAGCCTATCAAAGCAAGACATGAAAATCTAGGGGTGCTTCATGGGCTAAACAGGAGGCTTAAAATACCCAGTGCTGATATCAACATTTTACCAGGCATTTAGGAAATCCACTTAACCTCATGAGTCTTTCTTTCTTTTTTTTTTTTTCACCCACAATATGAGGATGATAATCCTTATTTTAGTCTTAGTTGACATTGAATATTGACCCATTATGGGTATATGCCACCTTACAACAACTTGGTAAATAAAAATAAATATCTGTTGACATTACATACACACACATACAATAGAAAAATTAACTTGGCAGAATGACCATTTACTCTATGAAGGAATTAATTTAACTGAGTACAGAATAAACAAAAAAATAAGATTTATAGTCAGGAGAACTGATTTCCACAAGCCAGGAAGCAGCAGCTGGTTGAGCACATTTACTCAATCCCTGTAAGTCTTAGTTTCCTCGTTTGGTAAATAGAGATGACAATATCTCCTCACAAAGACACTATGAAAACTGAGATCCTATATACTACAATGTTTCGTAAATTTTGGAAGTAATTTATAAATGTATGGTGTTACTACTACCCTTTAGTCATTAAAATTATGATTGACTTACAAAAGTTCAATGTACACAAAATTTTCTAAAGCACAAACTATACATATTACTGGCATTCATGCAAGGCAGGAGTTAGAAATTTAGTGAATGACAATGCAAATATCAAATGCTATACAAGTTGGGAGCAGTGGCTCACACCTGTAATCCCAGCACTCTGGGAGGCCACTCTAAGCCAGGAGTTCATGACCAGCCTGGCCAACATGGCAAAACCCTGTTTCTACAAAAAAAAAAGACAAAAATTAGCCGGGCATGATGGCGCATGCCTATAGTCCCAGCTACTCGGGAGGCTGAGACAGAGAATCACTTGAACCTGGGAGGAGGAGGTTGCAGTGAGCCAAGATTGCGCCATGGCACTCCAGCCTGGGTGACAGAGCAAGACTATCTCAAAAAAAAAAAAAAAAAGATATACAGATAAATATCAATTTTAAAAATCAATGAGGCCGGGTGCGGTGGCTCACGCCTATCATCCCAGCACTTTGGGAGGCTGAGGCGGGCGGATCACGAGCTCAGGAGATCGAGACCATCTTGGCTAACACGGTGAAACCCCATCTCTACTAAAAATACAAAAAAATTAGCCAGGCGTGGTGGCGGGTGCCTGTAGTCCCAGCTACTCGGGAAGCTGAGGCAGGAGAATGGTGTGAACCCAGGAGGCAGAGCTTGCAGTGAGCCGAGATCGCGCCACTGTACTCCAGCCTGGGCGACAGGGTGAGACTCTACCTCAAAAAAAAAAAAAAAAAAAAAAAAAAAAAAAAAAAAATCAATGAAATATCCTTTTTATAAAGCAAATCTCTCCAGTCCAGACCACACTTCTCTTGTTTTGCAGAGTAGAAATGTTAGTGATGTTGGGAGTTACACTGGGAGTCCAGGATCATAGATTTGTTATCTGACCTTGTCAAAAGATAAACATTCCTGGCCGGGCGCGGTGGCTCACACCTATAATCCCAGCACTTTGGGAGGCCAAGGTGGGTGGATCACCTGAGGTCAGGAGTTCAAGACCAGCCTGGCCAACATAGCAAAACCCCATCTCTACTAAAAATACAAAAATTGGCTGGGCATGGTGGTGAAAAACTGTAATCCCAGCTACTCAGGAGGCTGAGGTGGAAGAATCACTTGAACCTTGCGGGGGGAGGCTACAGTGAGCCGAGATTCTGCCACTGCGCTCCATTCTGGGCAACAGAACAAGATGCCGTTTCAAAAATAAAAAATAAAAAGAAAATAGACATTCCTTCAGTCCCTTTTTTAATGTGCCTCAAAGTCTGGGATATTTTGTTGGTACTACCCCAGACCAGAAAACATCTCTCTAGATTCTCACCGAAGTGCTTATGCCTGAAATTCTGTCTCCTTTTGTTTGCCCCATAATCTTACAAGCTTGCAATTTAAGGATGTCCCTCCATTCAGAAAAACAACCTTGGAGTTGTCAGTTGCCCTTGAGATGCTTAATCTCCTTTGTGACAGAAGGAATTTTGCACCTGTTCCCTTTCAGAAGTTGCCAGAAGATTTGAGAAGCCTTCAAGCCTCTTAGAGTTTTCCAAGCACCTAGCTTGCAGGATTAATCTGTTGAGTTGGAAGGCTATTGCTTGACTTTTCTTAGCTCAGTTTAACAGCAATTTAAACATAGATTCCTCTCCTTACAATCTGTTGTTCTACAAGGAAGGCCTCATTTCACAAAGTCCCATGCATAGTGGAGCTTCTGGGCTCAGTAGAGACAACTGCATTCATTATCGCCAGCCCTGACTTCCAGTTCAGAGAGGAATCCTGTTTCAGTTCATTATCTCTCTGAGTTCCGGCTTCATCAGTCTCCATTAGGAAGTACCTTGCCTTTCCGCCAAGGGGCACCGAAGGTGAGTGGCCCAATTCCCTACCACAGGTGCTGGCTGCCAGCAGCCTCCTCCCTGCTAATCACTTCCCTCTCCACCACCCTGTCTTCTGGAGGCCAAAACCCCATCTTCCTCTTTAGGGAGAATATGTCTTTTCCTCAGAAATCACCCTGACATGCTGGGCCTGAACAGCAGACTCTTTCCGTACCTCCCCATTCCCTTTCATTCAGTGGGCCCCAACCATTTGGCACCAGGGACTGTAAGACAGATTTTCCACAGACAGGGAGTGGGGGCAGTGGGGAGTGGGGAATGGTTTGGGGATAAAACTGTTCCACCTCAGATCATCAGGCATTAGATTCTCATAAGAAGGACGAAACCCAGTTCCCTCACATGCTCAGCTCACAATAGGGTTCGTGCTCCTATGAGAGTCTAATGCCACCGCTGATCTGACAGGAGGCAAAGCTCAGGCAGGAATGCTCACTCATCTGCCACTCACCTCCTGCTGTGCAGCCCAGTTCCAGACAGGCCATGGAACTGGTCCCATGGCCTTGGGCTTGGGGACCCCTGCTTTCATTCATTTGCATATTTTAAAATTCCTGCCATTGAATGTTACCTCACCAGGTCTCTTGTTGCCTCACATAAAACCCTGGTTTCCAAAATGATCCAGACTTGGTGTTTGAGCATCCTCTCTCAGCATCTCTTCCTGATTATTCAACCCATGTCTTTCAAAGAAGAAAAAACAAGGAAATAAAGAAATTAAGACCAATTGTGGACAGAGAGGAAACAATGGAAGAGTAAAAGAAAAACCAAGATGTGGGGTGAGAATCTTAGGACACCGTGAGGGGGTGGGCACTGGACGCTGAATCAGGAACTGTTCCAAGCAGGGCAGAGACTATCAGCTCATGGACCAGAGACATGTTTCTAATTGGCATGAAAATTAGGCTCATCAATCCTTGATTTTATGTAACAATCGAGAAAGTGGAACTAAAATATGCTCATGTTTGTGGACTGGTGGGGCTTTCTCTCATCTTCACTTTTGTCATTTCTTTCCCTCCTCTCAGTTTTCTAAAACAAATTAAAAAACAGACCCTGTTTAGCCAAAACACGTCAAAGATTTGCCAGGAGAAACAGGACACACACATGAGTAGTAGAAAGGCATGTTTGTTTTGTAGATTCTCCAGTCTAAGAATCTAAACACTCCCTCGGCCTTGCACAGGAGAGACTTTATGTCATCCCTTACTGGGTGGCGTCAAGAACCAGAATCTTTTTTTTTTTTTTTTTTTTTTAAGAACCAGAATCTTTGGGATTCATCACACACCCAGTGGAGCAGATCTCCTTCCCCTCACACACCAGCTTTGGTTGTGCTTTCCCTCCCAACAGGCAGCCCCTGTTCTCCTGTTAAAGCACCACCTTCAGGCCTGCACAGAGAGCTGAAGTATCTGGGAATTTCCAACTGGGGGAGGAAGATAGGAGTCATGCCTAAACAACAAATGACTGTTGGTTGCAGGGGTGTAAATGACTTCAGCTCTTTGTTCACCCCTTCCCGATGATGATGACTCTGATGCGTGATCTTCTCTGTCTCCAAGAGTGCCTCTGTGGGACTTTGCTTGATACCTCTCTATACATCCCCCCCTGATCCCACTCCACCACCAAATTTTCCTGGAAATGCTTCCTAATAAATCAATTTATCACATGATTCCTTTTTTCAGAGGCAGCCTCTGAAGAACAAGACACTCTAGAACAGAGCTAAGAGGTTGCAGGGAGGGAAAAGAGAAGAATCTCTAAGAGGTGGTAGGACAGGAGAGGTAGGAGGAAAATGAGAGAGAAGGGCTTGACATATGGACTGAAAGGAGCCTTGATGGACAGCTAAAGAAACATTTTGTACCATCTTCCAGATCCCTTGTGTCTTCTAAGAAGAAGCTGTGTGTGCATACACTCACATGTGGGTGTACGTTTTTCCCTCTCTCTGGTAAAGGACTGCGTTGCATGCCCTTCAGATACAGGCATAACTGAAGAGTTGCATATTATTTTATTCTAAAATATATATTCTTTATACTTTCCTAATTTTGGCAAAAAACAAACACAGGCATACCTCAGACACATTGTGGGTTTGGTTCCAGATAACCACAGTAAAGCAAAGATTGCTAAAAAGCAAATTTTTTCGTTTCCCAGTGCATATAAAAGTTATCTTTACACTATAATGTAGTCTATTCAGTGTAATAGCATTATATCTACATACCTTAAATGTACATACCTTAAATTTAAAAATACCTTATTGCTAAAACATGTTAACTATCATCTGAGCCTTCAGTGAACCATAATCTTTTTGCTGGTGGAGAGTCTTGCCTCTATGTTGATGGCTGCTGACTCATCAGGGTGGTGGTTACTAAAGGATGGGATGGCTGTGGAAATTTCTTAAAATAAGACAATGATGAAGTTTGCCACATCAATTGACTCTTCCTTTCAGGAAAGATTTCTCTGTAGTATGTGATGCTGTTTGATAGCATTTACTCACAATAGAACTTCTTTCAAAATTGGAGTAAATCCTCTCAAACCTTGTCACTGCTTTATCAACTAGGTTTATGTAATATTCTAAATACTTTGTTGTCATTTCAACAATGATCACAGCATCTTCACCAGGAGTAGTTTCCATCTCAAGAAACCACTTTCTTTGCTCATCCATAAGAAGCCACTCTTGGCTAGGCGTGGTAGCTCACACCTATAATCCCAGCACTTTAGGAGGCCGAGGCAGGCAGATCACCTGAGGTCAGGAGTTTGAGACCAGCCTGGCCAACATGGTGAAACCCTGTTTCTAATAAAAATACAAAAATTAGTCAGGGTGGTGGTGCATGCCTGCAGTCCCAGCTACTCAGGAGGCTGAGGCAGGGGAATTGCTTGAACTCAGGGGGCAGAAGTTAGTGAGCAGAGATTGTGCCACTGCATTCCAGCCTGGGTGACAGAGTGAGACTCCACCTAAAAAAAAAAAAAGAAGAAGAAGCCACTCTTATCTGTTCAAGTTTGTAGCAATTCAGTCCCACCTTCAGGCACCACATCTGCAGTTACTTCCTCTAGCTATGAATATCCTAGATGCCATCTTCTGATTTCAATAGATGGCTTTTTCATCTACATTGAAAATCTCTTGTTTCGTGTAGCCACCTTCATCAATGATTTTACCTAGATCGTCTGGATAACTTGCTGCAGCTTCTATATCAGCACTTGCTGCTTCACCTTGCACTTTCATGTTATGAAGATGGCTTCTTTCCTTAAACCTCGTAAGCCAACCTTTGTTAGTTTCCAACTTTTCCACAGCTTCCTCCTCTCTCTCAGTCTTCATAGAATTGAAGAGAGTTAGGGTCTTGCTCTGGATTAGGCTTTGGGTTAAGAGAATGTTGTGGCTGGTTTAATCTTCCATCTAGACAACTAAAACTTTCTCCATATCAGCAATAAGGCTGTTTTGCTTTCTTATCATTCATGCATTCACATTTAATTTCCTTCAAGAGCTTTTCCTCTTTATTTACAACTTGGCTAGCTGGTTGGCACAAGAGGCCTAGCTTTTGGTCTTTCTGGGCTTTTGACGTGCCTTCCTCACTAAGCTTAATTATTTCTAGCTTTTGATTTAAAGTGAGAAAATGCAACTCTTCCTTTCACTTGAACATTTAGAGGCCACTGTAGGGTTACTCATTGGCCTAATTTCAATATTGTTGTGTCACAGGGAATAGGGAGGCCTGAGGAGAAGCAGAGAGTTGGGGGAATGGCTGATGGGTAGAGCAGTCAGAACATGCACATTTCTCAAATAATTCACCGTCTTATATGGATGCAATTCATGGTGCCACAAAACAATGACAATAGTAGCATCAAAGATCACTGATCACTGTAATATATATAATAATAATGAAAAAGTTCAAAATACTGCAAGAATTACCAAAATGTAACACAGAGACACCAGGTAAGCACATGCTTTTGGAAAAACGGCACAAATAGACTTGCTCATTGCAGGGTTGCCACAAACCTTCGATTTGTTACAAAGACAGAGAGGGAGAAAGAGAGAGAGAAGAGAAAGAAAGAAAAAAAAGAAAGGAAAGAAAGAAGAGAGAGATAAAGAAAGAAGACAAAGAAAGAAAAGAAGAGAAAGAAGAGAGCGAAAAAGAGAAAGAAAGAAAGAAGGAAGGAAGGAAAGAGAGAGAAAGCGAGCAATATCTGTGTACGGCAATAAAGTAAAGGGCAGTAAGACAAGGTATGCCTGTAGCTTTGACAGGAAATAAAATAAGTGAAAACACAGTTTAAAGAAATAGCATTATACGAGCCTTTAGCCAAGTAACCTTAGGATATTAAGACAGGACTAGGGGACAGGAATGGAGAGGTACCTCCTTTCTGGCTTCACATTTGGTCTGCCCACCCCTGAGCCATGAGGGCCAGCCTCAGCTCTGCTGTGGGTCTGGGTGCCAGTGCTTTACAGTATTAATGCGTTTGACTCATGCAACGATCCTCTGAGTAGGTATCATTACTATCCTCTTTTCACAGATGAAGAAATGGAGGCATAGAGAATACAGCAAAACTCTACTTTTCCTACTTCACAGAGTTATTGCTAGGATCAAATAAAACAATGTATGTGAAAATGTTTTGACAATGCACAACAGTGGTGTACAGTATGATCTGCCCAGTGTAGTTATTATTGACCACATTCACATTTGCTTTCAGGGTTATAGACCAATCCTTGGTATAAATGATCTTTCCCTACAAGTCTTACAAAACAGAAAGACTGCATTCCTGCTGACACCTTGATTTTGGACTTCTAACCTCCAGAACTGAGACAATAGATTTCTGCTGTTCAAGCCACCTAGTGTGTGGTACTTTGTTACATCAGCCCCGGCAAACCACTGTAGCCTCTCATTGAGAAGCTGCCCCACTCCCAGCCTAATAAGAAGGCAGGAGACCCCTGTGGCCCCCAGCTTGGGTCCAAGCTATGGGGGAAGAGAGTGGGAAGGAGTTCTGAGCCAAGGACAACCAATCCACAGAGAGATGACTCGGCACCATTACATTCTTAGAAAATAGGAAGCCGTAGTGGGTGGTGGGTGCTAATTCAGAAGTTCATGTAGACCCTGGCATGTGGCTGCTATTCTGGGTTGTGTACAAGATGAGTAAACAGAGGATGCTGGTCACGAGAAAGCAAGGAGGACAGAAAGAGGCAAAGAGGCCACGGGGTGCAGCCGGGCTCTAGTATTGTCCTGGTTTCGCCCTTCCTGAAGCCAGACTTCTCTGGGTTCCACACGTGCACATCCTTCAATAAGCGTCCCTTCCTTCTTTCCTCTGGTAATGACTTCTTTTTCCTGCACTAAAGTGGCCTGAGTAGGACAGCTCAAAAAGAAACCTGCAGAATGATGCCTAGTAAAACAGTGACATGGACATTTCACTTGGTCCGGCCTCCCAAGTTCTCATTTTAATCTGAGAAATAGTGGAGTGGGTAAATTCAAAATCTTAAAAATTGCTTTATCTAAAAGGCCTAAGATATGAGGCATGAATTAGAATTGTTTTGGAACCCTGTGGCAAAGTATAACCCCAAAACAGGGAGGAAGAGAGGGGTAGGAGAATGAGCACATTGGTGGGCTGATGCTTGAAATGGTTCTGGGAGCCTAGTCCTAAAGAGCCTCCTAGACCATTCTATTAAACAGTTTGACCTTTTCCTAGAGAAGGGGAACAACCCAAACTGATATGCATTTTAGAGATTAAGATATCAGCAGGGTGTCAAACAGGTTGGAGGGAAACAAGACCGGAGGGAGGGAGTATGATTAAGAAGCTGTTGCAGGAATCCAGCCTCGGGATGATGAAGGCCTGAGATGAAGGTGGGACCCTGGAAGGGGAGGCAGGAAGAAACGAAGCTAGGAGACATTAAGGTGGTAATGTTCAGGGAGCCTGGGGCATGTGGCGTGGAGGGGAAGGAGGCATGGGGGAGGATATACTCTATGAGGGGACTGGAGGGAGAGGCAAGCCCTGAGGCCTGGGGCGGAAGAGCCAGGCAGCTCTTCCCTTATCACTGCAAGAACCAGTCCCTGACAGTACGGCCCCATCCCTAGGGGCTGATCACATAAGCCGGCTCCCCAACAGCCAGAAAAGCTGCTTCAGGCTGCTGCCTGCTTGGAGCCTCGCACTAGAGCTCTGTGTTTACACATTCGAGAGAATCGAATCTCACATAATCATATATGTGACAAAGGCCTCCGCTATAAGCAACATTAATGAAGACAAATGAATCAGCCAAATGCTGCAGCTTGCACAGCAGCACACAGGGAGGCTGCTTTGTTGGGGGAGCTCATTTCTGGCTGCGGCTCTTGCCTTTCCTGACAGAGATGTATGAGGAGCCTCCCACGGAGGGGGGCGCCTCAGCCACCGCCCCCACAGCCCCAGCTAGAGGGCAGGCGGTCAGGGGGCTTTGAGGGAATTTTCAGAAGACTCTCAGAACATGTTTACACATTTTTATGAAAGTTATCTTAGGGGAGACAGGCAAATAGAGATTAGTTGGATCCAGTGGTCTCATAGTGTTAACTAAACAAGCTCCCTGCATCCTGGCAGTTGCCGACTGGGAAAGTAGTTATGAGAATTCTCATCCCAGCCAGCGGGTAACCACGCCCCAGTAACCGCGCCCCATTCAGGCTTACTGAGTGCCTGAATCAGACCAGGATGGGGCTCGGCTCTGCAGAGTCCCCTGCTCGCCTGTAGGCCATTTGTATTGTTCTTCCCATCCATTTCTCTTTGTGACAGAAGAGCAAACACTCAACTTTGAGACTTTTACTCCAACCTCTCCTGAGGGGATGACAGCCCATTAAAAAAAAGGCATTTATAAATCAAGTGGCATGAGACTGGAGCTGGTGAAGTGGCCGTGGCTCTGTCCTGGCTCTCGATGGCTATGTTTTGATGCTTACCAGCAGCTCAGACAACCTCTAGAGGTGGAAAGATGGCATTCTCATGTGTTTCTGGTGAGAGGACATAAAAAACTGCACCCTGAAAGACAGATCTGCTTGTTGTGGAAGCATTTGACCCTGGCAGCAGGAAATCCCGCCATCCTTTCAGCGTTTGCTCTGCGTAATTCAAGAGATGGCAGGAAGGACAAGCTCTCCCTCGTAAGGGATGTCTCCGGCAGGACATTAAAAAAAAAATGTACCTTATCAGAGTCTAAATGAAACATTCTCAGAAATTTCCTGACACAAATTAAACAAGCCAATTTTATTAGATCAGTATGAAGGGGCTTGAAACTAATTAATCAATGTAGAGATCAGATCAGCCAATGACAGTGAGACAATGGAATGAAAACTTGGCAGGTCAGTGAAAGGCCTGGATTCAGACAGGGAAACAACACTAGGTTTCATTCCCCATGGAAGAAATTCCTATTGCTCAGGAAAAGACACTGAGCTGGGTGACAAATCCACTGTCATCAGCAATCTTCTTCAGGGAGTATGCTCTTAATGACACTCAGATTGATTTTCCATTCCTGGGAGGAAGAGAAGGAAGTAGAAGTGATCAGAAAACGTAAATATCTTTTAATAAACCTGGGCAGGCTGCTGGAAGAATACATGTATACAAGAGAAATAAACAATAAAAACAGTGCACTTGGGGAAATGAGTTTCCAGCATAAACAGAGTAACTATGAGTCAGTAAAATTGGAATGAAAACAGTGTGGGGCATCTTCTGATAGGACTTAGCAGCCACACCCTCTCAGTGGAGGCAGAGGGAAACTCACAGGTAGCCTTGGGCTCATCTCTCAGGTTCCAGTTTCCTCCTTCCCTAAAACAAAGGGTTGAGCCAGATGAACTCTGTGGTCCTTTCTTTCCTAAAGATGCTACTACTATTCAATACTCTTCCAGAGCTACCCTGAGAGGTGGCCAGGTCAGCAGTGACTAAAAGCTGGTGATGACTGTGTTGTGGGAGTACAGAGAGTAGGGACTCCAAAATCAAAGCTAGACCTGGTCTCACAAGCACTCATCACTTCATTGATCAGAAGCCTCTCAAAACCTAATCAAATTGTAGCACATTATATTATACTTGCATAAGACCATGCCAGCCATGTGATGGTTCAAAATGTACACATCCCGCATGTCCCCTGGAATGGTGAAAAACACTCAACTTTTGGAGCCAGAAAAAAACTGGATTCAAATCCCTGCTGCCCCACTAGCTGGTGTTGTGATTCTACACTAGTCACTGTCATACAGCAAACTATTAGTCAGCCATTAAGAAGAATGAGGTGATCTACAGGAACTCACATGGAAAGATGGCCACGATATATTATTTAAAAGTAAATAGCAGACAATTGCCAAAAGGCAGAAGCAACTCTGACGATGGTTACATAGGTAAACTAAATGTGATATATACATACAATGGAATATTATTCAACCATGAAAAGAAAGGAAATTCTGACACATCCTACAGCATGGATGAACCTTGAAGACGTTATGCTAAGTAAGCCAGTTACAAACAAATACTGTGTGATTCCATATATGAGGTACTTAAAGTCGTGAAATCCATAGAAACAGAAAGTGAATGATGATTGTCATGGTCTAGAGCGAGAGGAGAATGTGGAATTGGTGTTTTAATGGGTACAGGGTTTCAGTTTGGGAAGATGAAAAAAGTTGTAGAGATGGATGGTGGTGATGGTTGCACAACATTGGAAATGTACTTAATGCCACTGAACTATACTCTTAAAGATCGTTAAAATGCTAAATTTTATGTTATATATATTTTAGGACACTTAAAAAAGTAAATGACAGAACAGTAAATACAGCATGATCCAATTTTGGTTAAAAATTGTGAATCTATATATTGTCTACGTATAGAGGGAAGTCTGAAAGAATATATACGACAACAGTAATAGGGGTTACTCCAGGGGAGTAGGATCAAGAAGGGGTGGTAATGGATGACACAATTTACAAGTTTCATGTGCCTCGAGACATGAAGCCTTGTGTTTGGTAGGACAATGGCAATATATTCTGACTCTCAAAAACCTCTCTGTCTCAAAAGGAAAAGGTATTCCTCATTTTCTGGTCCCTCTTTCCGGGGATGCTATCTATGACTCCCCCCAGCATTTTTTTTAAGCCAAATACAGTCTAAACTCCTTAGCCTGGTATTTAAAGCCCTATACAACTGGATTGCAGCCAGACTGTTAGCATTCCTTTTTAGCTGCCTCTATGCACCAGTATAGCAACATTCCATGTTCCCTGAGCAGTTTTTTGCCTCCACGGCTTTAAGCCATTCCCTCTATAAATTGTCATTCCTTCCAATCTATGCCTGCAGATATCTTGTCCATTCTTCAAGGATGTAGTCTCTGAATCCCTTGGTGGAAGCAATGTCTCCTCCTTCCCTCAAGGCAATCATCTCATCTCCCAGTCCTGGCTTGCTTGTATACATACATGTCTTCTCTCCCCTCAGGGACCCTGTGTTCCTTGAGAGAAAAGGCCATGCCTTATGTAGCTCAGGAATGCCCATGACACTACAGTGTAATTACACAACTGCAACAATGATGATGGTGCTGACAGCACCACGCAGTGTCACCTGCACAACCATGAGAGTGGGTACCTCCCTAAATTTTGCACCCTAGGCACTTTGCTCACCTCACCTAGTCCCAGCCTACTACCATTCATTGAATGCCTTCACTGAGTGCGTCAGGCACTGTGCTAAGAAAAGACATGTATCACTTCACTTTATCTTCACAGGAGTTTACTACGTAGGTATTACCCACATTTTGCAAATGAAGAAACCACAGCTTAGAGATTAAGTAACTTGCTTAAGATCACATTGCAAAAGTGGGGATTTGAACTCAGGCTTGACTGATTCCAAAATGTGTAGTTCCAATAATTATAGCCCACTGCCTTATCAGTATACTTGAGAACACAGTAGGCATTCAATACTTGAGAACACAGTAGCCATTCAATACTTGTATGTTTAGTGAATTTAATTGGAGAGAGGTCAGCATGCTGCTGGAAGAGCACAATGACTGTCACCCTGGTCCTGTCACAAACCTCACACTGCTCTGGAGTCCTTTGACAGGGGTAGGCACCAGAAGTATCAGCGTCATTCCTGCTTGCAGCTTTCGAAAGAAACTCCATCCTGGTTCTACTGTTAGGCCCAACTACAGCTTCCCCTCACTCTCTTCCTCAATCCATTTCAGACACCCATTTCTCTCCAACAAAAACCCGGCGCTGAACTCATCTCTATAGATGGTGAAGTCAGGAAAGAGAGTGGGAGTGGCTATGAAAACCTCTCAGATTCTGACCTCAGATGCACAGACATGAGGGAACAAGCCCTGCAGACCTGACTAAACCTGGTTAACCTTTTGTGCTGTCCAAAGCACCGATGGTAAAGAACGCCAGAGGGATTCTCAGATGCTGAGAACAGATTCCAAGAGCTCTGAGAGGCATGGAAGGAGGGGCCATGTGCTGCCGGGAGAAGTGAGGACCTTTGTGATCAGTCCTACGTCAGGGGCAGACGGCCCCAGTACTTAGGTCTATCCAGGCTGGCACTGTCCACGTGTGGCCATTGAAATGTGGCTGGTGTGAATTGAGATGTGCTGTAAGTGTAAAACACATGTACGATTCCAAAGACTTAGCATGAAAAAGGAATGCCAAATATCTCATTAATCATTTTTTATGTTGATGACTGTTAAAATAAGATTTTGGAGGGTTAAGTTAAATAATATAGATTATTAAAATTAATCTCACCTGTTTCTAGTTTTTTCAATGTGGTTATAATATATGAAGTTACATAAGTGACTCACCCTTGTGCCCTGTATTATATTCTCACTGGACAGAGCTGATCTGTAGCCCCAGACTGTTTCAGACCATGCCTTACCCCACCAACCAGGGTCCAGCTGCTGGGGCTCAGCTCTATCCTAGCTTGGGTCTCTGCACAGTGGCAGCTTTGGTGACCAATATACTCTGTAACTGCTGTAATTTAGGGGTGTCCCTGACTCTGAAGCCAACTGCAGAGGTTGAGAATAAGAAATAACTACATTTTCATGCATTCACTCACATTTCTCCTCCCAACCCACCACTCTAACTGTCTTTCTTTTAGCACAACTGTTGTAAATACATGATCCCCAGAACAGCAGCATCGCATCACCTGGGAACTCATTAGAAATGCAGATTACCAGGTACCATCCAGAAACTCTGAATCAGAAACTGTGCCCAGCAATCTATGCTTTAACAAGACCCTCCCCACGAGGACATTATTCTGATGAATTCTAATGTTTGAGAACCAGGGTCTTAGGGCACTGTTTCTGAAACTTTGTAGTGTATTAAAATCATGTGGGGTGCTTTAAAAAATTCCAATGCCCAGGCCACACCCCAGGTCAAGTAAATCAGGTTCTGTGGGGGTAGAACCCAGGCATCGGATGGATGTTTGGAAAACTCTCCACTGATTCCAATGTGCAGTCACAGTTGAGCCCCATTGCCTAAGGGTAAAGAACTCAAGAATATTAGTCGGCCATTTTCCCTATGGTGGAGAGCCTGTAGCTTTGAGCCCCGTAGAGAGAAGCCTTCCTGTGGGAGGAGAAAACAGTGTGTAAAATGAAGAAAGGGGCCAAACTGGGCATGCCTAAGCTTCGAAGGCCTCTTTCATTATAGGCTAGCTGCTGTAATGAAACAGGCAATTGCACCTGAGATTTTTCTGAAGTTGAAATGACCACGTGGAAAGGGAACAGCTTCTCTCCACAGTCCATCAAGAGGGGAGTGGCCAATGGGCCGCTTGGAGGACAAAGACCAGGGACACGCCCATTATCTGAGGCTTCAGGTATATTAAAATGAAGAAATCCCCAAATAGGGTTTCAAAAATTGTGATATACTATATTTTAGAAGTTTACATTTAATAAATTAAGGCTTTAACACGTGTAAGCTTTAAAAAAAAAACGCACAGGGTAATATAACCATCCTATTCACGGGATAATGGCAGGATTAATCTTAAAAATTCATGGGCCTGGTACCAAAATCAGGCATAAGTTTAAAGCTGATGATCATTTCCATCTTTTCAGTCTTATTAGCATATCTTCAGAGATAAATTTTTAAAAATCCAAATGTGAAGTCTCTGTGAGTGTGAGATCCCTGGATGAAAGGCCCTCCTTTGCCATGCCCCTGGGGCAGACTAAGAGGACCGCTGGAAAGAGATCCTAAGTGTGGCCCTGGAGCAGCTGTGAATGATTAGGTTGTGGGAAGACAACTGACATCTGGGTGCCTTGCGGCAGCCTGACCAGGGAGGTGGTGTCAGGGAAGCCAGAGCACCCCCCTTCCTCAGTGTGTTCCAGAGCAGTACAATACCTGCCTCCCTACACATAATGGATGCCTGCCCACCACCCTCTGTCCTCAGGCACACTTGGCTGCTGACAACAGGAAGTGAAACAGCCACACCCTCCTTTGACCCTATTAAGGTAACTCCTAGTTTGATACAGAGGCTTCCGGGGAGGGAAAGAAATAAGGGAGACACTTACCTTGTGCAGCACCTGCAGTGCTGTTGGTTTATAAAAGCACGAAATCTTCTGTCCCAGAGGCTGGACTGGGCTCATGACTGCATGTGAGATTGTGCTTTGGGAAGAGAAAGCAATCCCAGACTGAACAACAATTTTCTGGTGGCAGGTGCATCCATGAGGAGCTGCAGTCGGTCCCAGCAGCATATGCTTTCTCCTCTGGGAGGGCAACTCGGAGACGTGCAGACTAACGGGACCACTGGCTGCAAGCCTCAGAAACCTCTCAGGAGGTCCCTGGCAAGGCCTGTGGTATCTGGGCAGTGCAGGCAGCCTGGGCACCATAGGACAAAGGGGCGGGGAGTGGGGCAGGGAAGAAACAGCACAGAGGAAACAGCACACCTTGTTCTCATTGACTCGGAGTCAATGGCTGCCCACAGACTCTATTTCCTGGAGATTCAAGCCTCACACTGTCCTGTCCTCTCCCCTGAGTAAGTCTTCCAGAGAGTAAGAGCCACACCCAGGCAGAGGTGGGTGAGGCTGGGGTTCAAAGTACAGAGCCAGCCCTTTTATCTCATAGGCAGAGGAAATCATCCACTGTAAACCCACAGCGTCCTCCACCAGGGCAGCGTTTGATTCCTCCGTCTCATATCTCCGCTTGCCTTCCCTGTGGGTCAGTAGTTCCTGAGTTTCTCTAGCCTATAGAAAACATGAGGAGGAGGAGGAGAGATGGAGGGGGAGGAGGAGGAGAAGAGAAGGGAAGAATGAGCACATGGACTGCCCAGCCCCAGCCCCATGGCACCAGCATGGTAAACACTTGGAGGGAGGCCAGCCGTCTGGCGCCTCCAGTCTTCCACATCACCCCAGCCAAGATTCAGACCTGTATATTCTGGGCTCTTTCTGCCCCATTTCACCCAGGCTTTAAATTACCCAGACTTGGGTCTGGGTTATTCTATCCAAAACTTTCCTCTGAAATCTAGATTGTGATGCAATGTATACGTTCTCTAAATCAGATTTCTGAGGACTAAATGCCAGACCGCGTGGCGTAGCAGTCTGGCTGCAAACCATTTCCGTCAGCCCAGCGGAGGAACGCACAACAAGGTGCTCATCCCCGCAGCCGTGCACAGGAGACAGCAACGGTCCAGGTAAATTAGAAAGGCCTAACTTGAGCCAGCTAGTCATGGCAATTTAGGGAAAGTAAGGACTACACAGAGGCTCTGGGACGGCTTGCGGAATCAATGCCTAAGTTGCTGGATTGCTCCTTCTTTGGCTATGGAGCTAGTGGTTCCAAAATCTACCCCTTGATTCCTTAAGATGGAAGACCATTTAGACAAGCTGAGCCAAAACCCAGAGTCTTGGAACAAGCCTGTAACAATAATAGCAGCAGTAATGACAATGATTTTTAATATTCCTTGCTTAACAAGTGCTGGCCACAGTTCATGTTTTACATGGATTTACTTGGGGAATTTGATCGCTGGATCGAGGTGAGGACCATCCTCACTCCTCAGCTCCCCGGAGGACAGTCCCTTCCCCTCTGCTAGTCCTTTGACACAGACCCATTTTGACTTTTCAACTTCAACATTCTAGTTCAAGTCTTGGCCAGCTGTCAGCCTGGGCTTGTTTCTTCTCATCACAAGAAAAGAAACAGGGCTGCGAAGAGTAGCAAGCCCCTGACTGCTGCCCTTAAATGAGCTAGCCTTTAGGAGAAACACCCGAAGGTCAGGAGGCAAGCACTGTTTGCTCATGGCTATTGTTCCTCTGGGGAGCTGTGAGGGTGGGGTGAGTGGGGGAGGGTCTCTCATTTTGTGACTACACAGTATATAAAAAGCTGAAATGAAAATAATTCAGAAATTATTGTTGTCTTTATAAAACAACCTGTTCTGGGGTACCTTTCTGTACTTCCCTAAGTATATTTAAAACACAATTTTAAAATTCAATTTAACAAAGCCCCATCAAGACACATGCACTGCATCGTGCACATCTGTATAAATGCTCTTAAAGTGCAGGTTTGCATGAACCTTATTTTTCTAGAGGAGTGTGTCCTCTTGGGGAAAGAGGGAAAGAAGGCAGTAAAAATAGCATCGTGTCGCTGCTGACTGTGCATTGGCCACACAGCTAAGCACAGAGTGCCTAGAGAGCTTTGGCAGGATCATCACATGTTGTCCTCACAACAGACCCATGAGGGAGGTATCTCATCCCAATTTACAGATGAAGAAACTGAGGCTCAGGAAGATCAAGTGACGTCTTCATTATCACACAGCCATTAAGAGCTGAGCTTGGTGGGAACTCAGGCTTCCGCGACTCTAAAGACTAGAACTACAGACAAGCTGCAAAGCAAGATCAGGTCAAGATATTCTCCAAAGTTATATCCCGTGGCTCCTCAGTTACAGATGTGATTGCAGAATCCTGCCACTTCTTTTCTTTTTGGTCTCCTTGTTTTCTCAATCCAGTCAGAATGAATTTTAGATGTGTCCCAAGTGCAGTCTGCCTTCAGCCGCCGAGCCACTCAGACACTTGGAGCTAGCCCAAGTAGCCCAAGTAGTAGGTCTGTGAATAAACGTCACTTCTGGAATCATTCTTCAACAAGTACAACTTGACTAGAGAGACTCAAATACCTGCACTGGTCCCAAAGAGCCATCACCCAGTGCTGCCAAGTCTGACCAAGATGCATCCTAGCTAAGGAACCAGTCACACCACTGGCTCTCACGCCATGCCTGAGAGGAGCACAACAGGAGTTTCTCCAGGAAGCTTCCCAACGTTCAGATGAGTTGCTCTCCATGTGGATTCAGCATCCTGACGAGCTGACACCAATTCCAGGCCTGGCATGTCTAACAAATGCAGCATTCAAGCCCAAGACACTGAAATTGTTACCTCATGTTATAAAGGACCTGAAGCTGCATGCAATTAGCACTGCATCTGTGAGACTTGGGAAAGACAACTGAGAGAACAGGGTCTTAAAAAGACTATTTTGGTCCATATGGAAAATTGGTGTGTTGCATGCATGGTAAAATCCTTTCAGATATATTTTTAAACCTTATGTTTTTAAAACTGGGGACTTAAATATTATTATAGGAAAAGCAGCATGATTCCTTTAACATCAGAAGGAGATCTGTAAGTTAAAAAACTGTTGGAACCTTGTAAAGAAATTAACATTGTGAATGAACTCAGGCATTAGTGCAAATTAATCAAACTGCATACATTATAATTTTTAATCAGTCATGGAATTTCAATACTTGAAGGGACCTTGGAAATCATCTGTCCCAAGAGCAAGAATTATGGAAGATAAATGGGCAGGTGGAGAAAAACCTCCTGGCTAGAGAAAGGCACAGAAAAAACAAAGAGTTGGGAGACAGCATGCACAGTGGTTTGAAAGCTCAGGGATTTGCACACACAGCCTGGGTTCGAAGCTCAGCTTTGCTTTTTGATGGCAGTATGAACCAGGCTGAGTTGTTTGACCCTCCTATGTGACAGTTTATAAACAAAAGGTTATTCTGAGTCTTAAGAGAGACCATCCATAGAAAGGGCTTAGTATGGTCCCTGGGATACCATATGGTGCCTGGGACATCAGTGCTGAGTAAATATTAGCTCTATAGAAAAAGGAATTTTACAAACATAATCTGAGTGAGCCAGACTGACACACTATGTATAACTGTGGTCTTTCTCTTTTATTTGGCTATGAAAGAAAAGCAAAATGCAGTATATTGAAGCATTCAGATTTCTGACCATGAGAACAGGACATAATACCCAAGGTCTTTTTTGGAATAAAAAATGATCTTCATAAAAGGGAATCACATTTCAGCTGTAAATAAAGTCAGACCTAATAATCAAGAAAAGAGGGCCCCATGGAGATGGTGAATCACGTATATGAGTAGGTGAAAGCTGCCTCCAAAGGTCTTGATGCAAAGCTGTCCAAGGTTTAGAACTCTGGGCACATTTCTGGCCAAAAGAGGTTCAAAATCATCATCCATGGTGTTCTGTTCTAGTCTTAAGATGGAACTAGTGCTGCATTAAGTGTCTGATTGGGAAAAGTTAATGGTTAACAAATAAGATATAACTCTCTGGGACATCTTGATATAAATTTAGTTTAGCCTTATAGTATAACAATTATTAATTATGCTGAGGGAGGGAACATAGATTGGTGGAAAACTTGTAGGCTCTGGAATAGAACAAATCCTAGAACTGTCAATTGGTACTGTGAGATCTTAAACAAGAGATACAATGTCTTCAACCTCAGTTTCCTCATAGTTGCCATGAAGGGCCAGCACAGTGCTTGCCACACAGCTGGTACCCAAGAGGCATTCATTTTCTCTTTGCATTCATTCTACATTTGTTATATTAAACAGCTCTATTTTTTTTAATTTAAATAGGTTTTTGGGGAACAGGTGGTGTTTGGTTACAAGAATAAGTTCTTTAGTAATGATTTCTGAGATTTTGGTGTACCCATCACCTGAGCAGAGGGGGTGGGAGGGGGTGAGGGATAAACAGCTCTATTTTTGGGTGGAAGAAGAGGGCTATACTTGTTTGACTCAGTTTCCAATACAGATAGGAAGCCCAGCAGTTCAGACCAACACTAAGAATAGACAACACTCTATTCAGCAGCAACACACCTGAATTACAGACACGGTGTTTGTGTGGGAATCAGCTCTGGGCTACTAATTTCCCAAACCCAAACCTATAGTGGCAGAAAAGACAGCTGTACTCAGAGCAAGAGACACGTCTTCATCCTATTTCTGTTACTAGCTAGCCTTTTTACCGTAGGCAAGCCACTTAACATTTAACCTGTGTGTCTGGCTCCAAATCTACAAAATGAGGGCTTTGACCAGATAACATCCAAATTTCCTTAGAGCTCTCAAAATTCTATGTTTTTATAGTTTGGGTTCATGCTGTTTGTTAACGTGTGTGACCACTTCTACTCCAAAAGCCACAGGGCCCTGCTCCATGTCCTCCACCTTGGTTCAAGCCATGATTTTTTTCCTAGGTTAGCGGCTCCATATTAACAGCAGTTGCACAAACAGAATCTAAGTGAGCGAGGCTGCCAGCTGTCACTACTGTATCTTCTGCTTACTCTGGAGATCAGCCGAAGCTGTGTGATCCCAGAATAAATGGATCTGCCATGAAGATAGGATTTTACTGCAAAAATGAGTTTTCTGATGGGTTTAAAGCCACAAAAATACTCTGAAGGCTGTTTTATACCTAAATCATGCTATATGAATTAAAAAGTAAAACACAACCTCTCATACCTCTTCAGGTTTTAGTTTCTTGTGGCTGATATAAATTTCACTTAACTCCCAACTGACATACGCAAAAACATTTTTTGGGGTCAGAATTCAAAATAAAATAGGGGCACATGCCAATTGTAACCCCATACAAACCAATGGGGGCAAGGGCTGGTTTTATAGAATGTTAAGCACCTCATGAAACTAAAGGTTTGATTCATCACTGTAGCTTTATAGTTTCCTTGACACTTAGCAGTGTTTTGTACCTAGCAGGCTGGAAGCTGTTTGAAGGCAGAGATGATACTTCATTCATATCTAACATAGTGCACTGGTATATTGGAAGTACATGTATTATCTGGCATAGTGCACTGGTATAGCATAGTATTATCTAGCATATCATATCCAGCATAGTGCACTGGTATATTGGAAGTACATTAGTTTGCTAGGGCTACCATAACCAAATACTGCAGACTGAGTGGTTTAAACAACGGAGATTTATTTTCTTACAAGTTTGGAGGCTAGAAGCCTGAGATCAAGGTGTCAGCAGGGTTAGTTTCTTCTAAGGCCTCTCTCCTTGGCTTGTAAAAGGCCATCTTCTGTCTGTGTCTTCTCGTAGTCTCCTCTCTATACACACCTGTCCAAATTTCCCCTTCTTATAAGGATACTAGTAAAATTGGATTAGGGCCCACCCTCACTTTAATTACGTCTTTATAGACATATCTCCAAATATAGTCACATTCTGAGGTACTGAGGGTTAGGACTTCAACATATGAATTTGGGGTGATAGGCGGGACAATTCAGCCCATAACATATGCTGAGTAAGTAGTGTATGCATAAATGGTGGATGGATGGATGGATGGATGAATAGATGGATAGATTAATGGATGGATGGATGGTTAACAATCAGGTGATCAACAAATACTTGATGCATTGAGTAAATTCACACAATCACTTGTGGAGACTGGGTTTTACTATAATATCACCCCAAAGATTTTAAATTATATATTTTAATCCAGCCTTACAAGAAAGTTTAAAAATCATTGCCTATCAAATTCTATCAAGCTAACAAAAAAAATAGCCACACCCAGACTTACGAATGCCATTTCCCTATCCTAATCATTCCCATCTTTAATGACTTCCTATAGCTGAGAGAACACCAGTATTTGCCTACAACAAATAACTACTACTTCTCCCATGAATACCTACATACTTAAAAACCTTCACATTAAGAAAACAGAAAGGAGGCCGGGCATGGTGGCTCACGCCTGTAATCCCAGCACTTTGGGAGGCTGAGGCAGGTGGATCACTAGGTCAGGAGATCAAGACCATTCTGGCTAACACGATGAAACCCCATCTCTACTAAAGATACAAAAAATTAGCTGGGCATGGTGGCGGGAGCCTGTAGTCCCAGCTACTCAGGAGGCTGAGGTAGGAGAATTGCTTGCACCCGGGAGGTGGAGGTTACAGTGAGCTGAGATCACACCACTGCACTCCAGCCTGGGTGACACAGCAAGACTCTGTCTCCAAAAAAAAAAAAAAAAAAAAAAAAAAGGATTAAGAGAACAGTTTTAGTTAAATCTGTTGCCTGATATTTCATTGTTTGATTGCCTCTAACTGAACCTGGCTAGTACTTAGTTTCTAGGTTGCCTTAACACTTTGATTCCATTCAACAAACTACAGAAATGCCCCATAGAATTGAAGGTAAGAGGAAATATGCCTACCAGGGACCTCAAGAAATCTTCCTTCTGATTCATCTGGTCACTGCGAGTGTTTGTTACATCTCTAATGATATAGAAAGTCATAAGCCAACCCTCCATCACCAACGTTCCTTCTCTATTTTTCTGTCTATCAAATGAAGTTGGTCATATGTAAACCTATCAAGGGAGTTGTAGGTGCACACCTAGACAAGGGTCAGAGGAGTGCCTGAGCTCCCCTGCCCTGACCTCAATGCCCTGAGTCATGTTGCTGGCTGCAGTTCTGACTCAGAGCTCCCACAGTATCAGCCTACATCATGACAGGAAGTGCCGCCAGAAGTCATGCTCAGCTCTACTGAATGAACTGTTTGTCACAGCTAGTATGAAACTGATTCACTGGTGTCATGGGACCATGTAGGCACTCACTCATTCATTCATTCATTCATTCATTCTTCAGTCATCCATTTCCTACTGGAATCTTGTCTAACAGAAAAGCTATAGCATAGCATCTCTTGAAACAACTGTGATAATTTTAAAAGTCCTGTTATGATTTATACCATTTTTGTCCTTAAAAATTATAACAGAGCAATAGATGGGTTGTGTGAGTTCTGTCTGTATAATATGTGATTTAGGTATTAAAATTTAAAGACAAATTTATGGAGGCCTTTTGTCTGTGACAGTGATGAATTATCTTGGCTCTGACCCTTGGGCAAACTGGCTACACTAAACTTAGAGTTCACACATGCAGCGGTTCCTCTGCTGCCTTCCCCGAGGCTTCCTGAGACAGATAGTATGAATTAATATTTTCTTTTTTTTTTTTTTTGAGACGGAGTCTCGCTCTGTCGCCCAGGCAGGAGTGCAGTGGCGGGATCTCGGCTCACTGCAAGCTCCGCCTCCCGGGTTCACGCCATTCTCCTGCCTCAGCCTCCCAAGTAGCTGGGACTACAGGCGCCCGCCACTACGCCCGGCTAATTTTTTGTACTTTTAGTAGAGACGGGGTTTCACCGTTTTAGCCGGGATGGTCTCGATCTCCTGACCTCGTGATCCGCCCGCCTCGGCCTCCCAAAGTGCTGGGATTACAGGCGTGAGCCACCGCGCCCGGCCTGAATTAATATTTTCACAGGCATTGCTAGGCATGATGTCACTTGATTTTGGCTCCAGGTGGAGGATGGGGCCCATGAGGTTCAAGGTTCCCCACTCCGCAGAGTTTTTTCCCCATTCCTACACACCCAGACATTTGTATCGAGAATTGATCAAAATGCATTCATGTGCTATAACTTCTTGTCAGGGATTCAAACCAAGTGATTTCTGACCTCTCTCCATCTGCCTCTCTTTTAAAAATATGTTTTAATTGTCTTGTTTTAGACATGTTTTATTGTAAATTACTTCACATTCTTTTTGAGAATAGGTGGCATGTAAATCATAGTTGAAGAAAAACCTTCAAGCCAGCATAATATTCCCAGAGCACAGAAAGCTCAGTGGGGAGGGGGCAAGGAGAGGCTGGTTGCCCTTGGGCCCACCCATTAGGTGTACCTGTCACTCCCACCATCAGGCTCTGTTCTCTGCAGGCTGAGGGATGATGGAAGAACAATCCAGAGGTCTGTTAGGAGCCCCACTCTGTCAGAAGCAGAGCATCCAATTCACTCAGGCCTTGCTCTACTGACAACTTCATGTCACAGAGGGACAAGGATGTTGTGAGGGAGCTACTGCTTGGATCTAATTTTGGCCATTAAAGGTGAACTAGGTGGATAACACAATGGAATCGACTGGCACTTAGACAGAAAAGGACCTTGTCACTATGTGATTCTCAAGAGCCAAGGAAGTGAATGCAAGCCGTCTATGTTCCTGAGACTGCAAGAATGAAGAACTCTACAAGTCCAGAGAAAAGAAGGTGATTCAGTGGATTAAATCTCAGAGGGCAGCAGAATGTGGAGGTTAAAGTACACGCTCAGGAATCTGGACAGACCTGAGTCAGGCTCTTGGCGCTGTCCTTACGGCTGTGCAAATGTCACCTCTCTGTATCTCAATATCCTCATCTGTAATCGTGAATAATAAGACCTACCTTATATGTCAACATTGAGAATTAAATGAGATCACATATATAAAGCCCCTAGTATGGTTTACTATTATGGTGAACACTCAGTAAAGGTTATTATTGTTGTTATTATTGTTACCATTATTGCAGACTTCCTATATGTAAGGCACAAGGCTAAATGCTCTTTGATTCCATGGTCAGAGACTCTAATCATGTAGAACTTGGTTCTAGAAAGACTGGAGGCTCCACCTAATTTAATTCTGACTCTACTCTGGAGAGGAGGAAGAGAGGGAACTATCCAAAAAAATTACTGTCTCCAATGAGCTTATATTTTACAAGGACACTCACAAAGGCAGGAAGGAGGAATTTGCAGCCAACAGCAGATACAAAGGAGTGGCATCAAAAGAAAGAATCAAGTCACGGAAGTAGAAGGCTGGGGCACAGGAGAATGCACACATAAAATACACCAGGAGCCACTGGGGTGGGTTCAGAACAAGAAAAAGAACAAGAGAAGAGTTTGGCCTCCTGCTGGGGGCAGATGACACAGTTAATTTAGAGATGATACAGTGAAAACAGAATTACTCAACTCCTAGTTTGCTTCCATCTTCTTTATCAGGAATGACCTTCGAGCCAGAAAGAAGAACAAAAATATGGCCAAGAGGAAATTAAAGTCTGTGATAGTGAGGAAGTAGGAGGAGAGCACCTGGCTGCTGCATTTAAGTCTCCAGCCTCAGATGAATTACATCTCAGCACCGTCTATACAGGCACCCCAATACTCACTGCAACAGGAACAGTAAAATAAGCAGCTCTAGGACCCTAAAATAACAGGAATTCATTTACAATATCTGACATCTGAAAAAAATGGAAATATTATAATATATGAGACTTTATGAAGCATGGTAGAACTTGCAGAAACTTGCAGAGGGGCAAATGTCTCCGTTTTATTAACAGGGACTTTTAGCAAAATTCTAACGCAGCTTAGACACCTTGTGTTGACCCAGGAAGATGAATGCTGGTCAGACTAACCTCATCTCCTCTCTGACAGGGTTCCTCAGGTAGTAACTGTTCCATTGTCTAGTTAGAAAATGGTGACAAACAAGTCAGCACACTTTCTTTGTGGACAAGGTAGAGAAATACAAGCTCCATGATAATACAGTAAGGAATATTCAGAGGAGCTCAGCTATAATCCGCTAAAAGGACTGGAGAACAGGATAATATTATTCTGTACAAAGATGTGAATTGGCACATGACTTGGTCTTCAGTGCCTCTCTATACAAAAACAGTAATGATCTGCAAGACAAAGGAAGTTTGCTGACATCTGCTGGGAGAAAGATCAGGAGGCAGCTGGTGAGGTGGAGGAGGGGTTGAGAGCTCAGGCTGCGGAAGTAGAGACCTGTTGGAATCCCAGCTCTACCACTTACTAATTGTGTGATGTTAAAGAAGTTACTTACACTATCGGACTCAATTTCCCTATCTGGAAAGTGGAGATAATGATTGTATATACCTTACTATATGAGGTAGATTAAATTAGTACGTAAAGCATTTAGAATAGTACCTGATTATAGAAATTATCATTATAAATGGGATCCCATTATAAATGGGATCACTTTGTGTCAGGAAGTGATGGAATCTCACAAGATGAAAGCTGTAAAAATAAGATATTGACTATAACTTACACTACCCCAGAAGGAAAACAACCTAAAAGTCTAACAATAGGAGACTTATAGTACATACATATGATAGACTATTACAGCCATTAAAATCATGTGGCAGGCAACAAAAGCAAAAATAAACAAGTGGGACTACATCAAATTAAAAAGCTTCTGCACAGCAAAGGAAACAATCGAAATGAAAAGGCAGCCTACAGGTTGGGAGATAATATTTGCAAACCATATATTTGATAAGGGGCTAATATCTAAAACATATAAGGAACACACACAACTCAAAAGCAAAAATATGAATAACCAGATTAAAATATAGGCAAAGGACCTGAATAGACATTTCTCCAAAGAAAGTATAAAAATTACTTTTTATACTTTCATAACCAACAGTTATATGAAAAGGTACTCAACATCACCAATCATCATGGAAATGCAAATCAAAATCACAATGAGATATCATCTCACACCTGTTAGGTTGGCTATTATAAAAAGACAAGAGATCAGTGTTGACAAGGGGATGGAGAAAAGGAACCCCTTTGCAATGCGGTGGGAATGTAGATTGGTGCAGCCATTGTGGAAAACAGTAGGGAGGTTCCTAAATAAACTAAAAATAGAACTGTAATATGACCTGGCATCCTCTTCTGGGTATATACCCAAAGGAAATGAAATCACCGCCTCGTAAAGATAACTGTGCTCTTATGTTCACTGCATTATTCACAATAGCCAAGATATGGAACAACTAAAGTTGTCCTTCAACAAATGGATGAAAACAGAAATTGTGTTGTGTGTGTATATGTATCTATAGATATCTATAGATATCTATATATATCTATAGATATATATACACAATGGGATATTAGTCACCCTTAAAAAAGGAGATCCGGCCATTTGTGACAACATAAAAAGGACATTATGCTAAGTGAAATAAGCCAGACATAGAGAAAATATTATATTATCTCACTTATATGTGGAATCTTAAAAAAATCAAATACACTGGGCGTGCTGGCTCACGCCTGTAATCCTAGCACTTTGAGAGGCCAAGGCGGGCGGATCACAAGGTCAGGAGTTCAAGACCAGCCTGGCCAATATGGTGAAACCCTGTCTCTACTAAAAATACAAAAATTACCCGGGCTTGGTGGTGGGTGTCTGTAGTCCCACCTACTTGGGACGCTGAGGCAGGAGAATCGCTTGAACCCAGGAGGCGGAGGTTGCAGTGAGCCAAGATCGTGCCGCTGCACTCCAGCCTAGGAGACAGAATGCGACTCCGTCTAAAAAAAAAAAAAAAAAAAAAAAAAATCAAATACATAGAAGCAGAGAGTAGAACAGTCATTACCAGTGGCCAGGGGTGGGAGAATGGGAAGACGTAGATCACAGGGTACAAATAAACAAGCAAATAAATATGTACATAAATAAAAATACAGTCATGTTACAGAAGACTAATTACTCTAATAAGGAAAATGAATCAGGGAAAGGGAAAGGAGAATGATGGAGGCAGAGGTACTGTTTGGGCAAGGTGGTCCCTGAGAGAGGGTATGGGATCAGGGGCTGAAATGGACTGAGCCTCGTAGCGCTGGGGAAAGCAAATGCTCTCAACAGGAAAGGGCTTGAGCTGGAAAGAAGCCCTGGAGATGGAGTAGGTAAGCAGAGGGGAGAACAGAAGGAAAGGAAGAACGAAGCTGGAGAAGGCCCATCACACAGGCCCCTGCAGGCCAGAGTAAGGAGCGATTGGGGTTTCATTTTACGTGATATGGGAAGCCACTGGATGACTCTGAGCAGGAGAGAGTCAGGATTTTAAAGGATCACAATGGTTATTTTTTGGAGAACAGAGTGTAGGGGAGTAAGAATGGAAGCAGGGAAACCAATTTTAGGGGATAGTAGTTTAGTAGTTTTACAGTAGTTTAAGAAAAAGATAGAGGTGACTTATGTTGGGAAAAAATGGTGAAAAGTGTCAGACTCAGGATATATTTTGAATGGCAAACAGCATGATCCTAATTTTATAAAAAAGAAGCACATACACATATTGGAAATATACATATGCAGATATTAACAGAGGTTATCTCTGGATCATGCTGTTCATGGTAACTTTGATTTCCTTCTTTGTACGTTTCTGCATTTTCAAAGTTTCCACAACAAACTTGTAGTATTTAATCAGAAAAAAAGAAGATATTTTTGGAAAAGGTATCTCTTTTTTTTCTAAAAGGAAAAATGAAAGGCAGGCCAAGTGAGGTGTGGACGAGCAACAGCCTAAGTAAAGAGATGTCAAGGATCTGACTGACCATAATTTCAATACTGACAGTGTAAATGACTAGCAGAAATAGTAATGTCTCCTAAGATATACTAATAATATTAGTATACTATTATACTAATATTAGTATTATTAAACATACTAGTAATAGGACATCGTGCACTCTGGGGAGGCAGGTGATTGTCCCCTTCCACTCTGCTTTATTCAAGCCCACCCCTGGTGTAGCATGTACACTTCTGGGCACCAAAATCTAAGATCCAATTGAGGCTGGGTGTGGTGGCTTGTGCCTCAGCTGGATCTTAGATTGGATCTTAGATCCCAGCATTTTGGGATGCTGAGGCAGAAGGATCACTTGAGGCCAGGAGTTCAGGACCAGCTTGGCCAACATAGTGAGACCCTGTTTCTACAAAGAATAAAAAAAAAAAAAAATAGCTGGGCATGGTGGCTACTTTAGAGGCTGAGGTGGGAGGATTCTTTGAGCCCAGGAGTTTGAGACCTTAGTGAGCCATCATTGCACCACTGCCCTCCAGCCTAGGTGACAGAGTGAGAACCTGAAAGAAAGAAAGAAAGAAAGAAAGAAAGAAAGAAAGAAAGAAAGAGAGAAAGAAAGAAAGAGAGAGAGAGAGAGGAAGGAAGGAAGGAAGGAAGGAAGGAAGGAAGGAAGGAAGGAAGGAAAGAAAAGAAAGAAAGAAAGAAAGAAAGAAAGAAAGAAAGAAAGAAAGAAAGAAAGAAAGAAAGAAAGAAGGAAAGAAAGAAAGAAAGAAAGAAAGAGGCCGGGTGCGGTGGCTCACGCCTGTAATCCCAGCACTTTGGGAGGCCGAGGCGGGTGGATCACGAGGCCAGGAGATCGAGACCATCCTGGCTAACACGGTGAAACCCTGTCTCTACTAAAAAATACAAAAAATTAGCCGGGCATAGTGGTGGGCTTCTGCAGTCCCAGCTACTCCAGAGGCTGAGGCAGGAGAATGGCATGAACCCAGGAGGCGGAGCTTGCAGTGAGCCGATATCGAGCCACAGCACTCCAGCCTGGGCCACAGAGCGAGACTCCGTCTCAAAAAAAAAAAAAAAAAAAAAAAGAAAGGAAGAATCCAACTGAACTAGAAGAGAACAGTCAGGACTGGGAGGGGACTTCAAAGCATGCACTGTAATAATGGGGGTAGTTACTACCCAATGAGCACCCACTCTGTGTCAGGCACTTAAAAAATGTGCAGTATTTAAGATATGAGATGCTCACTTGAATGGAAGGAAAAGGGTGGCAAATGAACATTTTTTGAACACTTAAAGAGCCAGTGCGAATCACTTTTCACACTTTATTGCATCCAATCCTCACCACAACACTCTGAGATAAGCATCTCTGTTCTATAAATTTGAGTTAGGGATACAGTATTGCATCGCTGTGGGCTCTGGAGCCCAAGAGGCTGTGCTCAAATTCTAACAGATATGTGACCTTAGCCTTACTACTAAGCCTTATTCCTAAGTCTCAGTTACCTCATCTACAAAAAGGTGACCTTTTTGTAGATGGGGTTGTTTAAAGACTAAATTTGTTAATATATTACAGCACTTAGCACAGTACTGGGCAAATAGTAAGGTCAATAAACATTAACTGTGATTGTTAAAAATGTGACTAAGATTACCCAGTGAGTAAGCTGGGGAGCCAGTGGAGAACAAAATAAGCTGAGGCCTCTGGGGATTCATTTGGTGAAGTTTTGTCATAGGGAAGAGGTTCCTACTGACATCAGGAAGTAGAACCAGGCTGGGTGAGTTGGTTCATGCCTGTAATCCCAACAATTTGGGAGGTCAAGGTGAGAGAATCACTTGAGGCCAGGAGTTTGAGACCAGCCTGGGCAACACAGAGAGACCTCTTCTCTTAAAAAGAAAAAAAATTAAATTAGCCAGACATCATGGCATGCACCTTCCAACATTGTGGCCTGCACCTTCCAAGCCCTAGCTACTTGGAAGGCAGAGGCAGGAGGATCACCTGAGCCCAGGAATTAGAGGCTGCAGTGAGCTATGCTCTCACCACTGTACTCTAGCCTGGGCAACACAGCAAGACCCCATGTCTGAAAAAAAAGTAGAACCAGACCCAGTGAACAGAAGTGTAACAGGGTATCTGGTAGGAAGCAACCTGAAATTAAATAGCTGGGTAATGACAGTTACTTTTCTGTCTAAGTGGACACCGATCTTCCCCATTTGGCAAAGAGTCATTAAGGGGCCACTCTTACTCATGATGCTGTGAGATATTTAACACTCTGTTGCCCTGGAGAGGACAGTCTAGTAGAAGTTATATGTGGCCTGACAAAGCCTGCCCCTCCAATACCCCTGTTATGCAGAGCTGGTCTCTGATGAAAGGCTGAACAATTGCAGGGAGGTCAAGGAGCCTCCTAGCAGGAGACATTATTAGAACCTTCCTGATGGGTTAGGATAGACCCCACAAGAAGCCTGGAGGAGAAAAGGACATCAAAAATTCCAAAGGGGAAACTCACCATGAGAAAAGGGACAGTCTAGACTGATGATCCAGTGTTACCAGCAGGATTAAGGGTACAGAGGTGTGAGAAGGCTGGTCCCATGTATCCCATGGCTGAGACTAGAAACTCTTCTGGTTGTGGGTGTGATTTGAGAACAATGACTGAGCACTATGAACTAAAAGAGCTGTAATCTTGAAGTCCAAGTCCTAGGTCCATGAAGAAGACCTAAGTCAGTGAGAGAATCCCTGCAGCAGTGGGGAAGTGGCTGCTGGCCTGTGTAGAGCCAGTTTTCAATATTACCCCACAGGAAGAAGCAGCAATATTGGCAGACCACTTGGACTGCTCAGTTTTTTCTCCGCTTGCTTTTAGAACTGGGACTTAGCCCTTTTGGAATGAATGAAGACCAGAGTGTTCTTGGCAATCTTGGATGTTTAGAAGAGGTGAGAGGCGATAGGGCCTTAAGAGAGAGATACTGGGCTTCCTATTAGTATTATCAGGAAGATGTTCTGGCAACTAATAGGGGAATAAAAGATATATCTATTATTTGTACTCCCCAGGTCATTAAAGTGGGTTATATCATGGGTTATATCAGTTGTATATAACTTAATAAAACTGAAATAAGCTTAATGTTAAGGACTTTCTAAAAATCAGGATTAATAATAATAATAGCAGCTAGTATTTATTTGGTGCTTACTATATGCCAAATTCTACCTCCCTTAGCTCATTCATCATCACAAAACCCTATGAATGTGAAAGCAACACAATAGTACATGGATGAATAAATGGATAAACAAAATATGGCATATATATATATATATATATATATACACACACACACACACACACCACATACAAAGGAATACTATTCA
Organism: Homo sapiens; assembly: GCF_000001405.40. Lineage (NCBI taxonomy): Eukaryota > Metazoa > Chordata > Mammalia > Primates > Hominidae > Homo > Homo sapiens. The sequence goes on along the minus strand of NC_000014.9, from coordinate 31,928,950 downwards.
ACCTCAAAGAGGAGGGAAATTCTGACATATGCTACAAAATAGATAAACTTGGAAGACATTATGCTAAGTGAAATGAGCCAGTCACAAAAAGACTATATTTTCCATGTATATAAGGCATTTAGAGTATAAAAAATCATAAAGACAGAAAGTAGAATGGTGATTCCCAGTGGCTGGGAGGAGGTAGAAATGGGAGTTATTGTTTAAGAGGTATAGAGTTTCCATGTTACAAGATGAAAAGAGTTACGGAGATGGATGGTGGTAATGATTGCAGAACATTATGAATATATTTAATATTACTAGACTGTTCACTTAAAATTGAGTAAGATGGTACATTTTATACGTATTTTACCACAGTTAAAAAAAAAATGTTAGGGGAAAAAACCGGCTATGAGGTAGCAGTTGTTTCTATCACCATTTTACAGATGAGGAAACTGAGGCAGAAAGAGGCTAAAGTATCTTGTTCAAGGTCACACAGTAGACATGGGTGGAACAAGAATTACATGACAGGGCCTCCTGATCACAGAACCTATTCTTTTACCTCTGTCCTCTTCTCCCTTTCTGTAAAGATGGAGAGATACAATGCCCCATGGGGATGCAGTTGATGGGATTAGAATAGATGGGTGGTTGGACTATAACACCTACAAAATCCATTTCTTTGCTGCAGCACTTCCTTCCAACCTTTAGAATTTGTGTGCTTCATTTAGCTCTACAGAATTACTATCAAAATGAACTGTTTGCTATGGTTGGAAAACAAGCTTAGGAACTACTGCTAAGGAATATAAAGATAAACCACATACTGAGATGCATTCTAAGTCTACAGGTCAAACCTATTACAACAATCTTTAGAGAAACAGCATTTGTTCATCCAACAAATATTTATTACATGCCTTCTATATGTATTGTTCTAGGTGCTTGGTATATAGCAGTGAACTAAATGGACAAAGATCTCTGCTTTTGTGGATTTTACAGTCTTGTGGAGGAGAGAAAATAAACAGTAAACCCAGTAACTCAGTAAATAATATAGTACATTAGGAGGCAATAAGTACTTGATCACAGCTGCAGTTTTAAATTAGGTTGGCAGGGGAGACCTCATTGAAAAGGTGACATCTAAGCAAAAGCTGAAGGTGTCAGAGGCAGCCACGTGTGAAGGAAGAACATTTCAGGCAGAAGAAATATCCAGGGCAAAGGCCTAAGACAAGAGCCTGTGCGGCTGGAGTTGCTACAGGGAGGCCCATGTGACTAGGGCAGAGATGGGGAGGGGGTGAGGAGTGTGAGGTCGGTGCAAGCAGTGAAGGAGGGGTTGATTATACAAGTCTTCCAGGCCACTGTAAAGACCGTGGCTTTACACTGAGTGAGATGGGGAAGCATTGCAGGGTTTTCAGCAGAGAAGTGACATGATCTGACTCACACGGGATATATGAAAACACACCGTATTTAATATTGTTTTGACTTGAAAAGATTCTTTATCACTGAGATCACTGCTCATGAGGAAATGGAGCTTACATCTAAGCAAATGTCATCACTATGTGCTGAGAACCCCACTGATCCTGTGAGTGCAGTGGAAGGAGAAGGAGTTGGGGGAGTTGAGTAAAAACAGTTGTGTCATTTTTTTCAAAGAGCTGCTGGGAGGAATAACTAATAACAATAGCTGTAAAGGTCACTGCAAATATTAAGTGCTATCAAATGCTAACTATTATTTAAAAATAGAAAGCCTGTCATTATTCTTTGGCCCAGGAGTCAGGACCTCTGGCAGCCTGCACGCCTCGGCCAGCCTGTTAATGTTTCAGTGCCTTTAAAGGACTTTCCCATCAGACTATGTTATCTGATGGCTGTGTCTCCCATCTACAGCTATGGTGGGAGGAACTGAGCTATTTACCGCATATACTCTGCAACAAAACACAATCCTGAGGGTAGGGGTTGATGAGCATTTGTTTTTTGTTTTTGCTTTTTTAAAAATCATTAATTCTTAGGCTGCACTTACAAAACTCCCTGAAAGCACTGAACATTTGAATGAATGACATGGGTTTACATGTAAAAAGTTCTTGCAGCGAGTTGTTTACACCAATCTATTGGGTCATGGAAATTTTGCTCAAGATTTGTTTGTGTGGGAATAACACTGAAATACTAGCTTGTCGGAGCCAGCTTTGAAACTAACACAATGAATAGCTATTGTTCTGACAGAATATCCGGCAGCTCATGTCTACATACACTGAAGATGACCTTCCTCTTTAGAAATAGTTCCAATCATTATATATATATTTTAAAGTGTTATTGGTGTACCCAATGTTCTAGGTGCCTGGGGAGAAGGGACATTGTATAAAGATATTTCAGTTTCTCTCCTAAAAGGATTCCACAGCTACTCTATTTGGTAAGTCAGGTTGCCAATATTACACATTCCTGGTATGAAAAGATATGTTACAGAGATAGAAAATAAAGAAAGGAAAAGGTAAGCTTGTCATTTAACACCTATTAAGTACCAGGTTCTATGTTATGATATCATTTCACTTCACCAGCACAACCTAATGAAAACAGATACTGTCCACCATTTTGCAGATGAGGGACTAAGACTTAGATTATGTCACTTGCTAACTTTAGTTAAGTAACACTAATTTAGTAAGTGTCAGAACTGGGATTTGAACTTTGTGCTGTTGATTCTAAATCTGTGCTTTCCCACCACACAGACCTGCGGTCAAGAAGACTGCCACCTAGTGGGTATGACAAGACTTAGGTATAGAAATCATCTGGAGAAAAACACAAGCAGCACATAACCAAATGTTTAATCCACATGACTCCAAGACACCTGGGTTTAATTCTACAAACAAGTACAAAGGCCTACAAAAAGCTAGGCTTTAAGCAGAGTACTTGCAGGGACATTAATGGAGTAGAAGAACTAAAGGAGGTAAAGATTTTTCTATCAATGACATATATGCCTCAGATAATCCAAGATGACTGAGAAGAGAGGTGCAATGTTGTAGGCCCAAGATGACACTGCTCACTTTTTGACGTGCTAGGCCCATTCATTTCTTACACCTAAAATTCCATCGTCTACAAGCCAACAGTCTTGCGTGGTGAGATGTGAATAAGTCCTATGCAGTAAGTCTTCACGCATTAAAGAAAATGAGAATCAGAGGTCACAAAGACAGTTGTAGCATCCATAGATAATGATGAATATAAGTCTAAAATGTGATTGAACACCTGTTAATGTTTTAGGAAATCTTTAGTTCCTAGGATGCCTGTCCTGTTTTTTGTAATCCACTGATATCCACTCTGGGAATGGCAATCGTGCTAGTTACGAAACTATAATCTCTCAGCTCTAAACTTCTATGCTCTGACTTGTGGCTCTGGGCTGGGACTCTCTTGCCTGCTGGCTCCAGAGTAGGCTCTGTCAAGGAGTGCTAGACAGAGACAGTAAGGCTGGAAAAGGAAGAAGGAACCTGCCTTTTTCTGTTTGCTTTCTGGTTGCTTCCTACTTGTCACTGCCTCTGCAGTCTACTTCTTTACCCTGGCAGAGGCAGTTCATTTGGTAGCAACAGTTGATTCTAGTTTGCAGTTTCTCTAATATTCACAAACTTCATAGTGTACAACCCCCACCACCATCCTCCCCATCCCCCAAAGCTTTTTAAGTTTTAATAATTCTGACCTCTTCCCATGTCCCTCTAGTTCTAGGGCTGTCCTTCAGTTACTACCACCATGAATACTGTAATGTACTCTTTGTCTTTTCAGTTCCTCCACACCTAGTTAACAATTCTTTATATTAAATTCTCTCTGTTAAAATAATTGATGTGGTTTCTGTCTGTTGACTGACATATAATTAATTTCACTGTTATTTAAATTAAAGCACATTGGAAAGCTATTTAGTGTATGCTAAGGTCCAACACAAATGTTTGGAATAGGAATATTTAGTTAATCTCCTGCACATAAGGCTGATGGTTCATGTCCAACTGACCATGTCCCTGCCTGGTTTAAGACCTTACAATGACCTCCCCATTCCATAATGGATAAAGTCCAAACTCCTAGCACCAGGCTCTCCATGACAATCTCTGCTCCTCTCCAGACCCATCTGCCTCAACCATGCCTTCTCTGAACCGACCATGCTGTTTTTCATACTCCATACCTTTGCCTAGGTTGTTTCCTCTGCTAAGAATTTATCTGTCAAAGCCCAGCTCAGGTGTCACCTCTTCTAAAAAGCGGTGTCTTCCCTGTTTTTATTTTCCTTCTAACAGCTAAACACTCCCTACTCTGTACTCCTGGTACTTCTAAGTCTAAATGTGCTCTCCTATCAGACCACAGGCTTCTTGAGGCCAAGGTAGACATCATATTCTATCATGTTTTAGTACCTGGTATAGTGTGGAGCACTCAGTAGGCCCTTAACTAATGTTTGGTGACTTAGAATTATCTGTAACTTTTTCATTATCCAAGTTTCTTGCTACCCAATTGAAGCATAGAGTTAAACAACAACTCAATGTTCAGAGAATTTTAAAACTCATTTCCTTTCCTCTTCCATTGGGATGAAACACTTCTCCAAATCCAAAGCTGTATATATTTGCACTAGGTTTTATCCTAGGAGGTGAGGACATTATAATCTTAGTACAGCACAAGGAGAGCTGACAGCACCCTGAGTGAAAAAGGTAGAAATGGCATTCCAGGATCTTGGCTAAAAGGAAAGTGTCCCTCTGGCCAGGGCAGGCCACCAGTACTGAGCAGTCCTCACAAAACTCTTCTTAAGTCAAATATGATAGCCATCTCGCAAGAAGTTATGTGATTTGCCTAACTGGAATCTAGAACTCAGCTCTCCCCTGTCACCAGCAGTGGGGATAAGAATGTTACTCCTGGGAGGCCAGGGGTGGTGGCTCATGCCTGTAATCCCAGCACTTTGGGAGTTTGAGGCAGGTGGATCATGAGGTCAGGAGCTCAAGGCCGGCTTGGCCAACATGGTGAAACCCCGTCTCTACTAAAAATACAAAAATTAGCCGGGTGTGGTGGTGCACCCCTCTAGTCCCAGATACTCGGGAGGCTGAGGCAGGAGAATTGCTTGAACCCAGGAGGCAGAGATTGCAGTGAGCTGAGATCGTGCCACTGCACTCCAGCCTGGGTGACTGGGTGACAGAGCAAGACTCTGTCTCAAAAAAAAAAAAAAAAAAAAAAAAAAAGTTACCCCTGGGAGTAACTGGTCCAAACACCCTAGTGTGGCCAAGGGTCCCTCATGGATTAAGGGAGTGGCAATATTCCCAAATTAACTATGTCATTGGGGCAATAGGATTTTTTCTGTCCCACATCTTGAAAGCCATTTCTCCTGCTGCTGGCTAGTCACACATGTGCTCCACTACCTTGTGGTTTCCTCAAAGTGTGAAAGTGCCAAAGGAGTGTACATGGCAATAGATAATTGGAACCTGGAGGCAAGTAGCAGGCAGCACAAATTTACTCTGACCAAGGCTGCTGGATGCTCAACATTTTGAAGGTGAGGCTAGAAAGGAACAAAACCAAAAAGAAGCACGGTTTCTCTTTGGCCTATAATCTATCTCTTGGTCTTTCAACATGTAAATAGTAAGCATCTGTTCTTGTATGGGGAAGAAATGTGAGTTAGTATGGTCAGAAATAACTGTGAGCTTTCCAAGACAAATAGTAGGTTTTTACTCACAGAGATGGATTTTCACACTTGCAGGCATCACAAGGACTCAATCTTATGGAGAATAAATAATTACATGGCCCTACCCCAGGAGTAATTACATCTGTCAGTTTCTGTGACTTTATTTTCAGGAATCTCTGCTGAACAATTGCATACTTATTTGTTCTTTAGCATGTTAATATTGAAACTTTGTGTAAATCTGATTGTGAAAAATCAATTTGAGAGAAATACATTTGGTTTGGTATTAAATATAATATGGAGAATGAACTTAGTTAACAAAACAAAAAGATATACATTTCCTAGTCCAATGTGATACACCTAAAGAAACGAGCTAAATTTTAATATTTCATCCTTGTGAAATGTAGAGCACTTCATGTGGGGTATGAACTATTTTTAAAAATTCCACAGGAGAAGGGCAATGAATGGATGGTGGGCTGAGTGTCTTCCCTTTGCCCATCCAGGTCCATTCTCCACCCTCTCCACTCTGAGCACTGCCCCGGGAGCCACAACCTATAGACCATGTCAATGGGCTATCATACTTCCTAGCTTCCCACTGGGTTCTGCCAATGGGGATCTTAAAGGAAATAGGCCTCCGCATTGTCTATGGCTAATCGCAATCCCTGCCTTTAGAGTTGCTTCAGGTTGACTGTCCTTGATTTAAGGTCACTTCTCTCAAGGCAGCCTTCTCTAGATTACAGCCACCCCTCCTCCATGCACTGGGGCCCAGGGTGAGGGCAGCTTTGCTGCTCTTAGCCCTGGGTTACTGCACTACCCCTGTGGTTCTCCCCTGCCCCACCCACACACCCACCTGCCAATGAACATCTTGTAAATAGTTCCCTTATAAATAGACTCTGATCAAATTATCTTAATTTCAGTGGGCATCCCTTTCCTGTTAGGAACTTGAATGGATAATTCTATACTGCTCAATATTGAGGGGTAGAAACATTCCAGTCTTTTATTGGAAGTCTCCTTTCCAGAAAGTGTGGCAATTTACAGGGGTGCCATTCAAAATATTGAACCTAATGCTCCAGCAGGGTCCTGGAGCCCTTGCTGTACCAGGCATTATCCCTTTAGTGGCTGGATTATAGTAAAATCTAGAGGGTCCCAAGGGAGGAGCTGGGGCAGCCGGGGCAGATTGCACTTGGAGGTGTCAGGATGATAACTATTTACCGAACAACATGAAAACGTGTAGTGTTTCAGCAGCTGGTGCATCCCAGCTGAACATTAGCCCAAGTAACGTGCCTACCTATTTTTACCTTTACCTTAGTAATTTCAACCAGAAAGTTCATTTCTATGGTTACTTAACATACTCTAATGGCAGCACCGCAGCTGAAACATTAGCAGGGAACAGATGTTGCCATGTACATATAATGAATGAGCAACACATTTTTCATTCCCTCCCCCCACACCCCAAATCAACCAAGAAAGGACCAATTTTAAGCCTGTGGCAGAACGGGTAGCGTACTGACAAGCACGACATATGAACCAAATTTCAAAGGCTGCCCAGTGCTACCAAGTGATTTTTAGAACTGTGACATTTGCATCAAAGATTGTGTCTGTACTAAGCATTTTGTATCCCTCATGACAGTCCTTTTAATCCTGGACTTTGGTTTTGGAACTTACTTGTGTGAGCATATAAAATAAAGCACTGTTTGATCCTTAGCCACATACAAGACATTTCTTCATTCTTTTAGAGCTGATCCTGTATAATATAATTGGTTATTCCTCCTCTGAAATATAATTATATCACATATTTTTATATTTCCTTCTGCTGCTTCTGTGGTGACACCATTTACATATCTCAAGTGATTAGTCATGAAAAGGAGCCATATGCTTATAACACATACTATCTGGGTTTTTAATCCTGTTAGCTTAAGCCATGGACAATTAAATAAACTCCTTTCTCATTCATTGTGTTGCAAATGCTGAATAACTAAACTATCTTGCTAATGAAGCACCACATTTAAGAAAATGAGACATCTAATGATTTTACCAGAATTTAACGGTGGATCTTTAGCTACATGACAATGGTTTAATGAGAAAGAATACCCATTCCAGGAGCTGGTGTTGCAAATAATTAACAGGGTGACATAACAGGATTGGGCAGCAAACACAGTATGTGCGCATATATGTCCGAGATGCTAAGCGATACAGGATGGACTAAGCTGCAGAATAAAATATTCGGACTATCACAAATTATATAGTGCTGTACACAAGTCATGTATTTAGTATGAATGTCCAGGTTAGCTAATATCTATAATAGAATTCATACATTGTACTTTTGTTTAGGTTTCTATTCCAAGGCTAATTGAGGATGAAGAGGATATCCTGTCTTAATATGAAGATATGTTCTTCAAAGTTTATTTGTTGAGTATGTTTCCTTAGTGTAATACATGAGATTCATGAAATCAAACAGTTTTCCCTATAAAGAAAAATATTATGCCACAAGCCTTTAATTAAACCATCACCTCTGGAAATAGAAAGGTAAATAGAAATACAATTAATTGTGCTAACTATTCTTCCCCGAGGACATTAGCCAGGTCTTCTGGAATTATTTAGAATAATATTAATGAAACAGAATTATCAAGCTACATCTGGTACTTTTCAATCTTATAAAACATTTCCAGGAAAGATGGGTACTTGGTTCAGTAGTGAGTAAATTCTTTCAACATTTTTAAGTATATTGTGTCAAAATTCTCTGAGAACCATGGCAACTCCAGGGTCATTGTTAGTTTCCCCTGCCAGTACATTCAAAAACACACCATACAAAAGATCCCAAGACAAGGAAATAAATAAGCAATCTTTTGGTTTCTACTAAAAAGTTAGTTGTTCTGGGAATAAAATGTACTTTTACCCAAACTCCAAGTGGGAAAACTCAATCAAAGTGCAGTAAAAGCGTAAGGTAAAATAGGCAGCAAAGTAAACCCTTGACTTCTAATGCTGCTGACAAGTAGCTGCTGACCACCCAGAGACAATTACAGAAGCCCCTACAATTCATTACCTCAGTCAAGTTAATTCCCATTTATTCCTAAGGAGTAGAAGCTATAAATTTTCCTGTAAATGTGCTGCCCTAGCAAATCTGTGACCAGAAGACGCCAACACTGCTTTGGCAACAGCCTTGGCTCCCCCATCTGACAGCACTCCAGTTCTGGGACTGCCTTTCTAAAATAGTCTTAGGGGACTTTCTTTAGTTAGAAGCACACAATAACCAATTCAATAAAATAAAAGCATCAAAGCAATTCATTTTCCAGGTTAAAAAAGATACTGCTGACATTACAGTCTCAAAAAATTCAGATACTGAGCCATCTGGAGTCTCAGTGTGGACTGCTTGCAATGAAAACAGATCATCAGGAGGTGCACAAGTCAAAGGGTCTTCTGAGGGGACAGTCAACCCCACAGAGATCACTTCTATGATATTCCTGGCAAATGATTCCACTGTCAGGGAGGCTTTTGCAAGGCAGTCCACGGCTGCTTGGGTCAAACTGACAGTTGTTTAGATGGATCTACAACATTCATTCCTGTAACGCACCCTTTGGGTCTCACTTTTCGTTTTTCTTGGGAAATAGAAAAAGTCTAGCCTGCTTCTCGCTTAGAGCTCTGCATGAAGTTGCTGCCTACCATAAAGTCTTCTTTAAGCCTTAGCTCTTCATTCCAAAAGAACAAATGCTTATTGGCTACCTCTATCAGATTAAACATAGGGGGTTCAAAAATCCCCTATGTAGCAGACATACATAATTAAACTTAATACAAGAAGATGACTGCTATATCCACATAGAAAGCCCTTTAGAAACTGCTTTTTAAAGTGTTTTTAAATTTTTTCCCATAGCAATATAAACTTTTTCACAATCTTATGGGAACACAATACACAAATCAGACTGAAGCAGAGCTGCTCTGGCTGAAGGGGGATGAGGGGGCTCAGAACCTCACCTGCTCAGCCTCCCTCTATTCCGTTTAGAGGCCCTAGAAACACCCCTGGGAACCCCAGGGACCCATGTAACAGTGTAACAAGCACTGCTCTAAAACTTGAGAGGAGGGTGAAAGTAACTGCTGGTCAGATGTAGAGTGATGGGGAGGGGGTGATGGTATAAAGAGCAGGTAACAGAGAAAACCTCCCTAAAATCAGTGGCATTTGGTGATACAGAGGTTATACCACAGAATGGAACAAAATTATAGAAGTTTATAATGAGATTATTGCAATAGGTGAGATGATGCAAGCTTGCTGGCAGGCTGTTTTGGGGACAGAATTAATAAGAGTTGCTGGTTGTTGGATTAAAGTAGAATTCTAAGATAATAGCAACATTTCTTGTTCATTCAATCATTTAATGGGCATTTGCTGAGAACCTAATATGTGCCAGTTACAATTTAGAGATGAATAAGAATAGTTTTTGCCTTCAGACAGGTTACAGTCTAGTCAAATGAGAGGGACAGGTAATTTTCTTTGTTTGTTTTTTTGTTTGTTTGTTTTTTAATTTTATTATTATTATACTTTAAGTTTTAGGGTACATGTGCACAATGTGCAGGTTTGTTACATATGTATACATGTGCCATGCTGGTGTGCTGCACCCATTAACTCGTCATTTAACATTAGGTATATCTCCTAATGCTATCCCTCCCCCCTCCCCCCACCCCACAACAGTCCCCAGAGTGTGATGTTCCCCTTCCTGTGTCCACGTGTTCTCATTGTTCAATTCCCACCTATGAGTGAGAACATGCGGTGTTTGGTTTTTTGTCCTTGCGATAGTTTGCTGAGAATGATGGTTTCCAGTTTCATCCATGTCCCTACAAAGGACATGAACTCATCATTTTTTATGGCTGTATAGTATTCCATGGTGTATATGTGCCACATTTTCTTAACGCAGTCTATCGTTGTTGGACATTTGGGTTGATTCCAAGTCTTTGCTATTGTGAATAGTGCCGCAATAAACATACGTGTGCATGTGTCTTTATAGCAGCATGATTTATGAGGCAGGTAGTAGAACATGAATGGTAGGCAATATTGTGGAAGGTGTACATGATGGTATGAGAGCATAAAGAAGTGGGAGGCAGATACATGTACTGGCTCCCTGTACTTTATTCCAACCTCCTTCTAGCATGCCTTTCTGCTTCTTTGGGACTGGAAAACTAAAGACTACACTTCACAGTTTCCTTGCAGCTCCATTTCCCCTCATGGACCTAGCCTCTGCCAAACAGAAGCAAAGACTGAAAGACGTGGAACATGTGTGTGGCTACCATGAGGGAGAGACCATCTATTACTTCTGCCATTGTTTAGACTGACATGCATGGCTGTGGAGGTTTTTGATTCTTCAGTGACAGTGGTGCCAGTGTTTGGCCCCTGGCTTCCTAGACACTATGCTGACATGGATCTCGGCAGAGGCAGTATGGACCTAGAGCTAAGAATTGTGGTGGCACCTTCCTTCTTTTCTGGCTTCCTGATCATGGCAGAGGCAGTGATCCCTTGGTGAGCTGGTTCTGCAGTGTTAATTTGAGGGTCACTCCTGGAAACCCAGCCTATAGTCTGCTCCTCTAACCCTTCCAATAATTTTATAAGTACTTAATCCTCCCAACTCCCTGCCTTTTTTTTTTAAAGCTAGCTAAATAGATTGTTAGCTGCAACTAATTTCTAACTGAATCAAAGGGATATTTAACACAGGCTAGAGGTGGTCAGGGAAGGCTACCAGGAGAAGATAATGCCTGAATAAATCTTAGGGGTGAGTAAAATTCAATCAGAGAACCAGAAAAAGACATTCCAGGCAAAGCCAGGAAGGTAAGAAGAGAGAGAATCACAGGGTATGGTGGTGCGTGGCTGTAGTCCCAGCTACTCAGGAGGTTGAGGCGAGAGGATCGCTTGAGCCCAGGAGTTTGAGACCAGCCTGGGCAATGTTGAAAGACTTCATCTCAAAGAAAAAGAAAAAAAGAAAAGACAGAAAATGATGTGCTCAGAGAAGTGCATAGGATTTACAAAGGGGAATGCTAGAAGGTAGAAGCAGAAGGGCAGGCAGGGACACATTCATGAGAGCCTTGTGTCAGTCTAAGCAACTTAAGAGTTTTATTTAGAGGAGTTATTGGAATGTGTAAGCAAAGAAATAATATAAGCATATTTGCATGTTAAAAAGACATCTCTGCAGAATTGTAAAGTGTAGATTGGTGCAGCTGGAGTTTAAGTGGGGAGACTTAACAGGAGGGAATTGCAATAATCCTGGCAAGAAATATTGAATATTGTGAGATTAGCTAAAAGACAGTAGAAGTAGGGTGGTGGGAACAGATTTTAGAAGTAATAAGGAAGCAGAATCTTTAAGACTTTAAGACCATCTAGGCATCAAGGTAGTGTGAGTAAGGTGTTGTGGAGGATGGCACTCCATTTTCTGGCTTTTGGCCACAGGTGCATGGTGGTGCTATTTATGTGTATATGGAATAAATAAGGGGGAGTATGTTCAGTGGGGAAGATGAATAGTTTAACTTTGGATATGAGAAATTTTAAGGAGCCTGGGACACAACTAAGTAAAACTGTAAGTAGGCCTTGGGATAGATGAGTTTGGAATTCAGAGTTCAGTTTGATAGTCCTCTCATATAAGTGGACAATGAAGATGTGGCTAAGATGATAGGACAATGGGTACCCTGAAAAGAAGGCAGGGTTCACATGGATGTAGAGTGTCCAGTGATAAGACAGTGAGGCTCAGAAGAGTGAGGAAGTAGGAGGCAGGTGGATGGTGAGAGATTTCTTAATGGGTACACTGTACATTATTTGGGTGATAGATACCCTAAAAGCCCTGACTTTACCACTACGCCAATCTATGCATGTACCAAATTATACTCGTACCCCATAAATTTACACAAATAAAAAAATAAAATAAAAAGAAGGCAGGGCTAATGACAGCCCTGAGAATAACAACCGTATCAGAGAAGCCTAGAAAAAGACGGGAAGATTGGGCCAGAAAGATAAGAGAGAGAAAAGAAAACGGTATCTTGGAAGGCCCCGGGACAGACTTGAAGAATGAAGAAGTGGTTTAATGTCAGATGCCCCATAATGGTCAATATAAGCATATGCACACGTGCACGCGCGTGCACACACACACACGCACACACACACACACACACATACACACAGAAACTGGTTTTTATAAGCTATAAGCAAAAGTAGCTTAATGGGAGAGTTGAGAAATGCATTTGACAAAGAGGAAAAAGTAAGTACTAGAGCAAGGCAAAAATATCAAAGGCTGCTTATTTTCTTCAAGAAACTTAAATGTGAAGGGAAGAGAGGTAAGGGAGTTGCTAAGAGAAGACATGTATGAAAGTTTTTTTTAATTGGAATGTCTCACAATAACGTGCAATTATTGAGAACTTGCTACATGCCAGGCACTGTTCCATGTGTTTTACATTAATTCATACAATCCTTCCAGCCACCCTATGAGATAGGTACACTGTTCTCCCCATTTTACAGAAGAGGAAGGTGAGCAACAGTGAAGTTATTAAACAAAGTAATTTGTCCAAGGTCACAGAGTTAGGAAGCAGCAATGCCAAGGTCCATACCCAAAAGATCAGGATACGGGGTACCTGCACAGCCTTGGGCTTTACTGCTTCTCACACCTACAGGATGAGCAGAAAAAGCGGAGGAGAGGAAAAGGTTGAAGATGCTGGAGAGTAAGGCATTTGCAAGGAGGCTAGATAAGACAGAGTCCTTAGGAGGTAGAAAATAGTGAGAATGAATACAAATGATAAAAGTTGTAGCTGCAGGGGTCTAAAAGTAGATGTTGTATACACTAGACCTCCTTTTTTTCTGTCCAGTAAGAGGTAAGAACATCTACTCAGTGAGACAGGACATGGTAAAGTAAAGCCCTTGACATGAGCAGTGAAGGGCTGAGATAACTGCTGGGCACAGGACAACAGCAGGCATTACTGAGAGACAATTAAAGAACTGATGATCTGTATAGGGTCGCAGCTGAGGCTGGAGCTGATGAGTTTTCACTGCCCTCACTCTGCCTGACGGGTGATTTTACTGAACAGAACTTTTGGGGTGACAGAAACTGGGAGTTTTTCAAAGTGAGGGAAAGTTAAGAAAATTAACATATTGGAGGGGCCGGGCGCGGTGGCTCACGCCTATAATCCCAGCACTTTGGGAGGCCAAGGCGGGTGGATCACGAGGTTAGGAAATTGAGACCATCCTGGCTAACACGGTGAAACCCCATCTCTACTAAAAATACAAAAAGTTAGCCGGGCATGGTGGCGGGCCCCTGTAGCCCAGCTACTCAAGAGACTAAGGCAGGAGAATCACTTGAACCCGGGAGGCGGAAGTTGCAGTGAGCCAAGATCTCACAACTGCCCTCCAGCCTGGGCGACAGAGTGAGACTCCGTCTCAAAACAAAAACAAAAAGTTGGGCGTGGTGGCTCATGCTTGTAATCCCAGCACTTTGGGAGGCCGAGGTGGGCGGATCACCTGAGGTCAGGAGTTTGAGACCAGCCTGACCAACATGGAGAAACCTCATCTCTACTAAAAATACAAAAAAAATTAGCCAGGTGTGACGGCACATGCCTGTAATCCCAGCTACTCGGCAGGCTGAGGCAGGAGAATTGCTTGAACCTGGGAGGCAGAGGTTGCGGTGAGCTGAGATCGCACCATTGCACTCCAGCCTGGGCAACAAGAGCAAAACTCCGTCTCAAAACAAACAAAAACAAAACAAAAACAGTATATCGGAAATAAATCATAATATTAATTTAACAAACACTAAATGGTAATTACTATATGCCAGGCATTGTTCTAAACATTTCTAAATATTAACTCCTTTAAAAATTATCATTGGGATGTCAGTGAGATGGCCAACTAGAAACTCTTAGCTCTCTCCCCTACTCAACAAAACCCTCCAAAACAACAAACAAACGACATTTTGACCAAAATAACTAAAGGAGAGTCCAGAGAACAGCAAAGAAGCAGAGAAATCATGTAAAGCACGGAATCCCAGGATGGCCACATAGAGAAGGGAAGGACACACCTTGCCTCTGCCACCCCATCTCCCCGGGTGGAATCGGCTCAGAAGTTGGAAGGACTCCTTGCAGGTAAGAGGTTAGGCAAGAGGACCCCAGCAGCCCCCATCACCACCGTGAACACCTGCAGTCTTCACTTCTGGAGACTCCAGTAGTCCTCACAGGATCAGAGTCCAGCTGTGGGGACTCCCTGGAGTCCACACACTTAGCTACCCCCAGAGAAAGAGCCAACACTGTGTCCTGCCCCTCTGTGGCCCATGCTGCCACTGCTCTGTGCCATCTTGGAACCAGAGCCACTGCTATGGTGTGTCCTGCTCTGGAGGCAAGCAGCCATTACACCCCTCCATCCCTGAGGCTCGACTACCACCGAACCATGCCCGACCAATAGCTCACCATCCCAAAGCTGAGCTGCTGCAATCTCCTACCCGCTAGGGCCAAGCTACTATAGACCTGCTCCATTCCACCCAACCCAGTCATTGGTACATCCTCCCCTTACAGCCAAGCGGCAGTTTTGCCCCATCCCTGGGGACCTGGAACATTGAACTACTGGAGCAGCCACACCTCTGACCTGGTGCTACAGCTGAAGCAGTGCCCCACCCTCAGGGACTTCGGGCATCCTGCATAGTGGAATAGTTGTACTTCCCAGCACAAAAGGAGGTACTGCTGAGCCACGTAGCTGTGCTTTCTGGGACTGAGAAGACGCAGTGTTTCACATCTCAGGAAATCAGAGACTTGGCTGGGCTATACCACCCTGCTCTCCAGGCTGCAGCCAAAGTACCCCACCTATATGGAACTAGATTAGCCCCACCACAGTCCCAGCGAATGAGGTATCCCACCTCTCCAGGGAGTGGTCATTGCTGTAGTGCTCCCCTCCCTCTGGGGCCCAAGATACAGCAACATCTTGCAATTCCTGGGTCCCTGCTGCTGCTGTACCTGGTCTCACAGAGCCTGGGCTACTGCTATGTCCCACCATCCCAGGGCCCAGAATCACCACTACATAGTACCTCATTTCTCAGATCCCGAGTTGCCCCTGTGCCTTGTTGGTTCCAGGTTCCAAATTGAAACTGTTCCCTGCTCTTCAGGGCCCAAGCCTCCAGAGTATACCCCTTCTTCCCCAGAGCTGTGTCAGTGCTATGCCCTGGCTCCCCATGTCAGAACTACAGCTACATCTCAGGCTTCTGGGCCCAAGCTGCTGGAATGTGGCTCAGAGCAACAGACCTTGGCTTAGTGAAAGAAATGCATCGGCTCGTGCCTTGGAGAGTGAACCTTCATGGCAAGTCCCAGGTGATACAGTGGTTTCACAAGACCTTGAGACCAAGAACCCAGCTCCACAGTCACTCGGAGCACCTAACCCTGGATTGCAGTGCTGCTGTGGCTGCCTGTGAGTCTTCCAGACCCAATATGAAGAGATCCCCTCAGCTAAGATTTCCTACTGTGAGGAAGACTAGACAAAAGGATCCCTGAAGCACTTTCCCTAATAACCTACTCAGCCATGATCACTGCCACAAACTCTTGCAGCCTAGGCCATCTGAGGCACTCACAGTCATTGTTAACATAAATAACAACTGAAGAAGCTACAAAGAAACTACACCACTAACCTACACAAAGCCAGAACCACCACACTCTGCCCAAGTGACACCCTTAGGCCCTCTGGAGGTAAAAGTCTTTCCTTACAAAAGCCACTCTGTTAAGTTTGGAATAGGTAACTGCACCACTAGATGAGCAGACATCAATGCAGGGACACAAGAAACAAGGAAACATGACACCACCAAAAGAACACAATAATTCTCCAGTAACTGACCCCAGGAAATTTACACAATGCCTGAAAAGGAATTCAAAATAATAATCTTAAAGAAACTCAATGAGATACAAGAGAACACAGACAATTCAATTAAATCAGGAAAACAACACATGATCTGAATGAAAAACTCAACTAAGAGATAGATATCTGTATTCATCTGTTCTTGCATTACTATAAAGAAATATCCAAGACTGGGTAACTTATAAATAAAAGAGGCTTAACTGGTTCATGGTTCTGCAGGCTGTACAGGAAACACAGCAGCATCTGCTTCTGGGGAGACCTCAGGAAGCTTACAATCATTGCAGAAGGGGGAACAGACACATCATATGGTGAAAGCAGAGGCAAGGGAATGAGGGCAGAGGTGCTACACACTGTTAAATGACCAAATCTCAGGAGAACTCACTCACTATCATGAAGACAGTACCAAGGGGGATGGTGCTAAACCATTTATGAGAAATCTGTCTTCATGATCCAAACACCTCCAACCAGGAACTACTTCCAATATTGGGTATTAAGAGATTTGGGCAAGGATACACATCCAAACAATACCAATATCATACAAAAGAACCAAACAGAAATCTTAGAGCTGAAGAATTTAATCAGTGAGATAAAAAATAATAGAGAGCTTCAGCAGCAAACTAGATCAAGCAGAGGAGAAAGAATCTGTAAACTTAAAGATAGATTTTTTTGAAATGACTCAGGAGAAAACAGAATGAAAAAGAGTGAAGATGGCCTATGGAACTTATGGGACACCATTAAATAAATTTTGCATTATGGGAGTTTCAGAAGGAAAAGAGACAGAGAAAGGGACAGACAGGTTATTTAATGAAATAATTGCTGAAAACATCTCAAGTCTTGGGAGAGATATGAACATCCAGATTCATGAAGCTCAAATGTTCCCGAGTAGATTCAACTCAAAGAAGTCCTTTCTGAGGTACATTATAATCAAACTATCAAAAGTCAAAACAAAGAGATAATTTTTAAAGCAGCAAGAAAAAAGTGTCAGGTCACATATAAGTGTATCCCCATCAGACTATCAGTGGATTTCACAGTGGTAAGTTTACAATCCAGTAGAGAATGGATGATATATTCAAAAATCTGAGAGAAAAATCAAAGAAAAAAGAAAAAAAAACTTGCTAGCCAAGAATACTATACCCAGCAAAGCTGTACTTCAGAAATGAGGGAGAAATAAAGACTTTCACTGACAAGAAAAAGCTGGGGAAATTAACTGCCATTATACCTGCCTTACAAGAAATGCTCGAGAGAGTTCTTTAAGCAGAACTAAAAGGATGATAATTACTATCATGAATACACATGAAAGTATATAACTCACTAGTAGAGGTAAACACATAGTCATATTCAGAATACTCAAATGCTGTAATGGTAGTGTTTAAATCATACATACCTCTAGTATGGAGGTTAAAAGTTGAAACATAAAAAATGACCAGGATAGTCATTAAGGGATACACAATATAAAAGATGTAAGTTGTGACATTTGTAAACTAAAAATAAAATTGAAAGCCCCCAACCAACTGATGGACCCTCCTCTTGGCCAAAGGCATTCCAAAGTTAACCTGAAAAACTAGTTCAGGCCATGATAGGAAGCAGAGTGGGCCATGCCTTATTATTCCCTTCTCCCTTTTGGAATTCAGGCACAGCTGACTAGCATTAACATTAAAACAGATGTTAAGACTGACAAAGCAGACTATTCATAGCAATAAGACATCAAATTCCAGCCTGACTCTAGTATAGCATCACATGACAGATAGCAGACCCTAAAAGAAATCAAAGTATTTTGCCCCAAATTATATTTCTTTGATATATTTTGAAATGGTCTTGCAAGCCTGTCTCTTGTGAGGAAAATATACTTTATGTAGACAATCCTCATTTCTTTCCATGTCTTTTCCCTGATCCAGGAGAGAATTAACTGAGTCTGGCACCTTTTTTAGGTCTGATAAGAGCTCTGAAGCCTGCTACCAGGAGGTTTCACTTGCATGATAAAACCTTGGTCTCCACAACCCCTTCTCTTAATCTAGACATTCCTTTCTATTGATTCCAGGTCTTTAGATAATAACTTTTTCAACCAATTGCCAATCAGAAAATCTTTGAATCCACCTATGACCTGGAAGCCCCCTGCTTAGAGTTGTCCTGCCTTTCCAGATCAAACCAATGTACATCTTATACATATTGATTGATGTCTTATGTCTCCCTAAAATGCATAAACCAAGGTGGAGCCCAGCCACCTTGGGCACATGTTTTCAGGATCTCCTGAGGGCTGTGTCATGAGCCACTGGTCACGCATATTCGGCTTAGAATAAATCTCTTCAAATACTTTACAGAGTCTGATTCTTTTTGTTGACACATCAAAAACATAAATGATGATGGAGACTAAAAGTTTAGAGTTTTTCGTATGTGACAGAAATTATCAGTTTAAAGTGGTAGATTATAAGATGTTTTCTGTAAGCCTCATAGTAACCAAAAAACAAACAACAAAAAAACTACAGGAGATAAACAATAAAAAGAAAGATATCAAAGCTTAGTACTACAGAAAATTATCAATTCACAAAGGTAGACAACAAGAGAGGAAGAAAGGAACTGAGCAGCTATAAAACAACCAGAAAACAAATAAGAAAATGTCAGTAGTAAGTTCTTACCCATCAATAATAACCTTGAAGGTAAATTGATTAAATTATCCAATCAAAATACATGAGTGTCTGAATGGATTAAAAAAATAAGATCCAACTATATACTGCCTAAAAAATAAGAGACTCACTTAAGCTTTAATGACACACACAGGCTGAAAGAGAAGGGATACAAGAAGATATTCTATGCAAATGGTAACCAAAAGAGAGCAGGGATAATTATTTTTATATCTGATAAAGCATATCAGACCAAGAAAAGAAAGAAAAAAGACTGGGCATCCAAATCAGAAAGGAAAAAGTAAAAATGACTACGAATTCAGTAAACTTACAGGACACAAAATCAACATACAAAAATCAGTAGCATTTTTATACATGAATAACATATATAAGAATTTTTTAATTCTTAACTGAAAAATAAATAAAGAAATTCCATTTACCAAAGCAACAAACAAAATAAAATACCTAGGGCAAATTTAACCAAGGAAGTGAAAGATATGTACACTGGAAATTATAAAACATGGATGAAGGAAATTGTTGAAGAAGACAAATAAATAAATGGGAAGATATCCTGTGCTTATGGATTAAAATAATTAATATTGTTAAAATGTCCATACTACCCAGGCAATATACAGATTCAATACAATCCCTATCAAAATCCCAGTGACATTCTTCACAGAAATAGAAAAAAGTCCTAAAATTTGCATGAAAACATAAAAGACTAAATAGCCAAAACAATTCTGAGAAAGGAAAACAAAGTTAAAGACATTACACTTCCTGATTTAAAATTATACTACAAAGCTGAAACAGTGTGGCTCTGGCATAAAAACAGACACACAAACCAGTGGAACAGAATGGAGAACCCAGAAATAAATCAAAACATATATGGTCAACTAATGGTGCCAAAGGACAAAATGGGGCAATGGCTTTTTGGGTATTACACAAAAAGCTTAGGCCACAATACCATTCTGCCCAAAGCAATCTACAGATTTAATGCTATTCCTATCAAAACACCAATGTCATTTTTCACAGAATTAAAAAAAACTATTCTAAAATTCATACAGAACCAAAAAAGAGCCAAAAACAGCCCAAACAATCCTAAGCAAAAAGAACAAAGCTGGAAGCCTCACATTACCTGACTTCAAGCTATACTATAAGGTTACAGTAACCAAAACGGCCACATCATGGTATTGGCACAAAAACAGACACATAGACCAATGGAACAAAATATAGAGAATCCAGCAATGAAGCTACACACCTACAACCAACTGATCTTTGACAAAGTCAATGAAAATATGCAATGGGGAAAGGACTCCCTATTCAATAAATGGTGCTAGGATAACTGGCTATCCATATACAGAGGAATGAAATTGGATCCCTACCTTTCACCATATACAAAAATTAACTCAAGATACATTAAAGACTTAAAGACTTCAAACTATAAAAAACCTAGGGCCAGGTGCAGTGGCTCACACCTGTAATCCCAGCACTTTGGGAGGCCAAGGCAGGCGGATCACCTGAGGTCAGGAGTTCGAGACCAGCCTGGTCAACATGGTGAAACTCCATTTCTACTAAAAATACGAAAATTAGCCGGGTGTGGTGGCGGGAGCCTGTAATCTCAGCTACTCGGGAGAGATTGTTTTGGCTGTTGGGGCTCTTTTTTGGTTCTGTATGAATTTTGTAATCTTTTTTTTTAATTCTGTGAAAAATGACATTGGTGTTTTGATAGGAATAGCATTAAATCTGTAGATTGCTTTGGGCAGAATGGTATTGTGGCCTAAGCTTTTTGTGTAATACCAAAAAAGCCATTGCCAAGGCCAGTGTCCAGGAGATTTGCCCCATGTTCTCAAGTGAGGCAGGAGAATCACTTGAGCCCAAGAGGCAGAGGTTGCAGTGAGCCGAGACCATGCCATTGCACTCCAGCTTGGGTGACAGAGTGAGACTCCATCTCAAAAAAACAAACAAACAAACAAACAAAAAAAAAAACCTAGAAGAAAATCTAGGAAATATCCTTCTGAACACTGACCTTGGCAAAGAATTTATGACTAAGTCCTCAAAAACAATTGTAACAACAAAATTGACAGTAGGACTTAATTAAACTAAAGAGCTTCTGCACATCAAAATAAACTATCAACAGAGTAAACTATCAACAGAGTAAACAGACAACGTTCACAATGGGAGAAGATATTCACAAAACTATGCATCCAACAAAGATCTAATACCCAGAATCTATAGAGAACTTAAATAATTCAACAAGCAAAAAAATAATAATCCTGTTAAAAAGTGGGCAAAGAATATTAACAGACACTTCACAAAAGACATACAAGCAGCCAACAAACATATGAAAAAATGTTCAACTTCACTCTTTATAAGAGAAATGCAAATCAAAAGCACAATGAGATAACATCTCACACCAGTCAGAATAGCTATTATCAAAAAATCAAAAATAACAGACATTGGCGAGGCTGCAGAGAAAAGGGAATGCTTATACACTTTGGTGGGAAGGTAAATTATTTGTTCAGCCACTGTAAAGCAGTTTGGAGATTTCTCAAAGAACTAAAAATAGAACTACCATTTGACCCAGTGATCTCATTACTGTTACATACCCAAAGGAAAACAAATCATTCTTTTTGGTAGATATGTTTGTATGTTCATTGCAGTGCTATTCACAACAGCAAGGGCATGGATTCAACCTAGGTGCCCATCAACTGTGGACTGGATAAAGAAAATGTAGTACATATATACCACGGAATACTATGCAGCCATAAAAAGAATGAAAATCATGAAAAGAATGAAATCATGTCCTTTGCAGCAACGTGGATGCAGCTGCAGGCCATTATCCTAAGCAAATTAACACAGAAACTGAAAACCAAATACCACAAGTTCTTACAAGTGAGAGCTAAACACTGAGTACACATGGACATAAAGATGGGAACTACAGACACTGAGGACTACGAGAGGAGGGAACGAGGCACAGGCTAAAAAACTGCCTATTGGGCACTATGCTCACTATCTGGGTGACAGGATCAATCATACCCCAAACCTCAGCATCATGCAATATACCCATGCAACAAACCTGCACATACACTCCCTGAATCTAAAATAAAATGTATATATTTTTCTAAAAAGCTCAGGCCACAAAAGCAAAAATATATAAATGGAACTACAGTTGACCCTTGAACAACATGGATGTTAGAAATGCTAACCCCTGCACAGTCAAAAATCCACAGGTAACTTCTGACTTTCAAAAAAATTAATAGTCTACTGTTGACCAGAAGCCTTACTGATGACATAAACAGTTGACTAACACATATTTTGTATGTTATATGTATTATATACTGTATTCTTACAACAAAGTAAGCTAGAGGAAAGAAAATATTATTAAGAAAATCATAAGGAAGAGAAAATATATTTAATATTAATTGAGAGTGGATCCATCATGAAGGTCTTCATTCTCATTGTCTTCACATTGAGTAGGCTGAGGAGGAGGAAGAAGAGGAGGGCTTACTGTCTCAGGGGTGGCAGAAGGAGAAGAAAATCTTCATGCACCCATGAAATTCAAACCTGTGTTGTTCAAGGGTCAGCTGTACATCAACTTAAAAGCTTCTGCAGAGCAAAGGAAGCAATGAACAAAATAAAATGGTATCCTAAGAATTTAGAAAAAAAATTTGCAAACCATATATCTAATAAGGTGATAATATCCAAATTTTATAAAAAGCTCATACAACTCAGTAGTAGAAAAACAGATACAGTTCTTGACTTAACAACGATTTAACTTATAATTTTTCAACTTTAGGTTGGTAGGAATATAATACACATTCAGTAAGCTTCTCCACTTATGATCATGTTCCAGTATTGTAAGTGGAAAATGCACTTTTGATTTAGGGTATTTTCAATTTACAATGGGCTTATTCAAACACAACCTAAGTCAAGGAGCATCTGTAATCCGATTAAAAAATACGCAAAAGACTTGAACAGACATTTCTCCAAAGACATAAAAATGGCCAACAGGTATAGGAACAGGTGTTCCTCATCATTAATCATCAGGGAAATGCAAATCAAAACTACTATAAGATACCACCTAACCCTGTTAGGATGGTTATTAATAAAAAGGCAAAAGATAACAAGTGTTGGCAAGGACGTGGAGAAAAGGGAACTCTTGTACATTGCTGGTGGAAATGTCGATTGGTAGAGCCATTATAAAGAATAGTATGGAGACTTCTAAAGAAATCAAAATTAGAAGTACCATGTGACCTAGCAATCCCTCTTCTGGGCATATACTAAAAGGAAATAAAATTACCACCTCACAAAGATATCTGCACTCTCATGTTTATTGCAGCATTATTCACAATAGCCAAGATATGGAACAACCTAAGTGTCTGTTGACAGATGAAAGGACAAAGAAATTGTGGTAGATACAATAACATTGAATATTATTCATCCCTAAAAAAGAATGAGATCTTGCCATATGCCACAGCATGGGTGAGCCTAGAGGACATTATGCTAAATGAAATAAGCCAGACACATAAAGAAAAATATTGTATTATCTCATTAATATGTGGAACATAAAAAATTTCAACTATACAGAAAGAA
Source organism: Homo sapiens (assembly GCF_000001405.40). Classification (NCBI taxonomy): domain Eukaryota; kingdom Metazoa; phylum Chordata; class Mammalia; order Primates; family Hominidae; genus Homo; species Homo sapiens. The sequence continues at coordinate 31,905,315 of NC_000014.9, read as the reverse complement.
CAAAACAGTGGTTGTCAGGGATGGGGCACTGGGGAGAGAAAACGGGAAGACATAGTTCAAGAGGATACAAAGCATCAGATGTGTAGGATGAACAAGTCTAGAGATCTAATGTACCCTATGAGGACTAGAGGTAATACAATTGTACTGTATATAGAATTCATGCTGAGTTAATTTTAGCTGCTCTTGCTACAAAAACAAAAAAAAGGGTAACTATGTGAGATGATAGATATGTCCATTTATTGCACTATGGTAACCCTTTTGCTATCTATATGCATCCTATAACAACATTTGTATACTTTAAATATATACAATAAAATTTATTTAAAAATTTGTATAATAGTCATTTACATTTGTTGCTGTCTATGAACTTCATGCTTTTCTAAATCACATGCAGTCCTCACAACCTCCCTATAATGAAGCTGTTATTCTCATTTTATAGTCAAGGAAAGTGGGGTTCAGACAGATTAATTAATTTGCCCAAGATCACATGATTTAACAAGTGGTAGAGCCAGACTATGAACCTGTGTTTGGGTCTCTAAAGCCTTTGCTTTCCATCACTGCAGCACATTTTTTCTATATAAAATGAGGTAATGAATAAGGTATTTAGGGCAGATAGAGGAAGACATAAAGCCAAAAGGGGATGATTGTCTGCTAAAAAATGGAGGAGACTCAGGTGGAGGTCTTGGCGTGTTTCAAGGTATTTGCCCTTCCTCGAAGGGGAATAAACTGAAAGAGTAGAAGGTTGGGGTCAAAGAGTGGTATTCCATAGTTTAGGATTTCAGAGCTAGAGCAGGGGCCATGAGTCTGAAGGCAGCTATGCTTACCACTATACCACCAACGTACCACGTGATGGGTCTGAATTGAAGGGTGTTTGGGTAAGACCCTGGGTGAATGTGGGGTCTAGAAATGACAGCAAGAAGGCAGCTTCTTGACAGGTACCATGAGGCTCAGAGGAGGAAGGGTTTTTGTAAGAGGATGAAGAACCAGTGGGTTAGAAGGGGCTGTGGGGGGACTGGGGACAAACCAGCCAATTCCTTCCCCGCCGCCTCTTTCACAACTCCACTCCCTCACTCATGATAGAATTAAATGATGAATTTATCTAGGGTTAAATGATGAATTCAACACAATCCAGATGAGATCAATCACGTCCAAATGTGTCATACATACACAATGTCTTCCCATATCAGCCATAGAAAGAACAAGAACTTTGTATAACCCAATCAAGGATGTTTCTATATTTAATAAATATTGATTGAGCTCATATTATATGCCAACAAATGGTACTCGGGAAACAGAAAATAAACAAGAAAAACAAGGAAGGTGGTAATTGTTACAGGTAAAAATAAAGCTAGTTAAGGGAATAGGGAGTAAAGGAGAGGGGAGGGTGTACATATTGCTATTTTATAAGGGACATTCTGGGAAGACCTCACTGAAGGATGACATTTTCCCAGCCTTGCAGATATCGAAGAGAAGATACAAACATGAAAAGCATCCAAGGTTTAAGGTGGGTGCATGCTTGGTGTGTTCAGGGAACATCAGGAAGGCCAGTGTAGTTGGAGCAGAATGAGTGAAGGGAAGAATAGCAGGAGTAAAGATCAGGACACAAGCAGAGCATGCAGGGCCTTCTAGAACACTGTAGAATTTTTTTTCCAAATCATTAGCATGGTTTCACTCTTATTTTAAAAGGCTTATTCTCACTATTGTATGGCAAACAGTGTGTGTGAAGTAGGAGTTAGGGAGGAAGGACGCCATTTAAGAAGGTATTGCAAGAATCCAAGTGGAAGAAGACAGAGGCTTAGACCAGGGTGCTTAGCAATGGAAGCGGTGAGAAGTACTTAGATTCTGCTTATATTTTGCAAGTAGAAATGATGCAATGTGCTGTTAGATTGTAAGACTGGCAACCTTTATGATGGCCCACAGTGATCTGTACCTCCCCCTGCATGTAGGTTTGACCTAGTGAGTCACTTCCAATGAAAGGAATATGGCAAAAGTGATAGTATATCAATTGTGAGTTAGGTTATAAAACGTGACTTCCGTCTAGCTGCCCTCCCTCACACTCTCTCTCTGGCTCACTCTGGGGGAGACCAGATGCCATACTGTGATCTGCATTTGGAGAGGCCCATGCGGCAAGGAACTGTTGTCTCCAGCTAACAGCCAGCAAGAACCCAGGGCCTGCCAGCAGCCACATGTATCAGCTTGGCAGTGATCCTCCCTAATCAAACCTTGAGGTGACTAGCCCTGGCCAATGCCGGGATTGTAGATTTATAGTCTAAATGAGACCCTGAGCCTGAGATCCAGCTAAGCCATGCCCACATTCCTGACTCACAGAAACTGAAGTGTAATATTTGTTGCAATAGATAATTAATATAGGTTGGATATAAGAGAGAATAGTTGAGGATGACGCCACAGGTTTTGGCCTGTGTAACTGGCACCTGGAGTTGCCATTTACTGGAGAAGGAGCAGGTTGAGACGGAGAAGAAGCAGCAGGAATTGTTCTGGGTGGGTTAAATATAAGATGACTAGTCAATGGAGATCATGAATATGCAGTTGTACATTCAAGTCTGGAGTTTGAGGAGGAGATCTGGGCTGTTCCAGCCCTTCATCCATTTTTCTATTGCTTTGTTTACCTTTTTCTTATTATCTGTGGGAGTTGTTTATATTATACAGATACAGGTCTTTTGTCAGATATATGCATTATAAATATCCCCTACTCTGTAGCTTACCTTTTCACTGTGAAGAGTGTCTCGATTTACAGTCTAAATTTTAATGCAGTTTGACTTTATTTCTTTCCCTTTAAGGTTAGTACATTTTATGTTCTGTTTAAGAAACCTTTTCCTATCCTATGGTCATGAAGATATGCAAAAATATAAATTTGAGTATAATCAGCTTTCTGGATAAGAAAACCTATGGAATGACTATAGAAAGAGAAGAAATCTAGGACTTAGGTCCAGGGCATGCCAATGCTTAGAAAACAAAGGGGTGAAGGCAACTGGCAATGAAACTGAGAAACAGTAGATGGCCAGGTAGGTAGGAGGAGACAACTGAGAGAGAGCCCCAGAGTTTCCAGGTGAGGGTATTAACACTGACTCATGCTGCTGATAGGTGGAGAGAATGACTCAGAGTGGGGCACCAGATAAACACTGTTGGAATGAGCCTGCGTACAGTGGGGGAGGGGAGCTCTAAAGTCTGATTGGAGTAGAATGGGAGAAGAAGTGAAGACAAGTACAGACCACTCTTTTGGAGGAACTATGCTGTATAGGAGAAAAGAAAAACGGGGTGGCAGCTAGAGAGAGATGTGCAATCAAGGGAGGAATTTTTCTCCATGAAAGATGTTACAACAAATGTGTAATAGCTCATATGTGTACAGCTAGTGAGAAAGAGCCAATTGAGGAAATAACTGATGTGAGGAGAGGCGGTTTAAGTGCTTGAACAGCATCCCTGAGTTGGCAAGAGGAGATGAGATCCAGCGTACAAATAGAAGATAGAGTCAGGGATGCAGTAGGCTGATATATGTGGTTGCAGAAGCAGGGAGTTCCTCTCTGATTGCCTTGCTTTTCTCAAGAAGTAAGAATCAAGGCCATCTGCCGAAATGAGAAGCAGGGAATTGTCAGAGTCAGTGACTGTAAAGAAATAGAACAGAATGTTTGAGAGTCCAAACTGTGGCCACCTGAATTCATATTCCAGCTCTCCTACTTGACAATTGCGTGACCTTGGACAAGTTACTTAGCATCTCTGTTTTCTCAGCTTCTACATCTATGAAATGCAGATGATAACAGTACCTATCTCATAGGGTTGCTATGATTATTAACTGAATTTATGTACACGAAGCAAGGTTTTACTTCTATGACAGACAACATTGAGTTTTTGGACCTGTTATATTAAGGCATTTAGGCCTTTCCCTGGAATACATATTAGTTTATCTCCCATGTGGTTTAGGGGAAAGGGAGGCCTAGACAACCCAGTGAGCATTCCCTGTGACTCCTGTACACCACGATCCTCACTCTGGCTGGATGTTATGCTGTCCTGGGAAGTTTCACAAAAATGCCCACGCCTGGGCCCCATCTTCAGAGATTCTGATTCTATTAAGCTAAAGAGGAGCCCATGCTGGTACTTTTGAAAAGCTCCTTTTGTGAATGTGACGTGCAGCTCAAGCTGGGCAGTGCTGGTCTACTAGGCATATCTATGCTGTGGAGATGGGTGGGCCAGCAGAGTCATACTCTTGGAAACACCTTCTTCATCCAATAAACTCTAACTCTACATCTACAAAGCTCATTTCTAGATTTATTTTGGTTCTCTAAATGGTTTTGTCAGAAGACGAGAGTATGTGTCAGGGTAATCCAAATGTCTACTCCAAGTGGCAGTCACCTTCTCATTCTAAATGAGGACAGTAACTGTGGTCATGTGCAGTGGAGCAGCTCTCTGGGGTCACAGACAAGACTGTCTCTGGACTTACAACTGAAGCCTCCTCAGTCCACGGACCATAGGGAAGGCCCTAAGGTGGAGTCATCTTCTCAGGCTCATCTCTGTGCACAGGTCATCAGACCTTTCCCTGAAGACCCTTCTAACTCCAGGAAGTGAGTAGCCAGCCTTGAACACCACATTTCAAAAAACTGTAAGAGTGAGAGGAGGGGAGAGGATGCTCTCACATCTATGATGTTGGCAGTGACATGGATGTAATTTCTCACAGCCTAGAACCATGGTTCCTAATGCATGGCCCATGGACCACATGTAATCAATGCCAAATTATAATATCTGGAAGTAGGGCCAGAAATCCACATTCTTATAGGCTCGCTGAGAAAATATTATGTACTATGAAGTAAGAGAATCTAGAGAGTTGAACTGACTGACTTCTAATCAAGATAATACATGATGGCATTACTAGTACCAATACTAGTGGCATTACCCAAAGGTGAACTCTGTTTCCCCCAGATTAAAGGCTTTTAGTATTGAATTTCTTTCAGTGTTTTGCTTTTTGGGTTTCTGTTTTTAACTCCTTTTCCCCCTTCCACGCTAAGAGAATGGCAATTATAGCTTAGAGCTTGTACCTTCCTTATTTTTATTCCTTTAAAGTAGTAAGAATAGATTTTAATCGAAGCTTAACAAAAATACTCATGTCTGGTTATACTACTGCAGTAGGAAAGAGGGTCCAGTGTGAACTGAACCCAACTTCAACTTGCGCAGAGGTAACCGGGTGTTTTTATTTTTAGGGTGTATATATTTATGGGGTACCTGAGATATTTTAATACACAACTATGTGATACATATATATACATATACAGTGCATAATAATCACATCAGGGTAAATGGAATATCCATGGCAAACTCTTTTAATATTTTTATTTTTATTCTTCTGGAAGTTGTCTCCTCTGGATAATTTGTTGGATAAAATTAAGAAACATTGCTGTTTCTTAATTTATCAATGAAAGCAATTTTAATAGACTCCCTAATATGAAAGACAAGGATTTTGTTTATACTACCTCATTCCTCTCTCTTCTTAGTGTTTTAATTTTTTTAAGTTTTTTAAATTGATAACCACTATAACATAAAATAACATTTAAATCTCTATTTCATTTTACACAAAATTTGATATCCCGTTTTGACTCCCCATCTTTCCTTCTCCCTTCTATATCCCACCTTGTGTCAGGTCCATTTTGACTTTAATATTGACACTTTTTTTTTTTTTTTTGTAAAGACAGAGTCTCGCTCCACCTCCCAGGCTGGGGTGCAGTGGCGCGATATCAGCTCTCTGTAACCTCTGTCTCTCGAGTTCAAGTAATTCTCGTGCCTCAGCCCCCTGAGTAGCTGGGACTATAGGCACCTGCCACCATGCCCAGCTAAATGTTGATAAATTTGTCAACAGATGAATCTTCAATATATGTACCTGCCTCCCCACATTCCTCTGTCCCCATTTTTGGTTCTCCTACTCACATCTGCCTTCCATAGGACCTGTTGTCTCTCAACTCAAAGCTTCCTCCACTGGGCAGGTGGCTCCCTCATCCTCTGAAACTCATGCTAGACTATTGTTTTTTCTTGCCTCTCATCTGTCAACTCACTCTAAACTACTTTTCTTCTTCCAGATACTTATTAAAATGTCTCATTCTTTTGTAAACCCCAATTCCATTCTCTTCCCTGTTATAGGTTTATTCCTTTTGGTACTTTTTATTTTATTTGGATCTTGGGAGTAATGGAAGATAAATGTGTGCACCCAGTCCATCTTCATGAAGCAGATGTCCTGTGACTCACTCTATCAAACAAGGAACTGGACACTCAGTTGTTTTGCATCTCACTCACTTCCAGTTCCCTCTTAATTATGTTTGTTCTGCTATTTCTCATTTGAATACTATTCTTGATAGAACATGTGTTAACTTTTCTTTGTCATCAGTTTATAGCCTACTGATCTTGCATACATGATTTAAAAATCTATCATATTACAATTGAAAGCATTTTTTTCCCCACATAGCTCACCCTAGCTATAATTCTTGAATGTTTGTCCCACCCTTGAGTATTTAGCTTTGGCCATACCTCAACCTCTCCTTTCATTTTGAATCTGACTTTAAAAAAATAAAGTAAAACCTTTTTTAAAAAAGTTACACATATGGTATTTAATAAATGTAAATAAGTATGTATCAGTAGGCTCTATCAGCAATATTCTTCAAACTTGAAGTTATTGAACAATGGATAGAAAATTCTAAATACTGCAATCCCAATACTTTGGGAGGCTGAAGCAGGAGGAAATCAGCAAATATAGTAGATAACTTCTATTAAAATTTTAGTTTTTGTAAGTCTTGAGAAGGACAAATGTCCTTGGGATAATTTTTAAAGAAATACTTTATATTTCTGGAGAAGTTTTAGGTTCATAGCAAAATTGGGAAGAAGATAGAGATTTCCTGTGTACCTCCTGCCCCCACACATGCATAGCCTCCCCATTATCAAGTTGGGGGGAAGATGAATAGATGGAATACAGAAGTTACTATAATGATAGATATATGTCATTATACATTTGTCCAAACTCATAATGAACAACCCTAAGAATAAATTCTAATGTAAACTATGGACTTTGGGTGATTATGATATGTTAGTGTGGGCTTATCAATTATAATGAATGTATCAATCTGGCAGAGAATGTTAAAATTTCCTTTTTAAAAGTAAGTAAAAGCAAAAGGTTGAATATCTCATTTCCAAAGACGAGGAATCTGCTGCTCTATAAGCCAATAACTAAGGGAGTCAGTTTTTAAACTTTTGGTCTTCTGCAATGTGGAGGCATAGCCCTGTGGTTAAGATGGTCAGCTTTAGAACAGGACTGACTGTATTCAAATCCTGGCTCTGTCACTTGCTGGGTGTGTGATCTCTAGTAAGATACCTCACACGGCAGAAATTAGTGAGCTGTTTACCAAATCCTTTTCTCTTTTCTTCTGAGGATACAACTAGACTCTTTCCTAGCCTTCTTGCAGTGAGGAGTGACCACATGATTGCGCTCTTGCCACTGAAATGTGATTGGAAATTTTACCAGTACCAGGGCTGGTCCACAGAAACTGCACAGGCCTCCAGTCTCTCAATTGTGCTGGCTGCTGGCTTGATAGGAATGTCCAGGGCAGCCCTGGAAGCCATGTGTTAAAGACAGCAGGGCCTCCATCAGTGCCTGAAATGGAAACCTCCCCCCATCCCCACTGGTGCTGCCAATAGAATTTTACACGATTACAAAATAACCTTTACATGATGAAGAAATAATCTTCCCTTTTGTGAGATTTCAGGTTTGTGTTAGAACAGCTTGTTTTAACTTAATCAACATACTTTTCTAAACTTCACTTGCCTCTTCAGATAATTCTAGTACATGGTGCTGTTAAAAAGACTGAAAGAGAAACAATGAATATAAAGTGTGCTAATGCATCATGCCTAGCAAATGGTAAGTATACAATAAAGGTTCATTACTTATTATTCTATGAAACCTGTTGTTAATTACCATTGCCTATTATGTGCAATATAATAGAAGGCTCTCATATACATTCAAATGCCCACACTGGCTGGGCACAGTGGCTCATGCCTGTAATCCCAATACTCTGGGAGGCCGAAGCAGGAGGAATTCAAGACCAGTCTGGGCAACATATTGAGATCCCATCTCTACTATTAAAAAAAAAAAATTAGCTGGGCATAGTGGTGCTTGCCTGTAGTCCTGGCTGTTTGGAAGGCTGAGGCAGGAAGATCGCTTGAGCCCAGGAGTTGAAGGCTACAATAAGGTATGATTGTGTCACTACACTCCAACCTGGACAACAGAGTGCAACCCTGTCTAAAAAGAGAGAGAGAAAAAAAAGCCCACTCCTCGCAGCCTGAAATTCCACCATTCCTTTATGTAAATCAATGCCTTTTCCTTTAAAGAGTAACTTCCACATTTAATCATAAAATTAATGTGTTTATATGTTTATTGCAAAAAATTTATAAAATAGAAAACTTAGACTCAGGCTGGGTGCAGTGGCTCACACCTGTAATCCCAGCACTGTGGGAGTCTGAGGTGGGCTGATCACAAGGTCAAGAGTTCGAGACCAGCCTGGCCAACATGGTGAAACGCTGTCTCTACTGAAAACACAAAAATTAGACAGGTGTGGTGGCACGCGCCTATAATCCCAGCTACTCAGGAGGCTGAGGCAGGAGAATCGCTTGAACCCGGGAGGTAGAGGTTGCAGTGAGCCAAGATCACACCACTGCATCCATCCTGGGTGACAGGGCAAGACTCTGTCTTAAAAAAAAAAAGAATCAAATATTGATCATCTATAATCCTATCATCCAAAGATAATCACTGCTAGCATTTTGAAATATGTCATCCCAATTTTTTATTATTTCTGCTATCATTAAGTATACGTATTATGTATTACTTTTTTCCACCTAACATTTTGCCTTGAACAGATTCCTATGTGTTCAAATATACTTTAAAAAGACATTTGATGATGACCCATTAACTTACATAGAGCATGTAATTTTTTCTATAAAATTAAACAAAAGATATTTGATGAGTGCTTATGGATGTAAAACAACTTATTTAACTATTATATGGATATATCACAATTTACTTAATTATTCCTTTATTGAAGGATATTTTTGTTACTTCTACCAGAATGCATAATTCTAGAATAAACCTCCTGGTACATAAATCTTTGCCTCTAATTATTTGTCCTTTCTGCTTTCATTTTCCTTTTTCTGGGCTTCTTCAAAACAGAATTTTTAAAAGAATTTTTGACTTCTCTAAATGATACAATAACTAATTCTTATTTCATCTTGATGTATGTTTTATATGCTTCTTTACTATTTCTTTTGTTGTTGTTTTAAGAACAAAAATACCCTTGGAAAAGTCCATAGCTCTTTTCTCTGAAGACTTCCTGTTAATACATTTATCAGATTGTTTGATTTGCAGAAAGGAAAAACAAAGCTGTATGTAAATCCTAGAAACCAGAAGTAAAAGGAATTCTGGGGGAGTGAGGAGTGGAGAGGAACAGAAAGTGGACGTGAAATTGAAATAAAATCTCTGCATACCTCAAAATTCCACACTGAGGGGAAGTCTCCCCTTCTGCTGTCCCAACCATCCCCGGTAGATGAGCTACCATATTTCTTCCATTTATAATCAATCAGATTTTAAAAAACTGTGAAGCACTGGGATCTTGTGGGAGTTTTTGCTGAGCATATAAATAGCATTAACAAGAGTAAACAATGGCATCAATGAAACATAATCCTTGCATTGATCATCCTGTTTACTGAGTGGCTTGGGTCAGTGTCTGTAGATAAATTAATAATGGTTTTCTCTGTCTCTGGCAGCTAACACAATGTCAACTCTTCAGAGTAGGGAGAGGCAATATTCCCCTATTACATGTATCTTGGCAAAAATGGCTGCAAATGCATAGGAATGCAGTTCACAGCCTTCTTTGGAGGTTTCTATGAATCACAGTTTTACATTCCCACAGCTGGAGTGAATCACGAGTCTGCGACTTATACAAAAGAGTTATTATCTAAGGCAAATGCTCTTTCATCTCATTTGCATTTACTTCCAAATTGTTATCTGTCCCCTTGGGTGAAGGTCTAATTACAGGTATTTATTGGAATGATTGTGTGGCTCTGCTTTCCCTCCAGCTTCCATCAAAGTGTAACATTAAAATGATGGGCACATGTTCGCCTTGCTAACCGTCCTCATGCAAGGGGTGGTCACTCTCCAAAATATCCTCTTCAAATAAAAAGGGTGACAATATGGGGTACAATCAAGGTCCTAGCAGGAAACAGATGGCACACTCAAATTAGGTTAATTCATGGAGGGTTTCATGAAGAGGCTATTTACAAAGGTTTGGGCAGGGGGTAGCGAAACCACAAGTGAGAGCACGATACCCCAAGGCTGGTAAACAGCAGGCAGTGACCAGCCCTAGGCCTAACTGCTCAGAAAGGAAAGGATCCTGAGGAGATGGCTGTGTTGACTTGCCTTTGATAGAGGGATGCAGTCAGCCCTGGACTACGCTGAGGAATCAAACACTCTGACCTTGCTCTCCTCTCTCTTCAGATCTGACAACCAGAAGCCAGAGAGTAGAAGGGCACATACAAGTCATTCTCCCAGGGCCGAAAGTGAGGGAGGTTGGGGAAGGTGGAGAGTGGATACTGAGAGGTACATGGAAGCTGGCTGGTAAAAGTGGGAGGGCCAAGAGTTCAGTCTGGATGTGCCAGATATATGAGTTCAATTAGTCACCAAGAAGAGGCATCAGGTAGGCAGCTGGATCTATGACTGCAGTTCCAGAGGAAGGCCTGAGCTGGAGATGCATTTGGGACTCACAGGCTTTTTAAAGCCACAAGGCTGATCACAAAGATTATCACACTGTGACATACATCACACGGCACTGGGTGGAGCCATGGGCGTCAAAGCTTGACTGCAAAGAGAATGGGAGAGAGAAACAGACACTGAGTGTGAACAACTCTTTTAAATAGTTTTTGCTGCAAAGAAGAGAAAGAAAGTGGGGAGCAGCTGTTAGGGGAAGTAAAGTCAAGGAAAGGTCGACTTTTTTAAGAAAGGAGAACTAACAGTAGGTTTGTATGCTGATGGGAATAATCCAGGAAAAAGAGTAAAACTAATGGTAGAGGAGAGGGAGGACTATGGCAAGGAGAAGAACAGAGTTCCCTGAATTAGGGGGCAGCTGCCACTCAGCTCCAGCCAATGGTTTACAGTCCTCTCGTTTCTCAAGAGAAGTCAGAAATTGGTGTTTTTTTGTTTTGTTTGTTTGTTTTTAAGCACGAAGTCTCCTGATATTTAGCAGGAGATATGTTGACAACTAATTACATTTTTTTTCAAACTTTCTGAAGTTGAATGAAACTCGTCTGCAGGCCACCGGTTGGCAACCTCTCCTAGATTGCTGACTTTGGTTCCTTCCATAGTTATCAGGTGTGGCCTCCTGGTTTAGGGACCTCTGAAGGTCACTGGCTATTTACTGTCTAAAATCTTTGAACCTGTAAGTGCCCCTGCAGTGGTGCTTGGCCAGGGTGGCTAATGATATAGTCCCTGTCCCCTTCACAAAGGGCAGCGGAACTGAGGTTGCCAGACCTAGCCGCACATCCTATACTTAAGTCCTCACAGTTAATACTTAGGCTTCATGTATGCTGTTTACCTCCTCCCGCCTCCTCCTCACTGAGGAAACTATTATCTGCAGGCCAATGCAAATAAAGGTCACCAAGACACACTCACGGGCCAAACACTGAATGCTGGCATGCTGGAAGGGTTGATTGTTTGTAGGCTCCCAGCTAATAAAGGAAATGCCAATCAAAGGGGGCCTTCTCGCCTGCTCCCAACTCAAATGCAGCCCTGGCTGCCAGTGAGAGCTGCAAGCAGGACAGCACTCAGATTTCTGAGGATGCCTGGCACCTGCACAGAAAAATCGCAGAGTCTGGTGATTTGACAGTCTGTCCCTGACCTGGGGAGGACACAGGGCCTGCTAGCCAGGAAGGAAGGAGTGCTGACTTCAGTCATATGGCAGGCTTCCTCCAGAGGCAAGAGTGAGGAGGAAACCCCACCTTGTGAGGGCTGCTGTGTTTTTATATGCACATGACTAATCTTTATGACAGGGTTAAATCCCAGACCTCTCCAATTTTCCCCATGTGAACATAGCATTAAAAATGTTTCTCAGGTCACAGTGCTGGTTTCCCCTTGTGGCACCTGCCTCCTCCTGGAAGTGTAATGTAAGCCTCAAAAAAACCTGTATCTTAAATATTTCTTCTCACTTAACAATAAGTAACTCAAGCTTTAGGTGAGGCAGAGACAGCTTTTATCTCTGAACCATTCCACTCTCACTCCTCTTTTGGTTTAGTCCTATGTAGAACAAGACAGGAAATGGACACACCATCCTGTCACACCGCTAACCCCTCCGTCCTCAAATCTACCTGGCAGAATAAAGGGAGGGAAAAAAAGGAGCAGAGAGTTCCCCATCAGAAACACTTTTCAAGGTCTCCGCCATGGAATCCAAAATAGTTCTTCCTGTTCTAAGTGAGAAGGAAACTGGTGGAGCAGGGTGGTGGGGGGCAGATTTATCAAGAGCTCCCTATGAGGGGAAGATTCTGGGAAGACAGCAGTAGTGGCAAGCATAGTCTTTCAATCTCTCCAAGTCCCCACATAAAAATAGGAAAACAAGATAGCAAAACCCAAAACCCATGGACAACACTTATAACAAAATGAGATGAAGGGGTATCCCTCTGAGCCCCCAAATATAAGTGAGTAGAAACAAACTACCAGAAATCCCTAAACCTGCATGGGGCCTATCAGTGCAGGAGGAAAAAGAGGAAAGCAATGGGGACTGTGACTTATGAACCTGAGAACAGAAAAACCACAACAGGTATTCACTGGAAAACAGAGGACCAATGTGAGAAGAGCAGTTGAAACTGGGAGGTGCTGCCCTCTCCAATAACAAGTGAATGCAAGTGGCCTGCAGTGAGAAGGGGTCTCTAGCAACTCCCCAAACCGATCAGGCCCCCTTCTAGGACAGGGGCCATGCTGCGGGGAAGCTGCTGGAGTGCAATCAAAATGGAGCAGAATAGGGACAAGAGAGACAAAGGAAATGGAGAGTTCAGACCAAACTGAGGGAGAGGAGCAGAGCCAAGAAAGCTCAGAAAGCAAGCTGCCATATTTGAATACTACACAAAAACAACAAAAGGAGCCGAGTGAAGTAAGAAAAGCTGCTCTGAACCCCTCCTCATTCTGAAGTTTAGAAAAACTACTTTTACTAAAAATGAGCCATAGAAAAGTATCACACAAGATACCACACAAAGTTATTACAAGGGGAAAGAATATGAGCTGAATAGCATTCCACAGGCAAAGAAAGCATGCTGGAAAGGCACGCCCACAGAACAACAAAATTGTCAACTCACACTTCAAAATGAGTCGGACGACATTTTAAAAATGATAGAAAACCTGAATGAAAAATCAAAACTAGAAATACACAGAAATGAGGCAACAAAACTCAAAAATTAAACATATTTCAGAAATAAAGAACTAGAAGAAACACAATAGCACAAATACACAACAGATAACGCATTAAGACAAATATGCAAAAGAGAAACATTTTAAAAATCAAAAAGAAATTTCAAAAAACAAAAAAGGATTCAAGAGAAAATGAGAAAAATTAAAGATATGCAAAGGAACTCCAGCGCACTGATAATAAGAGTCCCTTGCAGCATAAGCAAAGCCAATGTGAGGGAACAGAACAAATACTGAAAACTATAATTCACAAAAACTCTTCTAAATTTAAAAAAGAAAAGACTTAAAAGTACACATTGAAGAAAACACACCATGTACCTCAGAATATCATCCCACAATGACCAATAGCAAACCACATTCTAGTAAAATATACTGTTAAGAAAAAACAAAAAACAGGAAGAAAGAGGGGAAGGGGGCAGAGGGGAGGAGAGGAGAGATCCTCTGAGCACCTAGGAAAAGAACATATGAATTATAAGGGAAGAAATTAAATTGCCATTCGTTTTTTCCACAACGATGCTTTTTGCCAGAAGGAAATGGAATGATATATTTAAGATATTCAAAGAAAGAACGAGCCAATAATCTTATATCAAGCAAAACTCACTTTCAAGTATAAATGGTACAAACTTATCAATTTGCATGCAAGGGCTCAGGGAATATCATCCCCAAGAACTTTTCTTGAGGAACATGACTAGGACAAATGACCAGACAACCAAAGTGGCTGACATTGACATTGAAAATGGCTGACATTGGCTAAGGATTGCTTTATACTTTATGGAACTATGACTATGAGAAGGCTAAAAACAACACAAAGTTCCACTACTGAAAAACAGTGGAAAGGGCAGATTCAAATTATATGCATGTATGTATGTATGTATGTATGTATGTATGTGAGTGTCTACGCACATATACCTTTCCTAGCTCTGTCCACTGAAAAGGCCAGGAAACAAAGGCTGATCCAGTAGTAAAGTGCATCCCTACACCACATATGGCTTTAAAGTACAACTTTTCACTAAAAGAACCTGGGGCTTATTAGAGAAATGGTGGATTCCAGGTGTGACACGGGAAGTTTCCAAGATAAGCCTAGAACACTTCATCATACAAGAAAGCAACGAAGGCCAGGCATGGTGGCTCACGCCTGTAATCCCAGCACTTTGGTAGGCCAAGGCAGGCGGATCACCTGAGGTCAGGAGTTCAAGACCAGCCTGGCCAACATGGCAAAACCCCATCTCTACTAAAAATGAAAAAAAAATTACCTGGGTATGGTGGCGTGCGCCGTAGCCCCAGCTACTCAGGAGGCTGAGGCAGGAGAATCACTTGAACCCAGGAGGTGGAGGTTGCAGTGAGCCGAGATCATGCCACTTCACTCCAGCCTGGGTGACAGAGAGAGACTCTATCTCAAAAACATAAATAAATAAATAAATAAATAAATAAATAAATAAATAAATAAATAAAAATAAAAAAGAAAGCAAGGAAGCAATAAAAGACTGCTTGATTATAAGGACCTAGGAGACACTTTGAAGAGGCTTCCACTAGCCCAAGATGAGATAATTTGAGCTTCATAATGATAATAAATGCAATGTATTGAGACATATTAAATAGGTTTAAATCCATGAGTTCTTAAGTGATTTTTTAAAAAAGGAATTGGTCACCTTTGAAATGTGACAGAACCACAGTAGCTCTTCAATATCCACAGGAAACTGGTTCCAGGACCCCAAGGATACCAAAATCCACAGTGTTCAAGTCCCTTATATAAAATGATGTAGTATTTGTATAAAATCTACACACATCCTCCCGTATACTTTAAATCAACTCTAGATTATATGTAATACCTAATACAATGTAAATGCTATATAAATAGTTGTCACACTATACTGTTTAGGGAATAATGACAAGAAAAAGGTCTGTACATGTTCATTACATACGCAATCATCCCATTTTTTTTTCCAAATACTTTTTGGTCTGTGGTTGGTTGAATCCAGAGATGTAGAACCCACAGATATGGAGGACCAACTGTAATTCATTATATTGAGAATAAGTAAATAAAGGGAAAGAATCAAGCATTCAGCCTTCTTTTCCTATGTGAACTATGCCATTGATGTATTGATAGTAAATGAATTATCTCTGTATAAATATATTCCAACTAATAAATGGGAAAGACATAATAGAAATAGAATGGCATCATTTTGCAACCCAAATGAATTAATAGATGTAGACATTAAGCATAACAACTGTTCCTATCACAAAAAGAGAGACAACCAGATATCCTGTGCCTCCTATGATCTTGCCAAATACCACCTAGAATCTTGCCAAAGGGGTAAACAGGAATCTGATCCAGTGTCTGGATCCAGTTGCCAATTTCCAGGAAATACAGAGGAAAGGGGAACGTGTTGTACTGCACCAAGAGACTGCAGGCAGCAAGACCCAGACTCAGGGAAACTCTAAAGGTCAAATAGCCTGGATTCTTCCACATAAATTTTAAGAAAGCAAAAGGGATGAAGAGCGTATCTGTAAATTAAAAGAGACCTAAAGGCATATCAGATGTTAAAAATGATCACGACTAAACAATAGTGCTAAAGACACACAAATGCAGGATAACATTATAAAAATGCATCAAATGATTATGATAAAGTCAGGATATAGTTACTTTTGTGGGGAAGGAGGGACCTGTGATTGGAATGAGGTACATGGAAGGGCCTTCTGAATAGATAACAAAGTTCTACTTCTTGCCTGGGCTATGATTTCAAGAATGTTTACCTTAAAATACTTATTGTGCCGTATGCTTGTTTTGTGTTATTTTAAGTATCTGTGCTTTATTTGATGACGATGATTATGATGATGATGAAGGAGGAGGAGAAAAGAAGAAGGAAGAAGAAAAGAAAGAAGGAAGAAGAACAGCTCACTAAAGCTTAAATAAAGTAGATTGGTCTTACTAGCTGGCAAAAAGGCCTCTAGATTGAGAGTTAACTTTTAAAGCTTGACATCTGGCAAATAAACAGTAAAAGCTGAGGCCCCTCAATTTCCATTAAAAACAACTGAGACATATAAACAGGATTCTAAGACAAGGAATATAATGGAACATTCCATTTTCTGGTCAATCACTGAGTAAAGGAAATAACATAATTGCCTGTTCAATGGGTTAGGGGTTAGTGATCGTCTATGAGAAAATAAAAAAGGGGGATTAAAAAGAGGAAGGAAAAAAGAGAAGAACAGAATAAAGATCAAATTTGGTGACAGGATGGACCTCTGAGCTCCCACCTGAAAGGGCTTACCAGCTGCTCTGCCTATGCAGTAGCCACTCTTTTATTCCTTTACAAAAGAAAGAAAAGAAAGAGAAAAGAAAAGAAAGAAAGGAAAAGAAAGAGAAAGAAGAGAAAAAGAGAGAGAAAAAGAGAAAAAGAAAAAAACAGAAAGAAATAAAGAGAAAAAGAAGAAAGACAAAGAGAAAAAGAAACAGAAAGAAAGAGGCAAAGAAAGAGAAAGAGAAAGAAAAAGAGAAGAAAGGAGAGAAAGAGAAAGAGAGAGGAAGGGAGGGAGGAAAGAAGGAAGGAAGGAAGGAAGGAAGGAAGGAAGGAAGGAAGGAAGGAAGGAAAGAAGGAAGGAAGGAAAGAAGGAAGGAAGGAAAGAAGGAAGGAAGGAAAGAAGGAAGGAAGGAAAGAAGGAAGGAAGGAAAGACGGAAGGAAAGACGGAAGGAAAGACGGAAGGAAAGACAGAAGGAAGGAAGGGAGGCGTTCTCATCTTTGTAGGTAGAAGCAGAGTCTGGTGCAGGGTCAGGAGATGGGAACAATTCCCCACCAAAGACTATGATGTCTAACCAGAAAGCCAGATGCATTTCCCAGGAAGCTGATGGACCACCAGCACATTCTTTGATTTCCCTGAGGGGAATGAAGATTATCAAACCCTCCTGAGAGAAGTATTAATTAATATACTGGGTAATTACTGTTTTTATGTCAGGAGATAGTGCAAAAACTACTTTAACTGAGACAGGTCAGGAAAGCTCCAGATAATTTTGCAGACACCTTTTGAAAAGAGTTGTAAAAGGATGAGGAATGGAAAGAGGGTGTATGACCCTCCAGAAAAACACAGACATGTTCCAGTCCTCACTCTCAAATCTTGTTTCATCTAGAGCTGTGGTCAATTTAACCGGGGTACTGTGCTACAGTTATCTAAATCTTGATGATTTGATAGCTTTAAAAAATCTATAAAACAGAAATATTTTATCCAATTAAAAAGAAAACTTCCCATCAAAAAAATGTGTTAACCTCTAGAATAGATTACTAAGGGAAGTTCTGTCACAAGAGCCCAAAGAATCATGTATTCAGAATCCCCTAAGGTGCAGGTGCACATGACGACAGGTCAAAGAGATGCCTATGGTGTCTCCCAAGGAGATCATGATTGCCCTGTTCCATCACTGCCCAGGTGTGCTGGCCATCACAGGAAGGCAGGAGAGCATGGTGGCTGGAGCAGACATGTATCAGAAAGATTTAAATTCAAATCCTGGCCTTTGTCGCTTACTAGCTCTGTGACTGTGGGCAAATTAATTAACCTCTTCAAATGTTCATTTCTTCATATGTAGAATAAGGAAAGTCATCACACCTATTTCATCAGGTTGTTGTGAAGATTGGCTGTACTTTATTTGTAAAGGGCAAAATACCTGACACTCAATAAGAACTCACTAAATGTGACCCATTCTCATCATTATTATTAACATCACTGTCATCACTGGAAGGAGGGTCTGTTAAGGAACATGATGGTTTAAACCAGCAGTTCTCAAAGTGTGGTCCCCAAACCAGCAGCATCTGTGGACTCAGAAATGCAAATCCACCTCCTCACCTTCCAACCCCAGACCTACTGAATCAGAACCTCTGGGGTAAGGCCCCACAATCTGTTTTAACAAGCTCTCCAGTCATTCCAGGCATATTAGAGTTTAAGAACCACTGACACAGAAAAATCATATGTTGAAGCCTCTTGCAAACTTTAGCAGCCAGAGGCAACCTTGAGTTTTCCAGGAAGGCTGCTAAAATTCTGCTTTTTCATTGACTGAAAAATAATGAACTTGAAATCTAGCCTTAATTTTTCAGCCAGTGATGCTGAAGACAGAATTCCTGCCTGATGACCCCCACTAGCCTTATAAGTAAACTGAAGGCAGAGATTGTGGTTTGCCGCCTATGTATTCCCCAGTATCTCATACACTGTCTGACAGATTGTAGACACTGGATAAATATTCATTGACTGAACAACGAATGAAGAGTTAGTAGAAAGCTAGAGACAATTACACCATTCAACCAGCAGATAAATGCACATCTAAGGGAATCTAATTCCGAATTTGGTTTAACAAATACATGCTTTCTAGAACTTAGAGGACATTCATTTCTTTGGTTTAGTCAGCAACTTAAATATATTTTATTCAAATGTATGACTTCCAATTGAAATAGAAAAAAAAGACTAACAGTGATTTTTAAAACCTCAAATAACTAAATCCCCAGTGAAACTGAATTTGGGCCAGTATTGTCAGCCCTGAGGTTAAAGAGGCAACCAAAAGAAAACAAATGGGAATAAAGGATGTAGTTATTGCTGTAACTCCAATTCTGAGGCAAGATCCTGGAAATAAAGAGTGAAATGACTTTCTCCATGTGTACATATATATTATAGTAGAAGCATAAATTATTGCTTTTATCCTGAAGAATGACAAAATCCAGATTAATCAAAGGAAGATAAATAGACTATACTGGATATAATTTATTAAGGCTGGAAGATATAAAAATTTTGTTTTAGGAAGGAAGGTTTCAATAATTCTATATTTCAATTAATCCATATATCTCATTAAACATGTATCCCCATTAATTAAAGTTTAACTGTTACATGTTTAGAAAGCAGGAATCAAATTATCAAGTAGAAGCATCACATTGTCATAGAGAAAAGTATCTTTTCGTTTAAGAATTAGTACATAAAGCTAACAACTGCCATTCCAGGAGACATAGGAAAATTAAATACAGTTTGGCACCCATCCTCACTTATACCCTGTACAGAAAAAAATTAAAGTAATAAAAAGAATGTCAGCGGCACAGATGCCAGGATCATCCATATTTATCTTCCTTCTTGTATTTGACCACCTATCAGTGCAAACAGCCCTCAGTAAAACTGAATTGGTTTATCAATATTCTCAGCAAAGCATATTTGGTTTCATCAATATAAGATCTATTGCCACCAACAGATCTTGAGAGTCTGGTCTCCTGGCCTGGGAACTTCACCTCTCTTAGAGAGCTGCCACACAGAATGAATGAAAAACATGTTATCTAGAACAGTTCTATACATTAGATAAAAAGAAAAAAGAAAAGTGAATGAATGAAAGTGGTTCCTTGGTGGCACTTGATAAAATAATGTAGAGTTAATAAATGAATTAATAGGGAAGGTAGAGCCTTCATTTTTTATTTTTGGCTTAGTAATAACAAGAGACCCTCAGGCGCTTAAGGAGCACTGTATTAGTCTGTTCTCACGCTGCTATGAGGAAATACCCAAGACTGGATAATTTATTTAAAAAAAGAGGTTTAATTGACTCACAGTTCTGCATGGCTGGGGAAGCCTCAGAAAACTTACAGTCATGGCAGAAGGCTCCTCTTCACAGGGCAACAGGAGAGACAATAAGTGCCAGCAGGGGAAATGCCAGGTGCTTATAAAACCATCAAATCTCGTGAAAACGTACTCACTATCAGGAGAAAAACATGGGGGAAGCCGCCCTCATGATTCAAGCACCTCCACCTGGCCTCACCCTTGACACGTGGGGATTATTACAATTCAAGGTGAGATTTTGATGGGGGTAAAGAGCCAAACCATATCAAGCACCAGGGCATTAATTTGTAAGTAGCTCTTAGGACATTCCTAAGAGCTTAACTCACTCTCAAGGAGAACTCACTGACTCATGCATTCATTCACATATTCATTCATTGAGTTCTCTTTAATTTTGTATTTAGGTGTACCTTTAGATGTACTTCAGTATTTCAAAAGTAGGACAATTGACTTATCCACTTTTCTACGTATTCTATTGACTTTTTTTTCAGTGACTGCAAACTCTTCAAGGATTTCGTTCTTGTAAGACACTTAGAAGATCTCTGTTCACTCTCCAACCTTCATAAAATTATTAAAAATACTTTTAAAAAGTTCCTCATTTTAAATTTCACAATGTTTTCATTCTTTATTTTTCCATTAAAAAGGTTATTTATACTTTATAGCAGTGGTGTTCACAATCACGTGATAATGGAAGAAACTGCAATACGCCTTAAAGAGTCAACATTGTCTGCTGAATCTTTGAAGTTAAGAAATTTGGAAGCTGAAACATACAAAAGATACCTAAGATGCTTCAGCTTCCACCAGCATGCCAATGACTCCCAGAGCTCTATCTGCAGCCCAGCCTCTGTTCTGAGCTCCAGGCTGGATAAGGAGCTGGTTTCCTGACACTATTACTCTAATGGTATAGAGGTCTGCAAGGCTTCAAATGCTCAGCATTCAAGTGTGTGCATGTACACACACACACACACATGCATGCTTGCCATTTGCCATCATTAATTCATAAAATGGAATTTAAGAGTGGGCCTTTGTGTGAGAAGTGAGCCAAGTTCTCAGTCCAGAGATATACTTGGGAGGTGTCTCAGCACATGTTTTCTTCCATGCTTGTTTCTGATGCTAACCAATGTTGCAAATGGCAACTGACAATTCCAGACCCTCCTAGATGCCTGCAGAACACTTAGGTCCTGTCCTCATTATTCTCTCTCCTTGTTGACTATCATTTAAAGAAGCAATGATGCTACATACTTACATTAACTGATGAATAAACAGACAGAGGTTTTTTTGAGGAACCTTGGGTAACGGTTCTGTAGAAACTATATACTTGACCTAAATAATAAAACTGGTTGGTTGGTGACCTTAGAGGTATTTTCTCCTCTTTTTAGTTCACCAGCTTCTGAGTCTCCTTGTTTGTGACGCACGTCAGACCATCAACAGTTAGGCAAAGATGGTAAGATATTATAGTACAAAGAGACTGACAGACTGCTAAAGCTACCACGAGTTAGGACTTATCTCTGATGAGTGTGTATGGTATTCCTGCTATAACAAGACAATTTGAGTGGGAACTTTTCAGTTACATATAACAAATCCCTTTTGTTTAAATGACTGGTATTAAGGTGATTAGCACTGTTCCTTTTGTTTTAACAACTTATATGATGAGAAAGGAACCCTCATGATCTGGAGGGGAGGGAATACAGCGAGTAAGTCAGACTGTACAACCTATGCATAATAGAAGCCCCTCAGGAGGTCACAATGATTACACATTGCTCCATTAATTTGTAGGTAGGCTGAGGAAGATAAGGGACATTCCCAAGAATTTAACTCACTCTCAAGGAGAATTTACTGACTCATTCATTCATTCACTGAGTTCTCTAATTTTGAGATTTAACATGGCCACAGTCACTTATCATCTTCCTCTTCAAACGTCCTGCTACTTTTCCTATTCCCATCTCTCCATGACTGGTACCATCTGCCCAACCACATCCAGATGTCCTGCCTTTTCTAAATCCTACTTAGGTTTCCTAGCCTGAGTTCTGGGGTCAGATGTAGGAGTTGAAAGTGGATATTTAGCAGGTGAGGCAAGTTGAAAGATGGAACAGCCTACCATGGAGGGGGCAGGTGGAGTTAGGAGGCAGGTAACTGGTAATGAACTGTGCCCTTCAAAGAGACTCTAGTAGTGAGCTAAGCATTTCTGGCCTATATGGGTGGACGATGTACGTCTGGAGGAGATCCAAACTGGCCTCCCACTCCACAGAGACAAGAACTGACTGAAATGCTTTTTTGTACAGCTTCTTGGTACACCAGAGGGTATCAGGAAGTCCTCCTGGAGATTTGTAATTGCTACGAGCATTGGCTGGCGGCTGAGAGGCTAGCAGTGAGAACTGCAAGGTGTCATATTAGACACAGGGCCACCAAAGTCCTTAGGAACTCTACAGTTCTGAACAAGCCATGTTATCCAGCCAAGCCGCAGATACAGGAATTGAATGCAGGCCTCTCCAGCCACTGCCACCGTCTTCCACCCTGAGGAGAGTAGCCACCAGAACATGTGACCTTGAGGAGTATGAAGGTCAAAGCTGGCATGCTGAGTTCAAATTGAGGCACAAATTAAAGAAACAAGGTGGCAAGTGGAAGGCAGAAAATGGGAAAATGGGGCAAGGAATCAAGGCACCAGAAAGTCAAAACCAAGAAGGGGCAGAGTTGCTCTGGATGGATTCTGAAGACTAAGTATAAATGTCTATGGGCTTTTTTATCTGCTCCTAACATTCTCTGATGTGGGCAAGCCAAGATTATTCAAATGGTTAGGACAGGGATCAAGAGCAGCAAACTGAAGGTGGTTCATGCCTGAGATCACAATTTTCACTGCAGAGTAACAGGTAAGTTCAACTGCTGAGAGAGAAAGCAAGCGAGAGAGAGAGAGAGAGAGAGGCAGAGACAGAGACAGGGACACGTATGGGTCAGGGACTCATAGAACTGTTTAGGTCTGAGACAGCCACTGTGGGAGTGGAGAGGGAGCTGACTGAGGACACACAAGCACTTCCTAGCAACGCTGTGGGCCCATTTGAAGCTGGAGACCACACATTTGTTGTAGCACCATTACACCTGAGTTTGTGGTTTTCTTGTATTGAGCAGTTTTAGAAGCAGCAGCAGATTGCAAGAGTGATACAAGCTTTGGCATTAACAAAGCAAATGCAGTGGTTACACAATAAGTTAAGGGAGTAAGGGAGAAGCAAATGAAATCATTCACTGGGTACATCTAGGTTGGAAAAGAAAGGAAGGTATGATTGTTAATTTTGTGTGTCAACTCGGCTGGGCCACAGTGTTAGATATGTGGTGAAACATAATTCTGGATATTTTTGTGAGAGTGCTTTCAAATGAGATGAATATTTAATGAGTGGACTTTTAGGAAAACAAACTGTCCCCCATGATGTGGGTGGGCCTCATCCAACCAGCTGAAGGCCTGAATAAAGATTGAACTCCCCTAAACAAGAAGGAATTCTGCCAACAGACAGTCTTTGTATTTGAACCACAACACTGGATCCTCCCTGAGTCTCCATCCTGCCAGCTCATCTTGCATATTTTGGACCTCTCAGCCTTGGTAATCATGTGAGCCAATTCCTGAAAATAAATTTCTCTTTTACTTCTATACACATCCTATTGATTCTGTGTCTCTAGAGAACCCTGACTAAAACAGAAGGTAAGTACGTAGAGAGGAGAAGGACAAGGTGACGGGACATCAAGGCACCAGAGTCCTGAACAGCACATTCAGTGAAGGTAATGGAATGTGGGAAGGATGAAAATTACTACACTCACTGTTAGGAGAGTTTCACATTTCAGATGAAGAGTGGATTTGAATGAGAACAAAACCAGAGGTGTAGAGGTAGAGAACTTGGAAACTGAACAGGCCTTTGAGACGCAGGCATTGGATGGGCTGTCCACATGCACATGAAAGCAGTGCATCAGGCTTGAGCATGAGTTTGAAGCAGAGAGAGAAGAGAAAAGATTGCAAGCCAGGATGTCAGCAGACAGGGAGGGCTGCCTGGTAAAATTCTTCGATATCATCTGCAGCAAATGTCTAACTCCTTCGCATGGCATGAGTGCTCTGCATAACCTGGCCCTTTGTACCTTCCAGCTCAACTTTTCTCAGTCCAGACCAGCGAGTCATCAGCCACGCTGACCTTGTCTGTGGTCTGGAAGCTCTCATCATGCAACTTCTGCACATTCCATTCTTCTTGCCTGGCATTCTGCTCCTGGCCCCAACCATCTCTATATATACTGAAGGCTTCAAATAAACCCAAAAAGAATTCTCAATTTGATAAACATTCCTAATATACCAAAGGCCATCTGGGTAATTGTCTCCTAAAGGTTAGGAAAAGTTCATCCTATCCTTAGTAATTAGTTGTTCCTTAAATAAAGCAACCTTCACTTTTCTTGGAATTGTAGTTTCTACAAATCCTTTAAAAAGTTTCAGGCTACTCAATCTCAATCACATCCCAGTATTTGAGCATTGTGGATTCAATACAGGTAGCATAAGATAATCGTATTAATTACTTGCAGAGATGATGATAAGCCTGCAGCAGGTGACAACGAGTGGACTCACCTCCAAGCTCTTCATTTTTTGCATACCTGTGTCCATTGCCATCTCTCTGCCAGATTTCCAGTTTCAATGTTTAGTGCAAATATATGCTTTTTGCACTGACTTCTTGTACTAGTCTTGATTTTCTTCCTATAGCCTTTCTTGAACTTAGTATGTGATTTTAAAATTGGTGAATAATATATGAGCCTGGTTTTAATGTTTAAAGTATGAGGCAGTTCAATAAACAGATGAGGAGATAGATGCTCCTCAATTACATTGATTCATGGCTTTCCAACTGATAACTAGATCAGAGACTTTGGCAACAAAATTCAAGGAATGAGGCATTACATAAATAAATTTTTTCCTTGGCTGAGAAAAATTTACCCCTTGGACTCATTTTCTTCCCTCCATAATAATTGTATGGGGATGGGGACAGACGTTAGGGGACTGGAGCAACTCCACAGCAAGAGGCTACCCTCACGTGTTTGTTCATCTTCCCAAACCACTGTCACCAAGTTCTCCCTAGTGATACAGAGAGCATCATTACACAGTTCCACCTGTGGATAGTCTTCAACAGGTGACCCTTCTTTTTACAATTAAGCAAGCTGAAGTTCTTCATGGCAGAAATATGATTTCTTTTATGATTATGAAAAGTATGATTATTTTCTTCCTTAAACTAATTGTTTTCTTCCTTAAACTAAATTCGGCTTCCTTCTTCCTTCCTTAATAAACTTCTCATTCACCGTGAAATTGAAAACACAGCCTTTTCCTGATGACCAGATGGCCCAGCAAATTTAATCACTTCAAGCACTCCACACTTCCTCTCCACTACCCTCCATCCATGGTGGGGAAATGAAGAAGCAAATTCCTCATTTCTTCCAGATGCCAACCTCTCTTGTGAACTTCCCCCAACCACTATTATAAAAGCCAGATATACATGAGCAATGAAGTTGAAGAAAGAAAATATTTCTTTTTTTTTTTTTTAAGGCAGATTCTCGCTCTGTCGCTCAGGCTGGAGTGCAGTGGTGCGATCTCAGCTCACTGCAAGCTCCGCCTCCTGGGTTCAAGCGATTCTCCTGCCTCAGCCTCTGGAATAGCTGGGACTACAGGTGCGTGCTACCACACCCGGCCAATTTTTTGTATTTTTAGCAGAGACGGAGTTTCACCGTGTTAGCCAGGATGGTCTCCATCTCCTGACCTCATGATCCTCCTGCCTCGGCCTCCCAAAGTGTTGGGATTACAGGCGTGAGCCACTGTGCCCGGCCGGCCTAAGTATTTCTTTAAAGCTATAAAATAAAACAAATCTTCCAAATGAGGGAAATGGTAAATAAATAAAATAAGTCAAAATTATATTCTTGATTAATGTTTAATTCAACAAGAATGCCACTCAAATTCATTCTAATTTATCTGGAATACTTGTTTGAATTAAAATGTCCTTTCAAATTCATATCTAGTACTCCAGAAAGTAAAGCAAATAAATTTTGATGGATAATGTAGGGCAATGAGTATAGAGTCTTCCCCACATCAATTGATATCCACTTAATACTGTGGGCTCTTCCAGCTAATAAAGGCTTGTCCTGACTTCCTGAATATGTTTTCCTTTGATGGTCTTACCTAGGCAAATTTATTGAAGTTTCCAAACCTGTTTGTTCCACCTGGAAAAAATGAGGCCTTTCGACTTATGAAAAAATATGGGGAAAGAAGTCATGTTGGTAAAGTATTTTCAAGCACAAATAAATTAACTACACAAAGAGGAAATTATTCCCATAATTTGTTCTCGCATATCATCAGGAAATCAATCCCCTCCCCTTTCTCAAACCAATTTTGGAGATGGTGACTAATCTTATTTACATGGGGACTGATAACTCCTTCATTTACTGCTTAAATAACAGCATGCTAGAGTGGCTATGAACTGTTAAGGAAAATTGGTTTGCAATAAGGATCTTTATTAACAGAGTTGTTCAGTGAAACCAAAACTGAAGTGGCAGCATCTATTCTGCATTTGGAAAAGATGCTATTAGAAAATGCACAAGCGGCGAGGGGCAGTGGCTCACATCTATAATCCCAGCACTTTGGGAGGCCATGGGGGGGCCCATCGCTTGAACTCACGAGTTCGAGACCAGCCTGGGCAACATGGTGAAACCCAGTCTCTACAAAAAATACAAAAAATAGTCAGGTATGGTAGTACACGCCTATAGTTCCAGCTACTAGGGAGGCTGAGGTGGGAGAATAGCTTGAGCCTGGGAGGCAGAGGTTGCAGTGAGACCTTGTCTCAAAAAATAGAAGAAAGAAAATGCACAAGCAAGTCACATACACACTTGTTTCTAAAAGCTGAAGACACTAAAGCATTCTAAAAAGCATGGCAATAAATCCATCATTCAGAAACAAAAGTGGATTATACAGGTTCCAGCCTAAATGTTTACATGGCATATTTTCCCATCCTTTCAATACTCATTTTATAAAAAGAAATTTGACTAAAGAGTTCCTGTGTCCAACCCTTTTCTAATAATAAATGGTTATTATGAATCTTCATTTTGATAATTCACTGTAAACCGTTATTAATCAGAAGCCTCAGATAGATATAAAAAGATTGTTTCTATGAAAATTCCTCACCACAAAAGACAAGAAATCTTTCAGATTCAACAGAAAACAATTACTATACTTGCTAATTCAAGACGGTAAAAGCTTTCCTCACCATAAAAAGACACATAAGCTAATAAATGGTTTTCATACTTTTGTTTATTGGTGACTTTATGCACAGTATTTATAAAAACTGGTCAGTGTAGAGGGAGACTAAATAATGCTGTTTCAGGCAACAATCTTGAACGCTAGCAACTTGACAAAGGAGAGAAATTCAGAGAAATGTTTTGTCCCTCCTCCACAGAACACATCAAACCTGGACTTCCAACTCGAGGGCCACAGAATATTGACTGTAAACCTTTCTAGTCAGTAAGGGAAACACTGCCTTGGTGCAAGAAGTAAACATCGCCCAATATTCCCCAGAAATTCTTCAGCAAGCAAAACAGTGTACAATAGGAAAAAAAATAATGCAGATTTTAGTTCCTAAAATAAACTTTATGCAATCACAGGAAGCATTTAGATCCTTTTCCCCTCTCTTGCAGGAAAATGAAACAATCTCTGGGCCACAGGAAATAACACAAGTTTTAGAAAATCCCCGTGGGAAGACAGAAAAAAACTTCAAGTGGATCTCTGAGTCCCATAAATGACGTAAAGAAAAACAGATGTTCAAAGGCTCAGTACTCCAACAAGAAGTAATCGATTTGTACCGGTGAGAGTGACGACTCCCTCCTAAGCTCGTGGAAACAGGACAGCAGAAAGCCACACACACTACAGTCAATATGTCTCCGTACAACTAGCTCCTGCTCTTATTTTGGCAAAAAGAACAACTGCAAGAAGAGTGACAGCAAAAAGTGCTGAAGAAAGGAGGGATGAGGGGTGGGAAAGAAGAAAAGTTGGACAGGACTCATGTTAGGGTGCCAGCAGTTTCTGCTGAAAATTAGCAACCACATGGGCATGGCAATATCGACGGCACAGCTTAAGAAAAGTCCCCAATCCAATACTATACGTATGTAAAAATGCACAGCATAATGTAATTGGGACGAAGAAAAAGTTTATAGCATGCTACAGTCTGAATGTGTCCTCCCAAGATTAACACTCCAATGTGGTATTAAGAGGAGGGGCCTTAGGGAGACGATTAGTTCATGAGAGCTCCACCCTCATAAATGAGATTAGTGCCTTTATAAAAGAGGCCTGAGGAAGCTCGGTCACCCCCTTCGCCTTCTGCCATGTGGGAATGCAGCAAGAAGACACCATCTTGAAGCAGAGAAAATAAGCCCTCATGAGACACTAAATCTGCTGGCATCCCGATCTTGGACTTCTCAGCCTCCAGAACTGTGAGAAGGAAATTTCTGTCGTTTATAAATTACCCAGTCTATAGTATTTTGTTATAGCAGCCTGAATGAACTAAAATATAGTATTTTCATTAAACTTAATTATAGATGACAAGAGAATAAATCTTATAATATCTACTTTCTGCCTTAAAAGTACTTTTACTTAAAACATCCAGTTAGAAGGGTATTTTTTGGCATTGCTAGTTAGGAAACATTAGGAGGCAAACACTTTTATATTCCCACCAAAGACAGAAATTATGCTTTTCTCAAGATGAAAGGTCAAAAAGTAGTTTATGTGGAGTAAATCTGGACGAATTTCAGATTTTGAAGAGATTTCTCCTGGTTTTGATACAAACGGAGATTCCACAAGCCCTTTTGAAGACATTATGACTACACCTTGAACAGATCATTAATAAAAAAAATACATTGCATTTAATAGATTAGATATGTGGCTTTATATTATGTAATTGTGCAGACTGAACTGTTTAACCATTTAAGGCATTAAAATATATATATAACATCCGTATGCTCTACCTTGCAGCCCCACAGCCATCACCCTTTCTCAGATCCTTGTTCCCTCAGAGCTGAATCCTGTGATGATTTACTAGCGGTTCTTCCTGGTTTTGTTACTGAACGACACTCCTTTGGCCCAGCCCAACCCCACCACCTTGCAGGTACCACCTCATTTCCTACATATGGTTTCTATAATTCATACTCAGAGTCAAGAACTTATGACTGCCGGTTTCTTGGTAACCTTACAGAGACAGCTGGTGTATGCACACACAAATATATGTGTATGTGCACGTTTTAATGTAAATGGTAGCATTCCACACACATTTTTTTCTCTTAACAATATGTAACCCAGTGATCGTTCCATTTCAGAATGTTGGAAGCTGTTTATTGTTTTTTAATAGCTGCATTATACTCCACTGTATGGATGCTCCATAATTAATAAATAACAAGCCTCTGCAGAAGAGAAATGGGTGGTTGAATGAGGAGGGTGTACATATTTCTCCAAATGATATTTTTGTTATATTTCATACATACGAAAGAATACATACAAGTGAGTTAAAAAACAAACAATACCCACGACTCCCACCCACCCTCCCAACTTAAAAAAAGTCTAGTTTACCAACACCATATCTACCCTTGTGTTCCTTTCCAGCCCACGCCCCTGTCTCATGCCCTAGAAGTAACTGTTATCTGATTTTAATATTTGTCATTCCCATAGGTTTAAAAATTTTTTTAATCACATATACATGGCTAACCCATATATTAGGTGGTTTTTCTTATTTTTGAGCTTTATAAAATGGTCTTCTGAAACATGCAATTTTCACGTATCATATTTCTAAGATTCATCAATTTTTAAAAAGAGCTGTCGTTCATTATCACTGGCTGTATAATATTCTGTGTGACTATATTACAATGAATTTATCCATTCTCCTGTCACCTGATGTCTTAGTCTGTTCGGCTGCTACCCGAACAGATACCACAGACTGGGTAGTTTGTAAATAACAGAAATTTATTTCTCAAAGTTCTGGAGGCTGGGAAGTCCAAGATTACAGTGTCTGGTGAGGGCCACTTCACAGATGGCTGTCTTCCACTATAACTTCGCATGGTAGAAACGAGGGATTAGCTAGCTCTCTGGGGTTCCTTTCATAAGGGCACTGATACCAATCATGAGGGCTCCATTATTTTGACCTAAACACCTCTCAAAAGTCCCCACCTCCTGATACTATCACCTTGGGGGTTAGGATTTCAGCATATGAATTTTAAGGGGACAAAAACATTCTAACCATGGCACCAGACAAATGGGTTACTTGCAGGTTTTTGCTACTCTGAACAGTGTCACTATGAACATTCTTATATATGTCTTCTGGGACACATGTGCAAGAAATTTTCCAGGAAATACCCAGAAGTACAGTAAGTTATGTGACTTGAATATTATAACAAAGTGTTCCCCAAAATGACTGTGCCACTTTACCACTCCTTTTAGCTATGTCTGAAACACATTGCTTCTCACACTTTTTCAGACTTCATAATTTTTACAATTTAGTGAGTGTAAAATGGTACCTCATTGCTTTAGATTTGCATTTTCCTGATTAGTACTAGGATTGGCTTCTTTTCTTACATTTATTGGCCATTCATGTTTTCTCTTCTGTGAAATGTCTGTTTGTTTCTATTGCTCAGTTTTCAATTAAGTTATATTATCCTTTTTTTCTTTATTGATTTGTAGGAGTTCTCAAATTATTCCAAATGACCAGCTCTTTGATAGTTATAGGCACTTCAAATGTCCTCCCAGTTCGTGATTATATGATGTACTTCACTGAAGAGATATTAATTGTAATGTAGACGAATTTATCAACCTTTTATGATTAGCACTTTTTGTATCTTGTTTAAGAGATTCTTCCTTCCCAAAGTCAGACAAGTCCTATATTTTCTTCTAAATTTCATAATTTTGCCATAAAAATTGATTTTTTTTTGTATGGCACGAAGTAGGGTTCCAGTTTTCCCCCTTGGATAACCAACTATCCGGGCACTGTTTCCTCAGGATCTTCAATCCCCATTTTGTCATAAGTCAAGTATTCAAATACGCATAGATCATTTCTGGACTCTCCTGTATCAATATCAAACTGTCTTAATAATTATAGATTTACAGTAAGTCTTTGTTATCTGATAGGGAATGCTCCCTCTCCCCTTCCTTCCCCTTCTGGAGTTTCTCAGCTATTCTTGGACCTTTGCTCATCACATAAATTTTTAAATCAGTTTGTTAGGCTCTATTAAAAGGGAGAATTACTTTTCATGAAATCCCTTTTTGTACATTTTAAATTTTGTCTGGAAGTTTGAAAGGTAGGCATTATAAATAAAAAATATTTTAAAAAATCTTATGACTGTCCATTGTATCAAGGTCAAACTGCACTTCATGTTATTTATGCTATTCAGTCTGATTAGTCCTATTTTTCCATCCTATTACCTGTTACTTTCAAATATGAAACCATGTCTCTTAGGTAGACTGGTTTCCCCATGTATATCATTTCGGTCTGCTCCTATCCTCTCATTTCTTTGCTCATATTAACATATTCAACCATCTATTCTTCACACCTGATTCTAGATCTTATTTCTCCAATCCATTTCCTTAAAACAACTAATATACTCAAAGTTGAATTCTGGCTCTTATTAAAACTTACTTTATTTGTGATAGTTTAGTGTCCTCAATTAAAGTACGAGCTCCCTAGGGGCAAGTATAGGTGGCTAAGAGTTGAAGAAATAGTTTTGATTGGTTCTTCTCAATAGAAATGTATTTTGGACTAGTCACTATTGCCAGCCTTTGGGTTGAGTCACAATAAAGCCTTTTAGTTTGAATATGTTGGCTTTCTGTTGTACTTAAACTAGGTATGTAACAATGCTTAGTGACCTATAAGAGAAACCCAGTGCTTAACGGAATTGATTTGCAAGGGACTTTTACAATATAATTTGAAAATATCTTCATCAGCAGAGACAGCCTAATAACATGTTCTCATGGTGGTTTACAATGTATCTGTATAGTTCTTCATCTGAAGAAACAACTGTGTGAACCATAATTAAATCCATTAGGCACAGTGTGAGAAATAATGTTTAAACAACAGTTCAACAGCTGCAACACCCATACTCTTCAAAATGTTTTGTGAATGGTTGAAATAGATATAGTTGAAGGTAATTTATTGTTCCTTATTTTGCAAATTAAATAATAAGAATGAAAGTTGCTTGATATGTTTAATTTTTAAGAGATAACTGGTGTTATCATACAGGCCTAAACTAATTTGCAGTATAAAAATTACCAAAGTCATAGGGTGCGAATGAGCTGAAACAAAAAATTACAACTATGGAACTTAAAATATCTATAAAAGATTAAAAATAATAAACATCAGGAAAGTAGTTTTAAAAAATCTTTAAATGCACAGCCATTTTTTGTCTTTTTTAAAATTAAAGAACATGATTTTGTATTAAAAATCCTTTTTCTATTAACCAAGTTATCTGTTGTTAGCAACCTAACGTTCACGGAGAAAAAAGTAGGCTATTTTTCCATTAATAAGCTGAAAGTATGGCACACCAATATTTAGATAGGTCATCCAAAATTAGAGTTTAACTAGGTTTATAGAGCACTTTTAGAAACTTTAACCTGAAGACTGGGTTTAAATGTTATATAAATTAGACTTTCTGATTAAAAAGTGGTCTATAATCAAGTTCTAGCAACACTATACTCTATGGAAACTTTAAGCCCAATTATTTAAAACGTTTTAAATGTGAAAACAATTTGCTGTTCCTAGGATGTGGCAAAGTAAGAAAAGAAAGCAAATAAATTAATTGATTATACTTCAAGTTTCAACCTGAAGTCAAATGTCAGAAGTCACTCAAACCAGCTCCTCTAGAACAAGAGAATGCTCATCTAGTTTGAATAAGGTATTTTTTAATTTAAAAAGGCTTTGAAAAAGGGATTTGAAAATAACCACATATGAAAATTGTGACATTTCAGGCACTCAAAAAGGTTTAACTAAATCAAATATCAGAAAGCAATATATTAATACATCACTTTTTAACAGATTTATTGAAGTATAACTGATGCATAAGTTGCACATATTTAAAGTGTACAATTTGATGAACTTTCCCCTGTGTATACACCCGTGAAACCTTACCAGAATCAAGTTAGTGAATATTTCTATCACTTCCAAAAGTTTTCTCTTTCCTTTCTCTCCCAGTATCTGTCTCCAGGCAACCACTGATCTACTTTGTCAAGTAGTTAAGCTTGCATTTTCTGAAACTGTATATAAATGGAATTATACAAGTTGTACTCTTTTCTGTCTGCCTCTTTCATTCAGCATTATTATTTTAAGAATCATTTACATTATTGTATCAATAACTCCATTCCATTTTATTGCTGAGAAGTATTCTATTGTATAGTAGCAAACTGTTTATCCATTCACCTTTTTTTCTTCCAGAGGACACTGTATCATTCTTATGCCTTTGTGTCCTCATAGCTTAGCTCCCACATATCAGTGAGAACATATGACATTTGGCTTTCCATTCCTGAGTTACTTCACGTAGAATAATAGTCTCCAATCTCATCCAGGTTGCTGTGGATGCTGTTAATTCATTCCTTTTTATGGCTGAGTAGTATCCCATCATGTATATATACTACAGTTTCTTTATCCACTCATTGATTGATGGGCATTTGGGCTGGTTCCACGATTTTGCAATTGCAAATTGTGCTGCTATAAACATGTGTGTGCAAGTATCTTTTTTGTATAAGGACTTCTTTTCCTTTGGGTAGACACGCAGTAGTGGGATTACTGGATCAAATAGTAGATCTACTTTTAGTTCTTTAAGGAATCTCCACACTGTTTTCCATAGTGGCTGTACTAGTTTACATTCCCACTAGCAGTGTAGAAGTGTTTCCTGATCACCGCATCCATGACAACATCTACTGTTTTTTGCTTTTTTGGTTATGGCCATTCTTGCAGGAGTAAGGTGGTATCGCATTGTGGTTTTGATTTGCATTTCCCTGATCACTAGTGATGTTGAGCATTTTTTCATATGTTTGGTGGCCATTTGTATGTCTTCTTTTGAGAACTCCCTTTTCATATCCTTAGCCCACTTTTTGATGGGATTGTTTTTTTTCATACTGATTTGTTTGAGTTAGTTGTAGATTCTGGATACTAGTCCTTTGTCAGCTGTAGAGATTGTGAAGGTTTTCTCCCAGTCTGTGGGTTGTCTGTTTACTCTGCTGACTGTTCCTTTTGCCATCCAAAAGCTCTTTAGTTTAATTAGGTCCCAACTATTTACTTCGTTTTTATTACATTTGCTTTTGGGTTCTTGGTCATGAAATCCTTGCCTAAGCCAATGTCTAGAAGGGTTTTTCCAATGTTATCTTCTAGAGTTTTTATAGTTTCCGGTCTTAAAGTCCTTACTCCATCTTGAGTTGATTTTTGTATAAGGTAAGAGATGAAGATCCAGTTTCATTTACCTACATGTGGCTAGCCAATTGTCCCAGGACCATTTGTTGAAAAGGGTGTCCTTTTCCCACTTTATGTTTTTGTTTACTTTGTCAAAGATCAGTTGGCTATAAGTATTTGGGTTTATTTCTGGGTTTTCTATTCTGTTCCATTGGTCTATGTGCCTGATTTATAACTATACCATGCCGTTTTGGTGACTATGGCCTTATAGTATAGTTTGAAATCAGATAGTGTGATGCCTCCAGATTTGTTCTTTTTGCTTAGTCTTGCTTTGGGTATGCAAGGTCTTTTTAGGTTCCATATGAATTTTAGAATTGTTTTTTCTAATTCTGTGAAGAATGATTGTGGTATTTTGATGGGGAGTGCATTGAATTTGTAAATTGCTTTTGGCAGAATGGTCATTTTCACAATATTGATTCTACCCACCCATGAGCATGGGATGTGTTTCCATTTGTTTATGTCATCTATGATTTCTTTCTGCAGTGTTTTGTAGTTTTCCTTGTAGAGGTCTTTTGCCTCCTTGGTTAGGCATATTCCTAAGTATGTTTTTTGTTTTTTTGGGTTTTTTTTGCAGCTATTGTAAAAGGGGTTGAGTTTTTGATTTGATTCTCCGCTTGGTCACTGTTGGTGTATAGAAGAGCTATTAATTTGTGTACATTAATCTTGTATCTGGAAACTTTGCTGAGTTCTTTTCTCAGTTCTAGGAGCTTTCTGGAGGAGTCTTAAGGGTTTTCAAGGTAAACAATCATATCGTCAGCAACAGTGACAGTTCGACTTCCTCTTTACTGATTCAGATGCCCTTTCTTTCTTTCTCTTGTCTGATTGCTCTGGCTAGGACTTCCAGTACTATATTGAAGAGGAGTGGTGAGACTAGGCATCCTTGTCTTGTTCCAGTTCTCAGAGGGAATACTTTCAACTTCTCCCTATGCAGTATTATGTTGGCTGTGGGTTTGTCACAGATGGTTTCTATTACATTGAGATATGTCCCCTGTATGCCGATTTTGCTGAGTTTTAATCACAAAGGGATGCTGGATTCTGTCTAATGGTTTTTCTGCATCTATTGAGATGATCATGTGATTTTTGTTTTTAATTTTGTTTACATGGTGTATCGCATTTATTGACTTGCATATGTTAAACCATCCCTGCATCCTTGGTATGAAACTCACTTGATCAGGGTGGATTATCTTTTTGATATGTTGTTGGATCTGGTTAGCTAGTATTTTGTTAAGAATTTTAGCATCTATGTTCATCAGGGATATTGGTCTGTAGTTTTCTTTTCTTTTTTTTTATTTTTATTTTATTTTTTTTTAATTATACTTTTAAGTTTTAGGGTACATGTGCACATTGTGCAGGTTAGTTACATATGTATACATGTGCCATGCTGGTGTGCTGCACCCACTAACTCGTCATCTAGCATTAGGTATAGCTCCCGATGCTATCCCTCCCCACTCCCACCACCCCACAACAGTCCCCAGAGTGTGATATTCCCCTTCCTGTGTCCATGTGATCTCATTGTTCAGTTCCCACCTATGAGTGAGAACATGCGGTGTTTGGTTTTTTGTTCTTGCGATAGTTTACTGAGAATGATGATTTCCAATATCATCCATGTCCCTACAAAGGACATGAACTCATCATTTTTTATGGCTGCATAGTATTCCATGGTGTATATGTGCCACATTTTCTTCATCCAGTCTATCATTGTTGGACATTTGGGTTGGTTCCAAGTCTTTGCTATTGTGAATAATGCCGCAATAAACATACGGGTGCATGTGTCTTTATAGCAGCATGATTTATAGTCCTTTGGGTATATACCCAGTAATGGGATGGCTGGGTCAAATGGTATTTCCAGTTCTAGATCCCTGAGGAATCGCCACACTGACTTCCACAAGGGTTGAACTAGTTTACAGTCCCACCAACAGTGTAAAAGTGTTCCTATTTCTCCAGTTTTCTTTTTTTGTTATGTCCTTTCCTGGTTTTGGTATTAGGGTTACACTAGCTTCACTGAATGCATTAGGGAGGATTTCCTCTTTCTCTATCTTGTGGAATAGTGAGAAAAGAATAGGTACCAATTCTTTGAATGTCTGATAGAATTTTGCTGTGAATCCATCTGGTCCTGGATTGTTTTAGTTGGTAATTTTTAAATTACCCTTTCAATCTCACTGCTTGTTATTGGTCGGCTAAGGGTATCTAATTCTTCCTGATTTAAGATAGGAGGGTTGTATTTTTCCAGGAATTTACACATCTCTTCTAGGTTGTCTAGTTTATATGCATAAAGCTGTTCATAGTAGCGTTGAATAATCTTTTGTATTTCCATGGTGTCAGTTGTAATATCTCCTGATTTGCTTCTTAATGAGGTTATTTGGATTTTCTCTCGTTTTCTTGGTGAATCTTGCTAATAGTCTTTCAATTTTATGTATCTTTTCAAAGAACCAGCTTTTAATTTCAGTTATGTTTTGTATTGTTTTTTGTTTCAGTTTCATTTAGCTCTGCTCTGATCTTGGTTATTTCCTTTCTTCTGCTGGGTATGGGTTTGATTTGTTCTTGTTTCTCTAGTTCCTTGAGATGTGATCTTAGAGTGTCAGTTTGTGCTCTTTCAGTCTTTTTGATGTAGGCGTTTAGGGCTATGGACTTTCCTCTTAGCACTGCCTTTGCTGTATCCCAGAGCTTTTGATAGGTTGTGTCATTATTGTCGTTCAGTTTGAAGAATTTTTAAATTTCCATCTTGATTTCATTTTTGACCCAATAATTATTCAGAAGCAGTTTATTTTATTTCCATGTATTTGCATGTTTTTGAAGGTTCCTTTTGGATTTGATTTCCAGTTTTATTCCACTGTGGTCTGAGAGAGTGATTGACAACATTTCAATTGTCTTACATTTATTGAGGCTCATTTTATGGCTTCTATCTTGGAAAAAGTTCCATGAGCTGTTGAATAGAATGTGTATTCTGTGCTTGTTGGATGAAATGTTCTGTATACATCTGTTAAGTCCCTTTGTTCCAAGGTACAGTTTAAATCCATTGCTCTTTGTTGACTTTCTATCTTGATGACCTGGCTAGTGCTTTCAATGGAATACTGAAGTCCTTCACTATTATTGTGTTGCTGTCAATCTTATTTCTTAGGTCTATTGGTAATTGTTTTGTAAATTTGGGAGCTCCAGTGTTAGGTGCAGATATGTTTAGGATTGTGATATTTTCTTACTGCACAAGGCCTTTTACTGTTATATAATGTCCCTCTTTGTCTCTTTTAACTGCTGTTGCTTTAAAGTTTGTTTTGTCTGACATAAGAATAGCTACCTCTGCTCACTTTTGATGTCCATTTGCATGAAATGCCTTTTTCCACCCCTTTACTTTAAGTGAGTCCTTATGTGTTAGGTGAGTCTCCTGAAGGCAGCAGATGGTTGGTTGGTGAGTTCTTATCCATCCTGCAGTTCTGTATCTTTTAAGTGGAGCATTTAGGCCATTTACATTCAATGTTAGTATTGAGATGTGAGGTACCATTCCATTCATCATGCTATTCGTTGCTTGTGTACCTTGTTTTTGTTTGTTTTTGCTTTTTAACTTGTAGTTTTGTTTCATAGGTCCTGTGAGATTTATGCTTTAAAGAGGTTCTGTTTTGATGTGTGTTTCCAGGATTAGTTTCAAGATTTAGAGCTCCTTTTAGCAGTTCTTGTAGAGGTGGCTTGGTAGTGGCAAATTCTCTCAGCATTTGTTTTTCCGAAAAAGACTGTACCTTTCCTTTATATATGATGCTTAGTTTTGCTAGATACAAAATTCTTGGCTGATAATTGTTTTGTTCGAGGAGGCTGAAGATAGGGCCCCAATCCCTTCTGGTTTGTAGGGTTTCTTCTGAGAAATCTGCTCTTAATCTGATAGGTTTTCCTTTATAGGTTACCTGTTGCTTTTGTCTCACAGCTCTTAAGATTCCTTCATCTTAACTTTGGCTAAAGTGATGACAGTGTGCCTAGGTGATGATCTTTTCGCAATGAATTTCCCAGGTGTTCTTTGTGCTTCTTGTATTTGGATGTCTAGGTCTCTAGCAAGGACTGGGGACGTTTTCCTCAATTATTCCCCCAAATATGTTTTCCAAACTTTTAGATTTCTCTTCTTCCTCAGGAACACTGATTATTCTTAGTTTTGGTCGTTTAACATAATCCCAGACTTCTTGGAGGGTTTGTTCATATTTTCTTATTCTTTTTTCTTTGTCTTTGTTGAACTGGGTTAATTCAAAGACCTTGTCTTTGAGCTCTGAATTTCTTTCTTCTACTTGTTCAATTTTATGGCTGAGACTTTCCAGAGCATTTTGCATTTCTGTAAGTTTGTCCACATTTTCCTAAAGTTTTGATTTTTTCTTTATGCTATCTATTTCCTTGAATAATTGTCCCATCACTTCTTGTATTGATTTTTGAATTTCCTTGCATTGGGCTTTACCTTTCTCTGGTGCCTTGCTTATTAGCTTAATAACTAACCTCCTGAATTCTTTTACAGGTAAATCAGAAATTTCTTCTTGGTTTGGATCCATTGCTGGTGGACTAGTGTGATTTTGGGAGGCGGGGGGGTGTTAAAAGCCTTTTTTTTTGGTCATATTACCAGAGTTGGTTTTCTGGTTCCTTCTTATTTGGGTAGGCTCTCTCAGAGGGAAGGTCTAGGGCTGAAGGCTATTCAGATCCTTTTGTCCCACGGTGTGTTCCCTTGATGTAGTACTCTCCCCCTTTTCCTATGGATATGGCTGCCTGTGAGCTAAGCTGCAGTGATTGTTATCTCTCTTCTGGATCTAGCCACCGAGCAAGTCTACCCAGCTCCAGGCTGGTACTGGGGGTTGTCTGCATAGAGTCCTGTGAAGTGAACCGTCTATGGGTCTCTCAGCTGTGGATGCCAGCTTCTGTTCCAGTGGAGGTGGCAGGGGGGTGAAATGGATTCTCTGAGGGTTCTTAGCTTTGGTGGTTTAATGTTCTATTTTTGTGCTGATTGGCCTGCTGCTGGGAGGTGGCACTTCCCAGAGAGCATCAGCTGTGGTAGTATGGAGAGGAACTGGCGATGGGCGGGGCCCTAGAACTCCCAAGGGTATATGTCCTTTGCCTTCAGCTACCAGGGTAGATAGGAAGGCCCATCAAGTTGGGGCAGGGCTAGGCATGTCTGAGCTCAGACTCTCCTTGGGCAGGTCTCGCTGTGGCTGCTATGGGGGATGGGGGCAAGGTTCCCAGGTTAGTGGAGTTGTGTACCTAGGAGGATTATGGCTGGCCTCTGCTGAGTCATGTAGGTTGTCAGGGAGGTAGGGGAAAGCCGGCAGTCACAAGCCTCACCCAGCTCCCAGACAATCCAAATGGCCGGTCTCACTCCCACTGTGCCCCCCGCAACAGCCCTGAGTCTGTTTCCAGGCAGTGGGTGAACAAGACTTGAGAACTTGCCTTGGGCTACCTGCCCCTAAGCTGAGAAAGAAAAGGGCTTGGCTCTTCTCCTACCTGTGGAGTCTGTACACCACATTCATACCCTCCCCTGAGTTATGGCCAGGAGGCTTCTTGCCCAG
This sequence comes from Homo sapiens, assembly GCF_000001405.40. Lineage (NCBI taxonomy): Eukaryota > Metazoa > Chordata > Mammalia > Primates > Hominidae > Homo > Homo sapiens. Next base: position 31,865,277 of record NC_000014.9, on the reverse strand, counting down.
GTCAAATTGTTTCAAAGTTCAGCTGGAGATTTCCTTCTCCCTGTGGCATTTTCTCCTGTGCCTCTGGCCGCCCTCCCGATGGATCTCTGTGGTGACAGGCAGGAATGATTTGCTTGGGGACCCAGAGAACTCCAAGCACCTTTCCTGCTGCTTCCTCTACCCCTGTATTTCGCTTGGCTCTCTAAATTGACTCAGCTCCTGGTAAGGTTGGAGACTTCTCCCGCAAACAGACCTTCCGTTTCCCCAGTGAGGGTGATGTGTTTGGGAGAAGAGGATCTCTCTTTCCCACTTCCGCAGTCGGGACACTCACAATATTAGGGGTGTCTCCTGGGTCCTGCAGAAGCAGTTGCTTCCTTCAGAGGGTCTGTGGGTCTTATTGCAATTCCTGGTTTGTTCTTGCAGTCATTCTGGAGCTAAAATTCACAATGCGAGCCTCTGCACGCTGCTCTGTCCGTCTGAGTCTGAGGTGCAATCTAGTCCTGCCTCCTATCCGCCATGATGATCTTCCATTCAGGACATTCCCATTCACCTTTTGATGCATATTGGAGTTGTTTCCAGCTTTTGGATATTATAAACAAAGTTGATAGGAACATGTGTGTAAGTCTTCATGCAAATATGTGTCTGTTTTGTCTTGGGTAAATATCTAGGAGCATAATATTTAATTATAGGGTATGTGCATCTTTTAACTCTTTAAGAGTGTAACAGAACCAGGCATGGAGGCTTATGCGTGTAATCCTAACACTTTGGGATGCCAAGGTGAGAGACCTGCATGAGCCCAGGAGTTTGAAAACAGCCTGGGAAACAGAGAGATCCTGTGTCCAAAAAAAAAAAAAAAAAAAAAAAGCATGCCAGACTGTTTCCAAAGTGGTATTATTTTACATTCCCATTCCCACCAACAGGGTATGAGATTTCCAGGGGATCCACATCATCTTCAGCACTTCGTATTGCCAATCTTTTTAATCATAGCAATTTTAGTGGCTTTGTAGTGGTATTCCATTGTGGTTTTAATTTGCATCTCCCTAATGACTAAAAACATTGAGCATTTTCATGTTATTTGTCAATGATATCTCTTCTTTGGCGAAGTGTCTATTGAAATCCTTCACCCATTTTAAATTGGGTTGTCTTATTAATCAGTTGTACGTATTCTTTATATATTTTAAACTCTTCATCAGACATGTTTCACAAATGTTTTCTCCTAGTCTATAAATTGCCTTTGATTTTCTTAACTGTGTCTTTCAAACAGTTAAGTTTTAGTTTTGATGAAATACAAGTTATCTACTTTTTCTGTTATTGTTTAATCAGGATTTTTGTGTCTTATTTTTGCATAACTCAAGATCATGAAGATTTTCCTCTATGTTTTTCTTTTAGAAGTGTCATAGTTTTAGATTTTATATTTAGGTCTATGATCCATTTTGATGTGTTTTTATATCTAGAAGTTGGCAAAGTTTATTTCTTTGTAAAAAGATGTCTCATCATTCAAGCACAAGTGCTGGAAAGTCATCCATTCTCCAATGAATTGCTTTGGTACCTTTGTTGGAAATCAAGTTATCATATCTGTGTATGTCTGTTTCTGAACTCTGTCCCATGGATCTATATTTCTATCTTTACACCAATACCACATTGCCTTGATTACTGTAGCTTTATAATAAGTCTTCAGGCTGGGCACAGTGGCTCACACCTGTAATCCCAGCACTTTGGGAGGCCGAGGTGGGCAGATCACAAGGTCAAGAGATCAAGACCTTCCTGGCCAACATGGTGAAACTCCGTTTCTACTAAAAAATACAAAAATTAGCTGGGCGTGGTGGTGCATGCCTGTAGTCCCAGCTACTCAGGAGGCTGAGGCAGGAGAACCACTTGAACCCAGGAGGCGGGGGTTGCAGTGAGCCAAGATCGTGCCACTGTACTCCAGCCTGGCGACAGAGTGAGACTCCGTCTCAAAAAATAAAAAACAAAAAAACTCTTCAAATCAGGTGGTGTAAGTTCCTAAACTTTAATCTTTTTTTGTTCAAAATAATTTGGCTATTCTGGACACTCTAGTTACGTGAAAATGTTAGAATCAAGTTGTCAATTTCAGTAAGAGTCTTGTTGGATTTTGACAGAAATCACATTGGATATAGATCAATTTGGGGAGAATAGATATTTTAAACATGTTGAGTCTTCCAAACTTTGAACATGGTATGTCTCACCACCTAAATGTTTTCTTTGATTTCTTCATTAGTGTTTTGTAGTTGTCAGAATAACAGATTTTTTACATATCTTATTATATTTACATGTAAATATTTCATGGTTTTTTGGGTGCTATAAATCGAACTTTTTTCATTCAATTTCTAATTGTTTATTGCTAGTATACAGAAATAAAATTGGTTTTGTATGTCGACCTTGCATACTGCATCTCTGCTAAATCCATGTATTAGTTCTAGTTGCTTTTGTGTATATTATTTGGAATGTTCTCCATAGACAATCAATTTGTGTGTGAACAGAGATGGTTTTATTTCTTCCTTTCTAATCTATATGCCTTTATTTCTTTTTCTATTGCACTAGGAAAGACCTTAGGTATGATAATGAATAAAATGGTGAGCTTGGACAGCCTTGCAGTAGGTCTTTCACCATTAGCAATAATGTTAGTTGTAGTTCTTTGTTGATGCCTTTTATTAGGTTGAAAAAGTTGTTTTCTATTTCTAGTTTGCTAATTCTTATTGCAAATGAATGTTCAGTTTTGTTATATGCTTGGTCTATACCTATTCAAATAAACATGCTTTTTTTCTTTAGTCTGTTTTGCTTTACTGTTTCTTCTTGAATCTGCCATACATTGATTGATGTTCAAATGTTGAACCAACCTTGTGTTCCCAGGAAAATGACCTTGTAGTCATATGTATTATCCTTTTATATAATGCTGGATTCAATTAAGTAAGATTTGTTGAAGAATTTTCTGTCTATGTTTATGAGGAACATTTGTCTGTATTCTTCTTTTCTTGTATTGTCTTTGTCTTTGGTTTGCATATTAGGGTAATGCTGGCTTCACAAAATGAGTTGGAAAGTGCCCCCTCTATTTTCTGGTAAAGTTTGTGTAGAACTGGTATTATTCCTTCATTCAATGTTGGGTAGATTTTGACAGTAAAGGCATCTGGGGCTAGAGTTTTCTTTGTTGGTTCTTAACACAAATTATATTTTTAAAAGTAATTTATGACTACTCAGTCATAAATTATATTAAAGGAATATATCTATTCCATAAGTGAGCTTTGGTAGTTTCTTTCAAAGCATTTGTCTATTTCATCTAAGTCTTCAATTTAATGGGCATAAAGTTGTTTGTAATCTTTCTTATTGTCCTTTTCATGTCTGTAATAATGTCTCCTTTTCATTCCTGATTTGTTGATTTATGTCATCTTTCTTTCTCTCATTTCTTAATGAGCCTGGCTAAAGGTTTGCCAATTTTGTTCACCTTTTCAAAATATCAGTCTTTTATTTACACTCTACTGAGATGTGAAGAATGGAAAATAAATATCACTCCTTAACAAACAGGCAAACTACCTGTACTTCAGTCTACCTTTGGAGTTGGTGGCAAAATTTTAGAATAAGCTTAGTTCTTGTTTTATAGCTACTGTTCCTTCCTCCATGTCTAAACCTGCATATATATTCCAACCGCCATTTGTTTCAGTAGACTTCCTTGAAGCATCTGCAGACAACAGTCAAAAGAAGGAGGAGAAGAGGGCAGGGAATTTTATATGTGGATCTTCTCTCGGTCATGTATTTATGAGTAAAGACCACCTTTCCCATTTCCCTATGATATGTATTAAATGGTGACATACAACTTTAAGTCATTCTTTTTTGAAAAAAGTTAAGTTTGGTTTAAGTATTTTTTGTATTCACAAGTGCTCAATGATCATCTATATTTTCTTCTTCCTCAACAGACAATAAATACACAAAGAATATCTGAAACTTTAAGTCATTACTTCCTTCTCAGAGTGATATGATTACAGTGTGTCCACAAATAATTTTATTCATGATATTAATTAGTATAATTTGGTCCAGTAAATTTCAGTTCAGATATAGCAGTTTGTGTTTTTTTAACTTTTATTTTTATTTTGAGATAATTGTAGATTTACATGCAGTTGAAATAATACAGAGATTCCATGTGCCCTTCACCCAATTTCCCCCAGTGGTAACATCTTGCAAAACTATAGCACAATATCACAACTGGGATACTGACATCGATAGCTGTGATATAGAACATTTCCATCATCACAAGGATCCCTCATGTTTCTCACAGCCACGCCCAATTCTCTCCCATCCTCACCCCCTCCTTAACACAGCCACCACTAATCTGTTCTCCATTTCTATAATTATGTCACTTCAAGAACGTTATATAAATGGAATCTTTTGGTACAAAACCTTTTTAAATTGGCCTTTTTCATTCAGCATAATTCTCTGGAATTATAAGTTGCTGCCTGTACCCATAGTTTGTTCTTTTTTATTGCTGAGTAGCACTCACGGTATGAATGTACTATGGTTTGTTTAATCATTTACCCAATGAAGAAAATCTGGGTTGTTTTTGGTTATTACACATAAAATTGCAATAAACATCAATGTACATGTTTTTGTGTGAAAACATGCTTATAATAATGTGAAACTCTATGCCTAATTTTCTAGTTGACAACTGTAGAGCAACAGATGTCAAGACATTTGCCAAAAGTGACAGACCACTTCTTTATAAATGCGAATTAACTAATGGCTCACACTTATCAGTACTTGCAGCTTTAAAACTATCTGCTACCTGACTTTGAAAAGTCATTGACTCTATCTCTTTGAGCTTCAATTAGACAAGATAAATGTTTTTCAAAATGTATTATTTGAAATGTGAACTTCATGAAATGCTCTGAAAAAGGAGGGGGGTGGTGGATTTCATGGCCAAAAAAAGTTTGAGGAAATGCTAAATATTGCATCTCCCCCGACTTTTTTTTTTTTTTTTTTTTTTTTTGAGATGGAGTCGCACTCCATTGACCAGGCTGGAGTGCAGTGGTACAATCTCCACTCACTGCAACCTCAGCCTCCCGGGTTGAAATGATTCTCCTGCCTCAGCCTCCCGAGTAGCTGGGATTACAGGCATATGCCACCACACCCAGCTAATTTTTGTATTTTTAGTAGAGACGGGGTTTCACCATGTTGGTCAGGCTGGTCTTGAACTCCTGACCTCATGATCCACCCACCTCAACCTCCCAAAGTGCTGGGATTACAGGCGTGAGCCACCACGCCTAGCCACCACCGACTTTTTTTAATTAACAAAAGCACATTGGTGTACAAAAAGATGAATCTAATATCGAATTACTCAAGTTCAAATCCAAGCTCCATCACCTGCTAGATACAGTAACCCTCAGCAAGACACTCAAGGTTGAGTGCCTTCAAATTATATCTCAAATTACTTATCTGTAAAATGGAGATAATAGTACCCACTCACACAAATGGAAGAACAATTATAATTAACTTGTTAAATGTTAGCTATTATTCTTACTGCCATGATTACCAGAATCATCATCAACATCATCATGGTCTTACTAAAAATACATATGTTCAGGCTCCACTCCTGGAGACTGAAATTCATTAAGTCTGGGGTATAGTGTGATCCAGATGAAGAAGCAGAGGTTCATATTAAGAACATGTCCAAGACAGTACCAAAGACAGGATTCAAAGACAGTCCAAATTGCCTGGTGGGAAGGCGTAATACTTATGCCCATACACAAATTTAGTATATCATTTAAATTACTAATTCTGTGGTCCTGCAAAAAGTGTACAGTTCTCTCCCAAAATGGACTTGTAACATCATAAACTCGTGATTTCTAAAGGGGTAATTCAATAAAATAAAATGCAGTTCTTTGCAGGTGGTACACACCAGCTTTCAAAAAATTCCTAAATATAGCAGTTAACATTGATACATCAAAGTTTTGTGAACCTTAGCTTAGCAAGTCAAATATGAAGACATTCTTTCCTTAGAAATAAAACAGTTATGATTTCTATTATTTCTGTAGGTTCCATCACCACATTGCTGATTTCCAAAGGTCCTCTTAATGTCAGTACCAGGCAAATTTCCAGGACACTTGGGGAATCATTCTGAAGGTGATGGCAATCTTCTTACCACTTCCACAGCAATCCTCAAGTAAGCTTTGGCCTGGAAAAGAACAAACTTATTTGTTCTGTATTTCTCTTCAGCAGACATTGAATGACTCATCAACTGTTTGTTATAGAGGCCCACTGTATTTGATAGTAAAAAGGCTGAGTGAGATGAGGAAATTCAGTATTGAGAAGATAGTGCTGTATATATTGCAGGCGGCACAAGGAAGAAAGAATTTTAGATTATTTGGAGGGTAATTATTTGGAAGGTGACTCTGAAGTAATATTTAGTACCAGAAATTACTGTTTTTCAAATTCTAATTCTGGTGTCAGCAAACTAGCAACCCAGTCTAGTTGCAGAGAGATTACACCTTTTTGCTCTGAAAAATTGATATATTGAGTTAGAGACTGCCAAAACTTCTTTAGCATAAGAGCTGTTAGTCATTTTAAGGAGGACTATTTATTACCATGCTACAGTTTATCTTAGGAAAGCATTTTCTTCATCTCCCCGAGAATGGTGTGTAATACCAGCACCAAGCACCTATAGGCTCTTTCACCTGGTAAAAAATGGATATCATGCAAAAAATCCTAGTTCCATTGTTACACTCTTTATGTCTGGGATCCCAGTGTCATGGGACACTAACAGCAGCTCTTAAGCCACAGAGTGGGCCACAAGCTAACCTAATGCCTGCATGGTAATGATATTTGCATTTTAAGAGTTCCTTTAAATAAATGTAATGCAAAATTACTTATATCCTCTACTTTATTCATAAAAAGTAACTGTAGAACACAATAGTAAAATTTTCTAAAACCATTAATTTCTACATTGATAATTGATATGGTTTGGCTGTGTCCCCACCCAAATCTCATCTTCAATTGTAACTCCCACAGTTCCCATGTGTTGTGGAAGGAACCCAGTAGGAGGTGATTAAATCATGGGGTGGGTCTTTCCCATGCTGGTCTTGTGATAATAAGTCTCATGAGATCTGATAGCTTTAATAACAGGAGTCTCTCTCCACAAGCTCTCTTTTTGCCTGCCACCATCCATGTAAGACGACTTGTTCCTCCTTGCCTTTCACCTTCTTCCATGATTGTGATGCCTTCCTAGCCAGATGGAACTGTAAGTCCAATAAACCTCTTTCTTTTGTAAACTGCCCAGTCTCTGGTATGTCTTTATCAGCAGTGTGAAAACAAACTATTACGGTAAGTTGGTACCAGTAGAGTGTGGCGTTGCTGAAAAGATACCCGAAAATGTGGAAGTGACTTTGGAACTGGGTAACAGGCAGCAGTTGGAACAGTTTGGAGGGCTCAGAAGAAGACAGGAAAATGTGGAAAGTTTGGAACTTCCCAGAGACTTCAGTGGCTTTGACAAAAATGCTGATACTGATATGAACAATAAGGTCCAGGCTAAGATGGTCTCAGATGGAGATGAGGAAGTTGTTGGGAACTGAAGCAAAGGTGACTCTTGTTATGTTTTATCAAAGAGACTGGCGGCATTTTGTCCCTGCCCTAGAGATTTGTGGAACTTTGAATTTGAGAAAGATGATTTAGGGTACCTGGCAGAAGAAATTTCTAAGCAGCAAAGCATTCAAGAGGTTAAAGGTATTCAGTTTTATAAGGGAAGCAGAGCATAAAGGTTTAGAAAATTTGCAGCCTAACACTGTGATAGGAATAGAAAATCCCATTTCCTGAGGAGAAATTCAAGCCTGCTGCAGAAATTTGTATAAGTAACTAGGAGCCGAATGTTAATCCCCAAGACAATGGGGAAAACGTCTCCAGGGCATGTCAGAGGTCTTCATGGCAGCCTCTCCCATCACAGGTCTGGAGGCCTAGGAGGAAAATATAATTTTTCTGGGCTGGGCCCAGAGTCCCCGTGTTGTGTGGAGACTAGGGACTTGGTGCCCTGCTCCTCAGCTGCTCCAGCCATGGCTGAAAGGGGCCAATGAAGAGCTCAGGCCATGGCTTCAGAGGGTGAAGCGAGCCTCAAGCCTTGGCAGCTTCCACATGGTGTTGAGCTTGTGGGTGCACAGAAATCAAGAATTGAGGTTTGGGAACCTCCACCTAGATTTCAGATGTATGGAAATACCTGGATGCCCAGGCAGAAGTTTGCTGTAGGGGCGAGGTCCTTACGAAGAACCTCTGCTAGGGCAGTGCAGAAGAGAAATGTGGGGTCAGAGCCCCCAGAGTCCCTACTGGGGCATGACCTAGTGGAGTTGTGAGAAGACAGTCACCATCCTCCAGACCCCACAATGGCAGATCCACTGACAACTTGTACAGTGTGCCTGAAAAAGCTGCAGAAACTCAACGCCAAACCATGAAGGCAGCCGGGAGGGAGGCTATACTCTGCAAAACTACAGGGGCAAAGCTGCCCAAGACTATGGGAACTCACCTCTTGCATCAGCGTGACCTAGATGTGAGACATAGAGTCAAGGGAGATAATTTTGGAGCTTTAAGCTTTGACTGTCCCACCAGATTGCAGACTTGCATGGGGCCTGTAGCCCCTTTGTTTTGGCCAATTTCTCCCATTTAGAACAGCTGTATTTACCCAATGCCTGTACCCCCACTGTATCTAGGAAGTAACTAACTTGCTTTTGATTTTACAGGCTCATAGGCGGAAGGGACTTGCCTTGTCTCAGATGAGACTTTGGACTGTGGACATTTTAATTAATGCTGAAATGAGTTAAGACTTTCGGGGACTGTTGGGAAGGCATGATTGGGTTTGAAATGTGAGGACATGTGATTTGGGAGGGGCTGGGGTGGAGTGATATGGTTTGGCTGTGTCCCCACCCAAATCTCATCTTCAATTGTAACTCCCACAATTCCCATGTGTCATGGGAAGAACCTGGTGGGAGGTGATTGAATCATGGGGTGGGTCTTTCCCATGCTGTTCTCATAACAGTGAATCTCATGAGATCTGATAGCTTAAAAAAAATGGGAGTCTACTTGCACAAGCTCTCTTTTTGCCTGCCGCCATCCATGTAAGACATGACTTGTTCCTCCTTGCCATTCACCTTCCTCCATGATTGTGAGACCTCCCTAGCCACATGGAACTGTAAGTCCAATAAACCTCTTTCTTTTGTAAACTGCCCAGTCTCTGGTATGTCTTTATCAGCAGTGTGAAAACAAACGAATAAAATAATATGCTTACAGTTATATATTTATATACAACTAATGAAAACAGCTAAGATTTACTGAGTACTTAATATTTGCCAAGTGTTATTTATCTTCACAGTTACTCTGGGGGTAAATTCTATCATTATCCCGACTTTACAGATAAGGAAACATCCAGAAAGGTAAATAATTTTGTCAAAAACATTATAGCTAGTAAGAGATGAGCTGGGCTTTGAACCTAAGCTGACCAATTCCCAGACTCTGCACAGTAAAAAGAGATGTTTGTGGTCCATTTGCCCTGACTTGATGAAGTGCTTTAAGAGTGTTTCGCATGTCTTCATTTTTAAAGACTATGCTTGAGCCCTAACAGCTAAATCATGATTTATTTTACCAGAAAAGTATTAAAAGTCATTTTAAGAGAGTCCTTAAAAAAAAAAAAAACTCTAAAAACATGAATAAGGCTTTAAATGTTTTTATTGAGTACCTACTATACCAAGTACTTCATGTAAATAATCTCACTTAGACACGTAAAACAAGCATCATCAGCTTAACTTGGATGATGAAACCAGGAGTTATTTGCTCAAGGTCATGAAGTCAGGCTGGAAAACCTTCAAACCTGGGTCCAACTGACTCTAAAGTCCAGCTTTTTCCACTACACCACATGTTAAACAGTAAACCCAAATACAAGTAATTATAATCATAAAGCATAGTCTAAAAATGGGTTCTTCTCTGCTGTAGTTAACAGAAACAATAGTTTTTGTTTATAAATAGAAATAACATCTACTTATAAAGAAAGGTTTCTCTCAAATCAAATGTGCTGATTTTCACCCATACATCTTTATAAATACCTTTTATCTCCTAGTAGCTTTTCTAGGTACTTATGCCTAATATTTTGTGATGAAAATTTAAAGTTCACTAAAGCAAGATGAGACAAGGCCATCATTCTGTAATCTTTTAGTATTTATCTACATTAGAGACATAAACCTATCAGAATACAAAAAATACTGAATAATTCCAGAACAATCAAATTGGCTACATTTAACCTTTCCTTTTTAATGGACTATCTCCAAACTTTGACTTCTAATATATCACATTCAAAGTAATAGATTGTCAGTTGCTGAGAAACCACTGAAAGTGCTTAGTTTAACAGTTTCAATTTCTCAAAAACTGTTGAGGCTAAATTTTTTAGCCAGTGCAGTTTTATTTCAACAAATACATTTTGGTTTGTATTGCGTGCAAGGCATTGTGTTGGGAAATCTGTGGTGTGTAATGATATAAAAGAGGGGCAGAACAGTTCATTGGTGAAGAGTTGGGGCCTTGAAGTCAGACAGCCATGGTTTAGAATGTTGGCTTTATTACTTACCAGCTGTGAGGCTTTGGGCAAGTTACTCAACCCTTCTAGGCTCAGTTTCCATATCTGTAAACTGGTTATAATAATTATATCTAGCTCAAAGCATTTTCGGAGTATTAAGTGAGAATATGGCATGTGAATTGTTGGTACAGAGGAAGCATATAATAAATATCTGTAGCTGCTGTTATTATCATTATAGTCTCAAGAAATTTATAATCTCATTGAAGAACTCATATGAACATGTCCTTTGGGCACTGTTCCCACCTGAGGAATAATTAAATCAAATCTATCTTTCTTTTGTTTAATCCATAACTAGCAAAAAAGTAACACACACACATATCATATGTAAAGGACATAACTGAGATAACTCAAACTATTAATACTCTCTTCTTTCATCAACTCTACACAGACTAACCCTTTTCTCCTATTCAAGATCTTTTTGTTAGGTCATCTAGAGGCACAGATAATACAGTTGGACCCTACTGTCCGCTATGCCATTAACTAGCAACAGGGAATGAATGGTAACCAAAGTGCACAAAGGTCTTTTCCTTTGTTTTTGTTTTTAAATATTTGAAGTCCCAATTTATCATACACAGTCATTTCATATTAAGATTGTGAGGTGATAATTTAGAAATTGTAAGAAAATAAAGTTCCCACTAATATTTGAAAGTCTTTACCAGGAATATCTTATAGCACATCTTTCTGTAGCTAATATTCTTACTTGATAAAAAGGATAAAACCACAATGTTATCAGCTAATCACAGGTCCATTCCTTGTATTCTGGTCTTAATCAAGAGCAGAAGGTAGTTTTAATTGCATCAACAGTATTAATCATACCAGCATGCGGGGATGCTATTGAATTTAGGGGTTCTGAATTCTAAATATCGCCTTCTCACCCCTCCTCTATTGTTTTCTTTGGCTGCTTTACACTAGTCACATTTGGAGTCTTACTTGCCTTTCCTAAGTGGTGTACATGTGCAGAAGGTTTTGCCCATTGTCTGAGCAAGCAGCAGACTATTAGTACTTTTTAATTGGTACTAACAGCTCTTCCAACATTTCCAATGATGTCTTAAATTCACCACAATTCATATCTTTAAATTAATCACTACCTTTTTAGTGTTTGCCTCTTCTGAAAGTTAAATGTTACTGGGAGAGTTAAATCCTCAGTGTGTAATTCTAAAGGATTTTGTGGGCAGAGAATAAGAGCCCTAACACCTGGTGCTGGGAGGATGGAGTGATAGAAAATGGAGAAGGTGGAGTAAGAAGGAAGACAAAAAGCTAACGATTAAACGTTTACTGATTTATAATCGTGCCTATGAGTCAACCCCTAAAAGTAAACAATAAAAAGTATCAGTCTAGGCCAGGTGTGATGGCTCATGTCTGTAATCCCAGCACTTTGGGAGGCTAAAGCAGGTGAATCTCCTGAGCTCAGGAGTTTGACACCAGCCTGGGCAACATGGTGAAACCCCATCTCTACCAAACACACAAAAAATTAGCTGGATGTGGTGGTGTGAACCAGTGGTCCCAGCTACTTGGGAGGATGAGATCGTGCCACTGCACTCCAACCTGGGTGACAGAGTAAGATCCTGTCTCAAACAAAACAAAACAAAACAAAACAAAACAAAACAAAACACAACACAACACAACAGTATCAGTCTAAAGTGGATAATTAACAAATAACATTATAGGTTTTGCCCCATTAACTTCTGCAGAAGTTTTATCATGTTGGCAAATAAACACTTCCTTCATTCTTTAAATGAAGACATGCAGGCAGAATAGGTATTATGCTTCTATGAATACAACAGAATCTGGTGAGAGCGTTGTGACTAGTTTCTAAGAGCACATTTCTATTTGAGTTCACGGGGGAAAGGGAAGGAGGCTTTCAGGAGGCAAGATTCATCACAAGACTAACTGGAGGATTCTGATCCTAGGCCTCAATCACAGCTTCTTAGTGTCTAGGAGTTAATGTCTTTGATGTTGAAGCTGGGAATTCTTCTCTCATGATTCAAATGCTGCTACCCTGATTTTTTTATTTTTATTTTTTGACGGAGTTTTGCTCTTTTTGCCCAGGCTGGAGTGCCATGGCGTGACCTCGGCTTACTGCAACCTCCGCCTCCCAGGATGAAGTGATTCTCCTGCCTCAGCCTCCCAAGTAGCCGGGATTAGAGGTGTGTGCCACCACGCCCAGCTAATTTTTGTATTTTTACTAGAGACGGGGTTTCACCATGTTGGCCAGGTTGATCTCAAACTCCTGACCTCGTGATCTGCCCGCCTCAGCCTCCCAAAGTGCTGGGATTACAGGCGTGAGCCACCGTGCCGGGCCTACTTTGATTTTTAAATAACATCAAAGAGTGATATTTACTTGATACCACGTCAAGGACACTAAGTGGACTCAGCTCTTTAGCAAAGGGAAGAGGAGAGACATTTAGTGTCATGACATCTTATACAGGCAGTTTCAGAAGGTAAATACAGTTATATTCTACTTGGCATTTTTCAAGGTATTTTCACATTATTATTTCATTTATTCTTTCTCATCTTCCTCATTATGACATCAATTTATAGATGGAGAGAAAGGTTCAGAGAGGTTAGAAAACTTGCTTTAGGTCACACATCGAAAGTGGCAAACTTGGTACCCCATGATGACTCAGATTTAGTGCTCTTCCTGCCATGCAGAGATCCCCTTCGAGAATCTAACAAAGCTATTTAGAGTATTAAATCATATTATCTTTGGATGGTGGCTATATGTTCTCTGTTATATTACATTCCTCTAACTTCAATGAAATGTTTCTTACTTCTGGAGGATTTCAAAGAAAAAATAATGAACAGGTGAAAACCATAATAAAAATCTAAACTCTTAATTGAAATACACTGATAAGAAATTATTCTTATTCACTAGGAATCACTGTGAAATGTCTTTATAGTCTGTTCTCAGGAGGCACTTAAAAGTGTGTAATTAAAGCAAAAAAAACCCTCAATTTTCAAAGAACTTTTTCATATATTGCATAAAGTACAGCTATGGTAGTTGGGATTGGCAGACTTTAATTACCAAGATGATAAAGGATTATGGTTTTTTGCTTAGCTGAAAAATTGTTGAGAAAGACTGAAAAGGAAATTTAACATTTAATACCTAAAAGACAGAGAAGAGAAAAATAATGGTAACTGTTATACCATATCTACTCAGAGATCATATCGCCAGCAAAACAATCACCTATACCATAGCTGCTGACTCTTAAGAAAAGGAAAGGACCTCTAAACGCAGAAAACAGATCACTCAAAATGAATATACTTTACTCATCCAAGATTACTGTTCATTTACTCTTACTTTACAGCTCTAACCAAACTTGGCTCCTTTATTTTCCAATTCACAGAAGGTTAAAGGAAGCAAACTAGAATATAAAGAACAGCAGTTATGTTTGGAAAAAATACCAGTACTGTAAAGCTATACCCATTAGTTAAGGAAAAGAAAAAAAAAAAAAAAGAAAAACTATTAGAAGATTGATTGGGGCTGTTCAACAAAGGAACAACATCTGAACTGATGTGCCAGATGATGATTCAGTTTCCAAGTTAAATAGCAAGTGTTATTTAGGAAAGAAAAAATATGTATGATTAATTTTATTTCTATTTTTAAAAAGATTAAAATATTTTATGCTTAAAGATTTTATGTGGCAGTAATTTTGAAAATCTATCAACTATATCTCCAACTATGTTGGCTAATGAAACACTACTAGTCTTTTCACCTCACCTTCCCAGTTATATTTATTAAAATAAATGCAATGAAAATTTCATCTCTAGGCTGGGCATGGTGGCTCATGCCTATAATCTCAGCATGCTGGGAGGCCAAGATGGGAGGATAACTTGAGTCCAGGAGTTCGAGACCAACCTGGACAACATAGTGAGACCCTGTCTCCATAAAAAAAAAAATTAGCAGGGCATGGTGGTGTACACCTGTGGTCCTAGCTACTCGGGAGGGGAGGGTGAGATGCGAAGATTGCTTGAGCATGGGAAGTCAAGGCTGCAGTGAGCTGGGATCGCACAATTGTACTCCAGCCTGGGTGACAGAGCAAAACCCTGTCTGAAGAAAAAGGAAAGAAAAAAAAATCCCACCTCTAATGGTTTACACAATTGCCTTATATCCAATTCAATACTTTCTTGCATTAGGCTTCCTTCTCCAATCAGTTGAACTTCTAATACTGAAATATAATAATCTTGGGCAGTTAGATATTGCTAGCCAGCAATATAAGAATTTTACAAACTCTCTTTTCACGCTTTTCTTGAGAAAACTGGTTGGGTGATGATTCTCTGTAGGTAAACTTGTTTAGATGATAATTTAGAGCCAGCACTGGAAGCTTACTGTACATGACAGTAACTTAAAGATGCTTTGGACAAGTTAAATAATCCTTGTTTAAATATATATGCACTGCAAATATAAACGCTTAATCTTCCCAACTTTCTTTCTGTATTTCAAAAGTACATAAAAAGAAATAAAAATATGTATCCAAAAATGGAACTTACCTCATCACTTTCAGGCTGTGAAAACACAATTGGCTGGCCTGTATCTGAAGCTTCCCTTATATTAAGGTGTAAGGGAATGTCTCCTAAAAGAGCCCAGCAGACATCCATTAGAACCAGAAAAGTTCATATAGGCATTTTGAATCTCACTATTTGAACTATGGAAAGAAACAAAATCGGAACTAAATTGATTCAAATTGACTATCTTCTAATTGCTAAATCTTTGAAAAAGAAATTTCAAATGGGAATTACAAACAAGATACTCTATTTTAGAGTAGTACAGTGATTGTATGTTTATATAGGAAAGCTCTGTGGCACCACATCAAGGTATGAGGCCTCTGATTTATTCTTTGCTGGAAGTCTCCAAGCAAGCAATGGCTTGGAAGACATTTGCAAATGATTTCTCCCATTAATATCTGATATAGACACATCATGCCACATAATAAGAGGAAACTGAAGAGAAAAATATGGGGAGGCAAAGTAGTTCAAAAAAAAGTACAACAAAATAACCTTCCTGATGTTGGCAAATGGAGTGAGCTCAAAGAACTGGTCAAAAGTAGGCCAGACCTGTTATCTCAACTATCTGTCTCTTTATCAGACAGAATTATTTTTCTCTTATTATTTACTAACCTATGTAGCACCATATATAACTTGTGAGCTTGGTGAGATCTCAGCAAGTATATGATAAGAACCTCCAAAATACAGACTGAGATGGGAGAGGTGTGTTTTCTTGAGGACACATTACTATTAGGCAGTGGAATTTAGGAGCTGACCTAAATTCTGACCCCTCATCCAATATACTCTTTCCAGCACACTATCACAAATGAAGTCTATCAAGACTGAGATTTAAAGCACAGTGAGTGGAGTCTTAAGCGGAAAAGTTGACTTGCCATGGTACTTAGCGTTCTCAGAACCACTCCAAATCCATGCAAAAGTTATTAAAACATACGTGTATGTGGTGCTTTATTCAAATAAGTCATTTAGCACCATGTCAGGAAATTTAAATAATGAAGTATATGTTATAAAAATATTACAGTATATACTATGAAGTACATGGAAAAGTAAATGTTATTTCATGATCCTCTTGTCAAATGCTGTGATCTTAAACTATAAGTCCTCAATATCCAACGGCCAAATGACAAATACATGATATTTTAGTAACCATTTAAGGATCAGCTTTTCATTAAATTTGATTCCTATTCTCTAGATCAACTTCGGACTATAGGAAACTGTCACAGGAGCAAGCAGCAAAAATGTTATAGAAAATGCTTAGAAATGAAATTTTTTTCCTCTCAATTTATGAACTGTCATTCTAGTAAAGAATCATGAAGGATTTCTTTTCTACTGCAGAAATGGAAGGTAAAAGAGTAAAACCTTCACCTTTATATAGCCATCTATTGACATCATTTCTGCTCTCCAGATACTCACAATCCTACCTACAGACACAGAAGATTAGACCAAGAAGGGGAAAAATCTTGTTAAAAATAGGTGCGTAGTAAGAATGGTAATGGGCTAATTGTTGTATCTAGACAGGGATTTTTAAAAAGTAAAAGTGAGTGAGGAGCAGTCTGAGCCTGAGAAGTATTTTTGAGGTGCTAAGTCTGAAAGAAATGAGGAAACATTTCAGACATATAATAGGTTAAAGGGTTTTCTGTGAGATGGTCTGAGACCTTAACTACTATGCATAAACTGTCCCTGTAGGTAAATACAGATAAGGTTCTCAAGAGCTATCGTACCAAATAATCATTTAAAACACGACCCACTGAATTAAGAGTCTGCCAGGGAGTCAGTAAAGGACAAATAAGGGTTCCCAGGAGGTTCAACTGGCCAAGAGGCCAGAGCTGTGAAAGCTTTTTCCCTGATTTCAGTTCCTCATTCCCAATTCCAACCTCTTCATAATTGAAGCCCTGCTCCACTTCATGGGAGACACCATGGGACCCATGACTACATTAAAAGGAGGGGACGTGCCCTAACGAGGAATTCTAAATGATTTTTCCCCTAACACTGTCAGACATAGCAGTCTAGGGCACCATCAAATTTTTGTGATCAGTAGTCAGTGTTTTTGATACATTTTTAGGGTAATTGTACATCTGTGAGCCATTGGTTAAAATGTAACTTCCATACATACCATTGTTTCTCAATGAAATGTTTCAAATTCTAAATAACTGACTTAGGAAATTGTTCAGCTCATTTGTAAGTTAGGAAATTACAATGTTGTCAGTATAATTCAATAATGCCATTATAATTACACATTTACTTTATTATATAAGCGAATGTCAATCTGTTATTATGCAGATTTGGAAAATTGAACTTTCTGGGTTAAATGAAAAACAGTTGCAGAATATAATTAGTGGCTATAATTATAGCAATGTATCAAAATATATCATTAGTATTCACCTGGTATTGTAGTGGCTGCTATAGTGCAAATGCATAACAATAATATATTTAACATCAACTTTTAGAAACTTAATTATAACAGAGAATGTTTTGAAATTCCTTAATCTCTAGGGATCTTAATTTTTAACTACCTAAGTCTAATAATTCACTTTATGCCTTCCCTATTCAGCATCTAACACCTGCCTTTGGCAAGAACAGAAACCCATTCACAATTAGAATATCAAAACATGTTTTCTAAAAAGTCTGTTAAGTTGCCTGTGGATTTTTGGAACATCATGTTTTATCCAAAACCTGTGTTTTGCTTATTTAACACATGATTTTAGTTTTCCTCACAGCACTAATGAACTCTTCAGTTCAGTGCCATGAACAGTGCGTACAATGTAAATTTCAGGTGCCATATTTTAAAGACATATCAAACACATTAAATATTACAGAAAACAGTAAATACTGCCATTCTAAAGCAGAAAGACTAACAAAGAATTAATCAGGAAGGCATTTTTACATATGCACTAAGAACGAACACTTTTAGAGGTTTTTACAACATACGGAACAGACATTTTAATGTACCTGTTTCTACTGAGAGATGTACACCCAACTTAGCAAACACACTGATGAGTATCATTTAAAATATGGCTTCAAATTACAGTACTTGGACTACAAAACTCTATTCTCAAATTTAAGTTATAGACAGTTTTTATTTAAAATAGAAATTATCATAGTTGACAGAACAAACCTATTCAAAAAAGCCAAAGAAAGGTTAACACATAGAACTGTGCTATATTAATTTAAAACACAAAGCCAAAAGCAACTCATCATTTTCAGAGACACTGTTTTTTGTTTTTTGTTTTTTTTTTGATGGAGTCTCACTCTGTCACCCAGGCTGGAGTGCAGTGGTGCTATCTCAGCTCACTGCAAGCTCCGCCTCCAGGGTTCATGCCATTCTCCTGCCTCAGCCTCCTGAGTAGCTGGGACTGCAGGCGCCCGCCACCACGCCTGGATAATTTTTTGTATTTTTAGTAGAGACAGGGTCTCACCATGTTAGCCAGGATGGTCTCGATCTCCTGACCTCGTGATCTGTCCACCTCGACCTCCCAAAGTGCTGGGATTACAGGTGTGAGACTCCGTGCCCGGCCTCTGAGACACTCTTAATCATCAAGCCTCATCCCCACTTTCTCTTCTGCCACTTCTTCTACAAAAGAACATCCCACAGTCTTACCTAGAACTTCAAGACCAAGGGTCTGTGCTAGTTTCCTTGCACCATCAGCACCAAAAATATGAGTTTTGTGTTTACATTTTGGACACTGGAAAACACTCATGTTTTGGACAAGGCCAAGGACCTAGAATAAAAACACACTGAAATCAAAATAAAATTAAACCAAATATTAATACATTACTTCAACAAATTTTTACAGAGTGCCTACTGAGTTCTAGTGGCACTCATCAATGTTATCACAATGATGAATAAACTATGGCCTCTGCTCTGAAGGAACTCATGAGCTAGTAAGAGAGCAAGACATATAGAATTACCTTTGATATCATAATAAATGCTAAAAAGAGATGAATGAACAGGAACCAAAAATTCTGCCTAGAAAGAAGAGAAATCTTTGAGTTTCCCATAGACAGTTGTTTCTTCAGGTTGTGGGGTGATGAGGAGGTGAGGCCCACAGCAGGAATTCTAGACAGAAGGAAGACAACAAGCCAAGGTAGCAAAATAAAACTGTGTGGCCTACTTGGGCTGCAACCCAGTGGGTGGTCAAGGCAGAAGATGGTTTGGGAAGGAAGGCTAGGGCCACGTGGGAAGATGCTGAATACCATCCATGTATTTGAGGCATTCCTCTTCAGACAACAGGAAACCACTAAAGGTTTTCAAAGCTGAAAAGATGGTATCAAAGAGGTAGTTATACAATCAGATTTTTGTTTTAGAAATTTATCTTTGATGACAATTTGGAGAAAAATAAGAAGGGAGGAACAGAGGAAAATAAATACCTAAGAGGTAACTTTGGACGA
Source organism: Homo sapiens (assembly GCF_000001405.40). Classification (NCBI taxonomy): domain Eukaryota; kingdom Metazoa; phylum Chordata; class Mammalia; order Primates; family Hominidae; genus Homo; species Homo sapiens. The sequence continues at coordinate 31,845,800 of NC_000014.9, read as the reverse complement.
AGTCTCACAGTAAATCTAAAATAACGAAGTGTTTGTTGTATGCCAGGTGCTGGGTTAAGTACTTTAAATGTACTATCTTATTTACTCTTCACAAGAACTTTATGAGATGGTTATTTTGTTTTTTGTTTTGTTTGTTTCTGAGATGGAGTTTCGCTCTTGTTGCCCAGGCCGGAGTGCAATGGCGCGATCTCGGCTCACCGCAACCTCCACCTCCTGGGTTCAAGTGATTCTCCTGCCTCAGCCTCCCGAGTACCTGGGATTACAGGCGTGCACCACCACACCCGGCTAATTTTGTATTTTTAGTAGCGACAGGGTTTCTTCCTGTTGGTCAGGCTGGTCTCGAACTCTCAACCTCAGGTGATCCGCCCACCTCGGCCTCCCAAAGTGCTGGGATTAGAGGAGTGAGCTACCGTGCCCAGCCGAGATGGTTATTTTATCATTCTCATTCTATGGTTGAGAAAACTGACAGTGCTAACAAAAGAGTAAAACTCAGCTCTTATCAGAATGTTATTGTCTGAAACAAAATTAAGTTTCATAGAAAAGGTCATTCTCTTTCTAAGTTTCCCTAGATTCTGCTACAAAATAGATACAGCTAAACCTTGAACATGAGTTTGAACTGTGGGGGGTCCACTTATGTGTGAATTTTTTTTGAACCAACCACAGATAAAAAATATAGTATTTGCCCGCCACAAAACCCAAGTACCGGAATGGCTGATGTCCTAGAAGCAACTGTGGGACTTCAGTATGCATGAATTTTGGAATATGCAGTGGCGGGGGGAGGGCGATTCTGGAACCAATCCCCCACATATATTGAGGGAAGATGATACTTAAGAAATGTTATTATTCAACAATACTGTTGAATAAATAGATAGGCTCTGCAAATATAATCCTTACTCATGTTCCTTTTAATCCCACTCTCTCATTGATGAGGAGCAGTAGCTCTCTTCTAGAATAAAAATGCAGAACACTATTTTCAGAGGCTTAGAGATTACAATAAAAATGCAGAACACTATTTTCAGAGGCTTAGAGATTACAATGTCTGTATCAGTTCTACCATAAGGTTATGATTGTAGATTATTAGAACATTTGCATTTTAAATGAAGAACAGTACTGATAGTCCACAATGAAACATATAGATAAGAAGGCGAAAAAATTGTTATTCTTTCTGAAAAGAGAAATAGAAAAAACTAAAGTTGCCCCCAATAATTATATATGAAGACAAATAGTAAAAAGACATAAATCTATAGCAAAGCATTTTCCAAGCATCTAATATATGCCCTTTTGCTGATGCACACTATCACAAAAAATAAATCACGCTGTGTTTTGGGAATTCAGTACTATCTCCAGAAAGCTAGAGAGAAACATAGCTTAATGTCACACAGCTTGTTTATTAACTATGCCTATATAATACACTCACTGCTTGGGCAGTTTTACTGCCATTTATGTTAAATGTGATATATCCCCTGACTGTATGGCTCTCAATTTAAACAAAAAATTATCACTCAAAAAGTGAGAAAAGGAAAAACACCTAAAGAAAGTGAAAATCTTTGTGAGGGTATATTTCAATTCAGAGAGAACAGGAAAAACATTCTGACCTTGGAATCTCTTAGACTCCCTAAGACATAGAGGCATAGAACAAGTGTGTATTTGCAGTTTGTGTGATTTACATCTTCTTATCACATCATTCTCTATGGACTGTATAAATATCTCAGACATGTTCTCTATAGACTACACAAATGTCACAGACCTAAAATATAAAACTATAACCAAACTCAATATTTAACGAGCTCTTAATATATGCCAGTAACTGGGCTAAACACAAGGAATAGCATACAGTGCTGAGCAAAACAGACTTGATCCTTACCCTTTGGAGCTTGTACTGTAATTGGAGGAAATTGACTGAACAAAGAATAGTGCAAAAATACACTCATAAAATGGAATGGCTTCTCTGGAAGCAAAGTATAGGGTATTATGAGAGTGTAGAACAGAGAGGACTTGATGTACTCTGGGAGTCAGAGAGGGCTTCCTTGAAGAAACATTTGATCTTAAAGCTACAGAGTGACTGGGCAAAAACAAGGAAAAGGGAAGAAAAACATTCAAAACAGAAGTAGGGAGCACATGTCTCCCTTCAAGGAACTGAAAGGCCAGTCTGAGGCCTCTAAGGTGTGGTGTGAGTGGAGTTAGATGAAGCTGGAAAGGTGGGGCTTGTAGGCTATATTAAGGTGTCTGAGTTATATAATGAGTGCTAAAAAGCCATTACAGAGTTGTAAGCAAGAGAGGCCACTATGCCTGTAGTTGTAGTTGACTCATTACTCAGGACTTCAGTGTGTTAAAAACAATACAAAATAATGGAAGAAGCTAAATAGACTTGTCTTTGTGTGTTTATTTTCTTAGACAAACACAAATCCTGGGCTGTGTTCTCCAAAACTGATCATGAGAGAGGTGTCAACTTTTAATGCTGTCTAAAATATGTCCATTTCTCTGCCTGGGCACAAGGTTAGGACTTTTCTTCCCTCAAATTAGGTAGGAACACATAACTTGTTTTGGCCAATGAAACGTATGCAGAAGTGCCATGTGTCAAATCTAGGCCAAAGCTTTAAGTGTTAATTCCTCATTATTTTTCCCTCTGTCCTGATGACAAGCAAGCCTCCAGCTGGTGGCTGCTGTATCAGTCTGGGTGCCAGGGTGTTGAACAATACAGAGAACGATGCAATACAGAGGAGTGTTGAAGCCAAACCACAATGGACACAGAGCATGAGACAAATAAACCTGTGCTGTTTTAAGCCACTGAAATTTGAGAGTTGATAACACACATAACCTAGCCCATCTTGGCTGATATAGAGGTGTAAAAAGAAAACATTAGGATTTCTATTTCTATGTTATGATTTCCTTTCAATTTCAATTTTGTGTGTTTTATAAAGAAAATAACATATTAATGTAGTAATATATGTATACTACATATACAATATATAACTTATTAATAAATATATTTCATACATATATTAGGTTATATGTTCAAACATCATTTACTAATAAGGATGTATAACTGAAAGTCTGGAGGTAGACTGGGCATGGTGGCTTATGCCTGTAATTCCAGAAGTTCAAGACCTGTCTGGGCAACACAGCAAGACCCTGTTTCCACGACACACAAAAAAATTAGTCAGGTGTGGTATCACACACCTGTGGTCCTAGCCACTCAGGAAGCTGAAGTGGGAGAATTGCTTGAGCCTGGGAGGTTGAGGCTGAGGTGAGCTCTGTGATTGTGCCACTGTACTCCAGCCTGGGTGACAGAGCAAGGCCCTATTTCAGAAAGGAAAAAAAAAGTTTGGAACTAAAGAACCCTTTATATGTTTGAAAGTCAGAGGTTTTGATAACTAAGCTTGGCTCTATTACTGATAATATGTAACTTCTCCTAGTTAAAGGATAAATGTTCTAATATTGCTTCCTAGACATCTTGAATAAATTAATTCCACTTAACTCTAGAATTTCCTCATCTTAAGAACGTCCCACACATATACCACTTTGCTTGATTTTACCAAAAAACTTGGTTGTAATAGAATAAAGAGCCCAGAACAGGCCAGACGTGGTGGCTTATGCTTGTAATCCCAGCTCTTTGGGAGGCCAAGACGGGCGGATCATGAGGTCAGATCAAGACCATCCTGGCTAACACGGTGAAACCCCATCTCTACTAAAAATACAAAAATTAGCTGGGCGTGGTGGCGGGTGCCTGTAGTCCCAGCTACTCAGGAGGCTGAGGCAGGAGAATGGCGTGAACCTGGGAGGCAGAGCTTGCAGTGAGCTGAGATTGTGCCACTGTACTCCAGCCCAGGCGACAGAGGAAGACCCCGTCTCAAAAAAAAAAAAAAAAAAAAAAAAAAAAAAAGCCCAGAATCGACCCATACATGAAAGTCACTAAGTTACAATGGAGACAACATAGTACTGCATGTTAACTGGATATCCATATATAAAATAATGAATCTTAACCTCCTACCTCATTCCATACACAACAATTAATTCCAGGTGAATTTTAGAGCTAAATATGACAGGTAAATAATAACACTTTTAGAAAAAAATAGGCAATATACTAATGCTGCAGGCAGGCAGAGATTTTTCTAGCAGGACACAAAGTTACACTAGACACAAATGAAATTATTTAAATTAAATTGGACTACATTAAAATTAAGAAATTAATCAAAAGATATGATTCAAGAGTGAAAGGGCAAGCTATAGAGTGGGAGATGGTATATACAATACACATACATGACAAAGGACTTTTACCCATAATGTATAAAGAACTCCTGCAAACCAATAAGGAAAAGCCAGATAATACAATAAAGAAATGGGCAAGAGATTTAACAGATATTCCACAAAAGAAGATACTCAAAGTACATTTATGCTTAAGACTGTATTAGAAAAGAAATATCAATATGACTAAACAAAAAACAAAATTATATCAAATGTTTGTGAGAATGTGAAACAAGTAAGATTCATTGTTTCAGTTGAGTGGAAATGGGTACAATCATTTTAAACAACTGTTTGGCAGTATCTACATAAACTGATACATGTTTATACTACAGCCCAGCAATTCCACTTCCAGTTATGTATCAACAGAAACATGAACAAAACATTCACTAAAAGACATGTCCAACAATGTTCATAACAGCACTAGTCATAATAGTCAAAAATGGAAAACTACTCGTGTCCATCAACAATAAAATGGACAAACTGTGATATATTTAATGGAATGCTACAGAGCAATGACAAGAAAAGAACGATGGCAACTATCAGCAGTATAAGTGAATCTCACAAACATAATTTTAAACAAAATAAACCGGACACACAAACGTATAACACTATATTATTCTGTTTGTAAAAATTTCACAAACAAGCAAAACTAATCTATAGTGTTATAATTCGGGTTCCATTTTGGGGTAGTGACTAGAAGGTGGCACAGGCAGGAGTTTTTAGGATGCTGGTAATGTTCTATTTCTTATTTTGAAATTTTATATTGTTTGACTGACATTTCCCCAATCCCTGCTGCCCAGCCCCTGGTAACCACCATTCTACTCTCTACCTCTATAATACAACTTTTTTTGGATTCCACATATAAGTGAGATTATGAAGTATTAGTCTTTCTGTACCTGGCTTATTCTACTTCATATAATGTCCTCCAGGTTCATCCATGTTATTACAGGATTTCTTTCTTTTTCTTTTTTTTTTTTTTTGAGATGTGGAGTCTTGCTCTGTTGCCCAGGCTGGAGTGCAGTGGCGTGATCTTGGCTCACTGCAAGCTCCGCCTTCTGGGTTCACACCATTCTCCTACCTCCGCCTCCCCAGTAGGTGGGACTACAGGCGCCCGCCACCACGTCTGGCTAATTTTTTTGTATTTCTAGTAGAGATGGGGTTTCACCGTGTTAGCCAGGATGGTCTCGATCTCCTGACCTCGTGATCCATCTGCCTTGGCCTCCCAAAGTGCTGGGATTACAGGTGTGAGCCACCGCGCCTGGCCAATTTCTCTCTTTTTAAAGGCCAAATAGTATTCCATTGTCTGTGTCTATGTGTGTGTGTGTACACATTTTTAAAATCCATTCATCTGTTGGTTGATTCCATATCTTGGCTATTGTGAATAGTGCTGCAGTAAACATGTGAGTGCAGGTATCTCTTTCGTAAACTGATTTCGGTTCCTTTGGATATATTCCCAGCAGTGGGACTGTAGGATCATATGGTAGTTGTATAGTTAATTTTTTTAAGGAACCTCCATACTATTTTCCTTAATGGCTATATTAATTTATATTTCCACCCAAAGGGTGCAAGGGTTCCCTTTTCTTCACATCCTCGCCAACACTTTTCTTTTGCTATTCTAACAGGTATGAGGGGATAATAGCTATTCTAACAGGTATGAGGGGATATCTCATTGTGGTTTTGATTTGCATTTCCCTGATGATTAGTGATACTAGCATTTTTTCACATACCTGTTGGCCATTTGTATGTCTTCTCTTGAGAAATGTCTACTCAGATCCTTCACCCATTTAAAAAAATCAGGTTGTTTGTTTTCTTGCTATTGGGTTGAGTTCCTCATATACTTTGAATATTAACTCCTTATGCATGTTTTGCAAATATTTTCTCTCATTCTGTAAGTAGTCTCTTCACCCTGTTGATTGTTTTCTTGGCTGTTCAGAAGCTTTTTAGTTTGATGTAATCCTATTTGTCTATTTTTGCTATTTTGTCTATCCAGAAAAATAATTGCCCAGACCAATGTCATAGAGCTTCTCTTCTAGGTTTTCTTCTAATACTTTCATAGTTTCAGGTCTTACATGTAAGTCTTTACTTCATTTTGGGTTGATTTTTATATATGGTGTGAAATAAGGGTCTAATTTCATTCTTCTGCATGTGGACATCCAGTTGTCCTAACACCATTTATTGAAGCAACTGTCCTTTCTCCATTGTGTGTTCTTGGCACCTCTGTCAAAAATCAATTGACTGTAAATATATGATGTCTAGGCTCTCTATTGTTCTATTTCTGGGATACAAACAGTGGGTATGTTTGCTTTGTAAAAATTCATTGAGCTATAATTTGTGCCCTTTTATGTATGTATGTCACAGCTTCAATGAAAAGTTTGCTTTTAAAAAAGGTGGTCATGAGAAGAATGGTAATAAAGCAATAAGAACAAAAAACCAAAACAATGACATATTAGGTGTCTTGTGAACTTGTATATAAAAACAACCATCTGTTTTTCAATAGAAAATATTCTATAAAACCAAAAGCAGTAAAATTAAAATGAGTTCCTTGGGAGGAATAATCTCCTATTCTTCCTAATTAATACTTCAACGAAAGCCCTGAAATAAAGTCTAACTCCATAGAAGCTCTAAAATGGTAGGGCTATAGACCCACAATGCCCAATAGGGTAGCCATTAGTCACGTGTGGCTGGCTACTGGATACTTGAAATGTGGCTAGTCTGAATTAACATGTCTTATAAGGATAAAATACACCCTAAGTACTGAAGACTTAGTACAAGTAAAAAAAATGTAAAATATCTGAATAATTTTTAAAGTTTACAAGTTATTTATTTTTAACCTTTTCCATCAAAGTATATCAGGAACACACAAAAAAGTACTTAAGTTTAGGCAAAATGGAGTCACCAAAATGTATGCCCATGTTACCAAGACCCTGTTAATAAAATGTTGCCAACACCCCAGAAGTTTCCCTATATATCCTCCAAACACATTCCCAAAGGTATTCACTAACCTGCTTTCTAACACCATAAATTAATTTTGTGTTGTTTTGAATTTGATACTAATGGAATCATGCAATATATATTTTTGTGTCCAAGTGATTCATCCAGCTAAACTATGTACCTGTAATTTATTTTCATTGAGTCCTAAGATTTTATAATGACTATACCACAAATATCCATTCTCCTTTTGGGTCATTTGGGTTGTTTCCAGATTTTGGCTGCTGTAAATAATGCTTCTGTGAATGTTTTTGTACATGTCTCTCTCTTTTTTTTTTTTTTTTTTTTGCTGGATATTAGGTTATATGTATTTAACTTAATACGTTAAAGAAGCAAAAGTTTCCAAATAAAGTTCTATCAATTTATACTACCACCAGCAATGTATGAGAATTCCAGCCATTCCACAGCCTGGATCTTTGGTACCATCAGTTTTTATAAATTTTAGCAAATATGATGAATGTGTAGTAGACTCTCATTGTGCTGGCTTGTTCAACCGTTTACTTGTTTATACTGTGAACCAAATTACTTAGACTCTTCCTTACATGGTTCCTGGTTAAAGTTTGCCAAAAGTAAAGTGGCGGGAGATCTGGAAGGTGGAAATGAAGGCTTAGGCATTACACATTACTGGTTTTCTTTGTTCAGAGACAGTGAAAGGAAGATTCGGAGGTGCAGCTGCATTCCAGTTTGTCCTCATTTTTCTGGAGTCTGTGCCCAGCTATCTTTTCTACTATGGTTTTAATTTGCATTGCCATAATTATTAATAAAGTTGACTATATGTTTTACATTTTTTTGTCATTTGTATATCCTCTTCCATAAAGTGCCTGCTCGGGTCTCTTGCCTATTTTTTCAATTGATTATATGTCTTCTTCCCCTTACTGAATTGTAAGAATTCCTAGTGTTTTTCAAATACAATTCCTTTTTGGTTGATCCTCAATAATTTTTATGTGGTTTTCATGTTGAAATGATAATATTTTGAATATACTGTGGTACATATATTATTAAAATTAACTTCTTCTTTTCTTTCTATTTAAAATATGGCTACTAAAAACTTCAAAACTACGTTTGTGGTTCGTATTTCCATGGTTTATATTTCCACTGGACAGTGCTGCTCTAGAAAATTAAAGCCTGACTGTAGAAGCTATTTTGGTAGTTCTCCTACCTAATCTTTTAAGGGTCTAAAGATGCACAAAAATATTTTGTCAGGTTCTGTGATTTATAATGAATTTTTGTTTTTTTTGAAACAGGGTCTCACTCTGCTGCTCAGGCTGGAATGCAGTAGTGTGATCACGGCTCACTGAAGCCTCAAACAAACTGCAACTCCCGGACTCAGGCGATCTTCTTGCCTCAGCCTCCTAAGTAGCTGAGACTACAGATGCATGCCAGCACACTCAGCTAATTTTTTATTTTTTGTAGAAACAAGGTCTTAGTGTATTGCCAAGGCTGGTCTTTAACTCCCGGCTTCAAGCAATCCTCCCACCTCAGCCTCTGCACCTGGCCTATTACGAATATTTTTAAAAACTGAACATAAATAAAACACTTTAAAAATATACAAGACAGATAAACTACCAAGTTTCTGTGCTTTTAATTGAAATTACATCAGCCAAATGTGATAATCTTCTTTTATGGTTATCTCATTCTGTGCAGAGCTCATACAACAGTTATATACATAACTCTGTGTATGTCTCTCTCTGTATGCACAGAGATACAGTTATATCTATATATAGATGTACATACATATTATTTATATATTCTATCTTTGATTTATTAAAAAAGAGAAGACATCAGTCATTAATTAACATATGCAAACAGTGGCAAACAATTCTTTCAAAACATGGGGTTAGCTGGGGGACAATTTAAAAGAAAGCCTTGGGTATTAAAAAGCTTAGAAACCACTGCTCAAGTTCACTTAACAGCAATCCTCCATAATCAAGGAGGTTTTGAATGGGGGCAACTAATGCAGTAAGAACATTAGAATATCCATATTACAGTTTTGTTCATTAAAAATTCTTCTCTCTTAAATAGGAAAGAATTCAAGTCCATTATGATGTCTTCCCCGCCAAATAAGCCTTACATCTTGTGAATACTTCATATACTGTTAAGCTGTTTGTATTTATTGTAGAGCTATTGTGTATATCCTTTAATAGCAGAAACATTAGAAAACAGATTCTTTGCTATAGCTTAATTTACATAATACCACTGAGATACAGCTGTAAGCATGCTCAATCATTTTTTAATGTCTCATCAAAGCATAAGGTCCTTTTTTCTTTTTACCTCAGCTACTTTTACTGAAAGAAAGCAAATACTACATGCCTGGCTACCATCAGCCACCACAACCTTTTTGCGTGTGATTTTTGCAGTATTCCAATCCATCACTGGCTCAGAAGGGCACTTCTTTTCTTAACTTTTTAAAAATTGATTCTCTTGAAATATGAACATCGCTCTGAATATTGGATTTTTCTGTCTAAATCTATTGAATTAAGGAGGCCCAAAAGGCTCCAATTTTAATTTATTTTTCACATTTTAAACCCAGATACAGGTAAGTAACAAGCAAGATTTTTAAGCTACTATATAATCCAATTTATCCAGGTTACAATCAGGTTAAATGCTTGCTGGTTGGAACCTGTTACAAGCATTAAAAGCCATGATTTAAGAAAAAGTGAGGAGGAAAAATTCATTGTTAAATAATGAATGATAATAACTGAAATAGATTAGATTCATAACTGCTTTTCAGTTCTTTGTTAGACTCAAACCAGTTTTTGGTATACTCCTTGAAGCATGTGCATGGATGTTATAAGTTTTAAAAATGAGACAGGTGTTCTTGTTTTCTCTTTCAGAAATAGTCATTTGACATGGAAAGAACAATGAATGGGGGGGCCTGTGTCCATGCTCCTTTCAGGGACCAACTAAATAGTTGTGGGTCCATGAGGTGCAACTCAATTTCTCTATGTCCTGCATTCTTAATCTTGAAAACAAAGATTTATAATGATCTCTAATGTCTACCACTATATCAAAAACATTCAGAGCTACCCTTTACCATACCGTGTGCTAAGGCTATGCTAAGTAATGTAAATATAATCATGCTTCACTGCCATAGTGACCAATGAGATGGGTATTATCATCCCTATATGATGGAAGGAAACTCTGAAGCTAAATTATTTGCTCAAGGTCACACAGTTAGTAAATGACAAAGCCAAAATTCAAACTATCTGAGTGACTGGTTTGTATAAGGAAGTCACCAAACAAGATGACAACTAGATAGAGACTTTTGTGCATGGAATTAGGTGGCTTAAAATAATAATGAGTCAATAAAGTTGAGCAATATAGCATAGTAATTAAGAGCACAGTTACAGGGCAGGCCTGATTTGAGCCATCCTTACCACCCAGTGCTGCAGTCAAGTCTTAGGCTTCATTCCTTTCTCCTAGATCCTGGACGTGGAACTCCCCTTCCCCTTATCGCCCACATGATACCTCCTTAACTGTCAACAGAACCTATGGCTCCTTAACTCCTCCCCATTTTCAATCCACCAGTTTCCTCTGGCTTCACTTGTCTACCTTAATAATCAGAACCCCAATAACAAGCAAATTTGATGAAGAACCCTCTTATACCCTAGATTCTGTCACCCTGTGATAGTCCATGATGTCCACAGTACTAAAACTCAACTCTGGAGTATCCACAGAAACTGCAGTTAAGAATACGGGCTCTGGAAAGCTGACTTCTTGGATCAGAGCCCAGATGTCCCACTAAACAAATAGATATTCTTATGTAAGTTATTTAACCTCTCTCAACCACATTTCCTCATGTGCAAAATGGGGGAAATGATGTTCTGTATTTCACAGGGTTGTTGTGAGAGATGAGTTTAATTTATGTAACTCACATAGAACAGCATTCTAGTTCAAAGCATACATAGACTTCTGAGAGAGCCTGGGGAAAGTCACAAATAAGCATATATCTCCAGTCTCTGAGAAATAATTATGGCTGAGATGCAGAATGCTATCCAGTCTCATAAAGGTAATAAAGATCGTCTAATTTTTCTAAGTAAACAATATAATCCTTAACCTTTACAAATAAATACTAAAAAGTTCCAGACCGGCCAGGCGCAGTGGCTCACGCCTGTAATCCCAGCACTTTGGGAGGCCAAGGTGGGCAGATCATGAAGTCAGGAGATCGAGACCATCCTGGCTAACACGGTGAAACCCCGTCTCTACTAAAAGTACAAAAATTAGCCAGGCATGGTGGCAGGAGCCTGTAGTCCCAGCTACTCAGGAGGCTGAGGCAGGAGAATTGCTTGAACCCAGGAGGCGGAGGTTGCAGTGAGCCAAGATTACACCACTGCACTCCAGCCTGGCGACAGAGCAAGACTCTGTCTCAAAAAAAAAAAAAAAAAAAAAGTTCCAGGCCACAGTAGGCTTGTCTCTGTTTTTTGTTTTTAGCAGAAAAATTAAACCACAGGAAAGGTAGAATTTCTATCTCTCCTTTATAAAATAAATATTTGTAAGAGTAAAATAGTTATACAATTTTCAGAATTATTTATTAGGAAATAAATCAGTTCAGTGATCTACATTAGGATTTAATCTATATATTTGTTTCCAGGTCAAATGTGGTATAGACTGCTAGCTGCTCACCAAAATTCATGATCTCATCTTCCTTGGCACACAACTAATTGATATTTCTTAGGCTTCTTGAGAGATATGACATGTGGCCATGTGACTGATTTTAGCTAATAGAATGTGCGCAGAAGTATGTGTATCACATCTAGGTCTGGCCCATAAAAATCTCCAATGTAGGTACATCCCTCTGTATTCTCTTTCCTTGTGGCTAGCTAGAATGAAGATGGCTCCTAATGTAATTTTAGAAGTCACAATTGAAGATGACAGAGGCTCCAACAGTCTGAAAGACTGCATGGAAGAAGGCTACTCTGCTCACCTGTTCATCTACTGTAATGGTACTGTTACATGAGCAAGAAAGAAACTGCCATTGTATTTGTATCATTATATATTTTGGGGTCTACTTGTAACAGCAATTAGCCTTCCTTAAATGATGTAAATTTCAAATAATGCAGAATTTTAGACTCAAAATAATATAGCAACTTAATAAATCTATATGAAGATAATATAGATGGCTCAATGAATATACTCAAGGAATAAAGAAATCTCAAAAAACAGTAGTGTTTAAAATTCTAATTAATTTTTTTTTTTTGAGACAAGGTCTCACTCTATAACACTCAGGCTGGAGTGTACTGACATGATCACAGTTCACTGCAGCCTAAACCTTCCAGGCTCAAGCGATCCTCCCACCTCAGCCTCCTGAGTAGCTTGGACTACAGTTGCATGCCACCATACTTGGCTAATTTTTTATTCTTTTAAAGAGACAGGGGTCTCAATATGTTGCCTAAGCTGGTCTTCAACTCCTAGCCTCAAGCAGTACTCCTGCCTCGGCCTCACAAAGTGCTGGGATTACAGGCATGAGCCACCACGCCCAGCCCCAAATTCTTATTACCAACTAAAGGGATTAGTTAAAATACCCAGGTAAAATACATAAAAATCTGTAAATTTATCTGTTTCATAACATTCTAAAAAGTAATTACAAGAAAAAATTAATTATATAACATTATGTAAACATTGAGTGCTTAGACTGCCAGGAACTGTACTTAAGCCATTTATATGCATTATCTTATTTCTCATCTTAACCTCCTGAGGAAAATATTACTATGATTCCCATATGATGATTGAGAAAACTAAGGCATAGAATAGATAACTCAGGTCATACAGTTACAAAGTGGCAGAGCTGGGATCTACAATTCAAACTCCTCAGCTCATGCTCTTCACTACTATGCAAAAATGCCTCTGCAAGTAGTTTCCTATCATCTAAAAAATTATAAGAAAATTTGGAAAGCAATTTAATTTGAAACCACAAAAGAATATCAAAAATATAGTTCTCTAAGTGGTAATAAAAATCTGTATATAAGAAATTTTTTAAAGAGTATTTCTTTTGTCAGTATCTTTACCAGTTTCTTCCTTGACAAACACTATTAAATCACAACTCTCAAAGAGAAGAAGGGCAGAGATTTGTGACTGAGAACCTAACCTCTTATTTCTAGTTTGTTGTCTACCTGAGCTACAAAGCAGCTCCTGGTAGATTTATTAATGGCATCATAACTCTCAAAATTCTTTTGATTTCTGCCTTTTTTGTTCTAACTCTCCTACCCTATACAATCGATTCCCAAGATTTTCAACTCTTCCTTCAAAATGTCAATTACATTCATTTCCCCTTCCACTTTCACTGGCATTATTCTAATTAAGCCCCTTACTGCCTATCACCTACACCATGTTTTTCCAACTTTTTAAACTGTCTTACTGATAAAAGAAATATTTCACATCTTGACTACATGGAAGAAGGCCACTCTGCTTATCTGTTCATCTACTGTAATAGTACTGTTACATCAGGAAGAAACACAATACACACATATGTGTATTTATACTTGAGACCAAATCTTTATGAAATAAGACTGTCTTCCTAAGAGCAATTTACTCTGACATGGTTTAAGCATTTTTGGTTACATCTCTTACTGTATCAATTTCACGATCTGTTGGTGGGTCACAATCTGCAGCATGAATAACTTTGATCATTGCAAATGTTCCCTTACTTCCTCTATGTTTCCTGGCTCCTATTCTTTTTATTCATCTCTATCAGATTAAAACTTTGTAAAGCTCTATCCTAATGATGTTTACTTCCCATCCAGCATTCTTTATGAACTCCTCTTATAATCTTAAGAAGAAAGTACAAATTCCTTAGCCTACTGTTTAGGGCTCTACCAAACCTGGCAATACACCAATGCGTAACTATCTCAACTATAGACAAACTGAACAATCCTGAACACAACTTGTGTATTCCTGATTCTTTCAAGACTGAATTCTGTCCCTCCCTAGTCCCTAGATATGCCTATGAAAATCCTACTCCACTCATTCACTCAGTATATATTTAGCGAGAAACTACATCTTCCAGGCACAGCGAGAGAGACAGGTGGTCATAGAGCTTATAGTATGAGTATAGTATGGTATGGTATGGTATGGTATGGTATGGTATGGTATGGTATGGTATAGTACAGTATAGTATAGCATAGTATGCTAATGTGAAAGTACTGACAAATGTGAAAACAGTTAGAAAAGGAGTAATAGAGTGTAATTGGATCATAAAATTAAAAAAGCTCATAAAAGGGTTAGGGCAGGCTGGGCACCGTGGCTCACATCTGTAATCCCAGCACTTTGGGAGACTGAGGCGGGTGGATTGCTTGAGGTCAGGAGTTTGAGACCAGCCTGGCCAACATGGTGAAACCCCGCCTCTACTAAAATACAAAAATAAGCTGGGCGTGGTGGTGGGTGACTGCAATCCCAGCTACTAGGGAGGCTGAGGCAGGAGAATTGCTTGAACCCAGGAGGCAGGGGTTGCAGTGAGCCGAGATCACACCACTGCACTCCAACCTGGGTGACAGAGCGAGACTGTCTCAAAAAAATAAATAAATAAATAAATAAAAAGGATTAGGGCACCTCTCCCTGAGAAAAGCTTTTTGTTTAATCTAAGTACCAAAGTATAAAAAGGAGTTAACAGGTGAAAAGTGAGGTTAAAATGTTCTCCAGTAGGAAAAAAGCATGGTAAGGGTCCTGAGGAGAAAAATGGTGTGTGGAAACTTCAAAGAAGTGGAAGAAGACCAGTTTGGCTGTGGCACAGAGAAAGCAAGGCAGAGTAGCCCATGAGTTGGGGTAAAGGGAACAGCAGATGTGGATGGCATTACATCCCAGATCAAAGTATCCTGCCTGCTATATGCCAGGTAACTATGCATTTAAGAATGTTTAAAGCATGTTTTCTTGCTATCCAAAACCTGCATTCTTCTGTGAAGACTGACAGGTAAACCTGCAGTGGAATAAGAACCAAACTAAATATATGTGTAAGTAGATCTGAGACAGGAGTATTAACTTTTCCTGGCATACTGGGAAAAGCTTTCTAGAAGAAATAATGTCTGAGCAGAGATGTTAAAAATGAATACATGAGTTCCCTAAATTGGCCATGGCTTATCAGGCAAAGGACCAGGATGTGTAAAATTACAGTGGCATGAAAAAAATAATCATGGCTTTTCCATAAAGTCATCCCTGATAGCCTGGAAGAAAAAGTGTTTTCATGCATCTCAGAATTTAAGGCCTTTGCATCAAAATAGAGTTAGTCTACAGGATGATATAAAGTACTTGAAGAAAGAGGCTTCATCCTCTTTATTTTTTTCTAAACCACTAATGGAAGTTTATTATAGCACTTTGCTTATAGAAGACACTAAATATCAGTAAATATAGATTTGTGGAAAAATAAATTAATCACATTTGTTGAATTAAAAGTAACTAAGTGATCCCTTATGTGCCGAAGGAGTAAGAGAATAAATATACTTTAATTTACTTTTCAGTAGCAGGGAATGAGATTATCAAAGAAGGAAGGGGTATATAGTGAAATCCCTTTGACATCAGAAGTTCAAATGGTAGGAGAAGGGCTCCAGATCGGGGTGCCTGGGACTCCCACATATAAGAAGGCAAGAAAAATGAGTGAGAATGACACAACACATAAATTACTCATTATTAAAAATGTATAAGACTGAAAATTTTTATTTTGTTTAAAAAAATAGTCTACCTACAAATATTGAGATAATTGAGGATTTGGCATAGTTGCTATCATTTCAGGCAGAGAACAGAGAATTTAATAGCTCATCTCTTCTCCTACTTCCCCTATCTAAGCCTTGAGTTTTAAGAAATCATTTAAATTAACTTCAATATGTTCTTGCAGACATTACTAAACTCTGTCCATACCGATGAATTCCAATGACATCATCGTTTCCATGGTAACTAATGCACGTCAAATGGGGGAAAAACAGAGAGCTGGACTAAAAACCAAGGGGAAGAAATGGAATAAAGTGGTATAAACAAAGCATAACATCTTTTTTTGTATTTATAAAACACTTAATAATTTCAAATCCTTTACTATTACTTTGGCTGTGGGGCTGGCTCTTAAGGCCCAGAGGGATCTCAGAGGTCAACAAATCCACTTCCCACTCATAGCCCAGACCTTCTTTACAATGTAGCTAATCATGATTGCCCAACTGTTCACAGAGCTTATTGCTGGAAAGTTCTCACTCATTCACTTGCAAACATTACTGAATACCTATCTTGTTCTGCAGGTTTAAGAAATGATTAAGACCTTCTATCTCTTTTAAAAAATGTTTGTAGTTTAGAAGGCAAATAATTTAAATGTAGGGTGGAAAAAAAAAAAGAGAGCTGTAATAAAGATACAGGAAGATGTCCAAAAGGCCAGAGGAAAGAACTATAAATTTCAACTTGGAAGAATTACACAGTTCCAATGACTTTCATTTCTACTCCCACTAAGTCCCACAAACCCATGACAGCATCCTGGACCTTGTCATGACCCAGAACTGCTCTAACTTGGCAAACTTATACTCTAATATCAACTTTCTGATCCCAAACAGCTCTTTCACCTTCTAACTGATCCCTGAAGTAGTCCTATGAGCCTTATGCAGTCCATCAGCCTTCATTTGGAATACTTCCTCACAATACTTCCTTGCTAATATCCTTAACGTCTATCCTTCAGTGGCATTCACCTAACAATAGCCTAACCTGGACTTAGTGACCATCCCTTTTCCTCTCTGTTATGTTCCATAAGGATTATCTGTCCAACCCTCTGTCTTAGAATTTAGGAAAAAATCTGTCAGAACAGTATGAGATTAAGTATCCACGTTCACAGGTATACAGGTTTACATAGGGACTGAAAAATAATATATGCTGAATTTGGCAACTACGGTCATTAGACTCCTAACTAGCAAAGTCCATGTAGGACTTTCTCCACAGCCAGTCACCTCAAATGACAGTGTCAGTTGAAATGGTATTTTGATATATAAAATGATAATTTATAGGGGGTAAAATTTTAAAAAGGTCTTACTCCTGCTCT
This sequence comes from Homo sapiens, assembly GCF_000001405.40. NCBI lineage: Eukaryota > Metazoa > Chordata > Mammalia > Primates > Hominidae > Homo > Homo sapiens. The sequence continues at coordinate 31,828,570 of NC_000014.9, read as the reverse complement.
GTTTAAAACTTTTTCCTCAAGGAATTCATGTTTTTGGGTGAGCTGAACACCCTCAACTCTCATCTTACAGAATGAGAAGTTAAGCATTCACTTATGTGCAAATAGAATGGCTATTATCCTGACTTTGGAGTGATCTTAATAGACAATTGGCACTGTTATCTAATTTCTGCCAGAAAGAAGGATTATAGATTACTTAAGTCAATGTCATAATTTTTGGTAGATAACCTCCTAACTTTTTGCTGATTTATATTTTAAAATCCCCTATAACAAGTAACCTTATTTAGTTATCTGGGTAGGCATTACTTGTGTCTAGTTTGTCTTAGAGGGCATAATACAAAGTAACACTGCTCAAATTAGGTGCTTTAGAGAGAGTTTTCGGTGTGAGGCAGGCATTTGGTTATCACTGTTTTAAAAATTTTCCAACCTAAAGTTCACGACATAGAACACTGGCCCTAAACTACTTGCTGATTACAATTATAAACCTGCTAGTGAAAAACCCTTGGACCACCTGGAAGGTAAGCATACAGGCACCTTCCTTATAAGCCTCCTCGATTTTCACGAGAACATGTCAATCCAACCCAGAGTTCCTCAGCTTGCCAATACCCACAGCACTGTGCTAACTGGCAAGGGAGAAGAGGTACTTGAGGAAATTCACCTCAACCATTCTACTACACTATTTTACACTTTTCAGAAGCCCTCTGAGAGATAAACATTTATGAAAGCTTCCCTTCAAGTCCATTCATTCAAATACATTACTGGATCTTATCCTGTGTCATGGTCTCACTGAAGAATCTGATAAAAGTTATAATTCATTCCATACCAAAACAAATACTTGTAGGCATACAATTTAGGGCTGGGGGAGGTGAGGGAGAGAAAAAACATGAGACTCCTGAAGCTAATCTACAGACTAAAGTTTAAAAAGCTCTGATATATATGCTCTAAAATCTGTCTTTGAATTAAGCAAGGCCACTAGCTAGCCAGCCACAGAGAAGCATCATGTTGACACTGTACTGAAATGTTTGCTTTAAATTGTACTCCAGCACAATTCCACCTGCTTTCATTGAGGCACACTAGAAGGAAGAACCCTGTATTTACTATAAAGAAGGTGATGAGAGTGTGTTCATTACATACACAGGTTCTTCTTTCTAAGAACCTAGGGAAGATATTTCTCTCTGGTCTCAGCTCTGTCTCTTTTGAGCATCCAGTTTTTTTTTTTTTTTAACTTTGTAGAAATGCACAGTTTTATAATGGTACTATTTTTCTTTTCCTTTGGCTGCTAGAAAAGTCACGGTACACCCCTAGCATGTATTTAAGTTTCTTAATAGCAGGCAATTTGTTTACTGACTTCACTTCTAACCCCATCTAATTTTAATTATTTTGTCTATTTTTATCTTATTTTTAACTTTCATTCCACCAAATTAGGGAGAAAATCCTGAAGTGTCTCCTAGAAGAAGGTGAGCTATAAATGAGTTGAACTGTAGGAGGCAGAAGGAAAAAAGTAATCTTTTTTTCATCCGCTTCCCCATAAGTGATCTATTCAAGCCTATCTATCTAAATAATTTCCTAAAACACTCTTGTAATTTTTTTTGTCAGTGATAGCTGCAAGTATGAGAGAAGTAGCACTTCTATAGAAAACTCTTACCTAAAGGGTGTTTTACAATTCTTATGGATTAATATCATGTATAGACATGTTTGTACCTATAAGTGTGTTTTTAAAGTCACCAAAATGATAAACTAGGACTTTCATAAAGACTTCTGTACAGGACTAAATTAAAACTTCAACTGTATTTTTCAATGACTTGCTTCTTCAGTTAGAAGAGTTTTATATTTTTCACAGTGAAGCTGTAAACGCTTACGGGCACGTGGACTCTGCGAAACATCTCAGCACCCTTGTGTGCATCCATCAATGCGATGTCCTGGGGCGTGGAGACAATCACAGCACCTAGCCAAAGATAAACAAAATACTATTATCTTTTAATTCTCTATGGAGAAATTACTTCCAGCATTATGTTGCTTACATACGCAAATAGTCTATTACGTTAACTATTTAGGTCATTCATATACATTTTACACACATGAATGAGAAAGACAAGAAAATGTCGACTTTGTTTTGGCCTACCTTTGAATCCTCACTTCTAAAATCACAACTGGGCCGGGCACGGTGGCTCACACCTATAATCCCAGCATTTTGGGAGGCCGAGGTGGGCAGATCGTTTGGGGTCAGGAGTTCAAGACCAGCCTGGCTAACATGGTGAAACCCTGTAACTACTAAAAATACAAAAATTAGCCGGGCATGGTGGCTCGTGCCTGTAATCCCAGCTACTTGGGAGGCTGCGGCAGGAGAATCACTTGAACCTGGGAGACAGAGGTTGCGGTGAGCGGAGATCACACCACTGCCTTCCAGCCTGGGTGACAGAGCAAGACTTCATCTCAAAACAAAAAATAAAATAAAATAAAAATCGCAACTGACTAATCAGTGATTCAGGATCATAACTCTATCAGTGGAACTTTCTTCTCATTCAGATAATGTGCTAGTTATACAGATGCACAAGCTAGGCTTTACTTTCAAATTAATAGTCCAATAGCCAGGCATGGTGACATGTGCCTGTAATCCAAACTACTTGGGAGGCTGAGGCGGAGGGATCACTTAAGCCCAGGAGTCCAAGACCAGCCTGGGCAATACAGTGAGACCCCATCTCAAAAAAAAAAATGGAAGAAAAAAGAAGAAAGAAGAAACAAGAAGAAGAAGAAGGAGGAGGAGGAGGAGAAGAAGAAATGAAGAAAGAAGAAAAAGGAGGAGGAAGAAGAAAGAAGAAAAAAGAAGATGACAATGAAGAAGATGATGAAGGAGAGGAAAAAGAGGAAGATGAAGAAGAAAGAACAAAAGAAAGAGAAAAAAAGAAAAGGAAAAGGAAAAAGGAAAGGAGAAAGAGGGGAGGAGGAGGAGGAGGAGAAGAAGAGGAAGATGAGGAGGAGGAGAAGGAGGAGGTTATTAATAGTCTACTTGGGAGACTGAAAAATTAAGCATTACAATACCATATGCTAAGGAGGAGGAGAAGGAGAACAAGGGGGAGGAGAAGAAAGAACAAGAAGAAAAGAAGAGGAGGAGGAGGAAGAAGAAGCTGTTAATATTCTACTTGGAAGACTGAAAAAATAAGGATTACAATACAATATGCTAAGCATTATAACAGAGGTGTGCACAGGGTGTTATGGAGTTATAAAGAAGAAATAGGAAGAAAAGCTAACTAATTCAATCTAGGAGAGAAAATGGTGAAGTATGACAGATGGAAGGGGAAGCTAGACATAGGAGAAACAATGGAGAAAAGTGTCCAGAAAGAGGTGATTCTTAGGCTGAGTCCTAGAAGTTTATATTCTTAAAAACTCACACTGTGGAAAGCAGTTTGGTGGGAATAAAACTGAGGGCTGTGGTAGAAATTCAGATGCAAAATGGTAGAGGCCTGAACTGAAGTGGATGGAGATGGCAAATTTTCTGGATCTCCACTACTACCCTACAGAAACCAGGTAGTACTACTGTACAGAGTTTTGAGAGAAAGTGCAGCACAATTTTTCTTTAGGTCAAAACAACAAAGGCCTGGTTAAGATTGGCTGAATCCGTGAATTTTTTTTTAATTTTGTGGTTCCCTCTAGATGATAACCTAAAAAATAATTAACATAAACATAATATAGATCACATGGCTGACCATCACCTTATAATTAAATACAGAATGCTGTGACAATTCAGAGCCCCAAACTGTTAAATTGGTATCAAGTGGCAGACACAACTAATGAAAACAGAGGCAAGATTAACAATAAATAACTGATTACACCAAGTGAAGGTCAAATGATACTAGACAGTATTGCCTGAAGGGATATTTTGAAGAAGTTCAAATAGAGAAAAGTGGTAGGAGAACTAAGTTATCACAAAGCACATGGCAGTATGGGCATGCCAAACTCAAAAGAACCTATACAGTAGTAGTTAGCTGTAAATTCATCTTGCAATCAGCATCTTCATTTCAGGAAAAAAATCTTTTACATTAAATTAACGTCATAAATTTGAATTTTACTGATTTTGTAAGTTTTGCTTGTATTTAATTTAATTTTTAAACTATACAATATGAGCTATAAACTTAAGAAATTTGTGTTTACACCTAGTTAAGTAATCTTATAATAAAAATAAGTCAGTATGGGGTGCGGGAAGATTATCTTTCCTTTAGAAGGAGGGCCTATTCATTACTCAAGTTTGAGATACACTATTTTTAGAATTCAAAGAGATCAGGATTCAAAATTTGATTCTATAGCTGACTACCTGTATGACTAGATAATGACTTAACCTATCAGAGTTTTTGTTTCTTCATCTACAAATAGCATGAAAATACTTAGGTCACAGGATTAAAATAATTAAATAAACTACTACACACAGACACTTGACATGATGCCTAACATTCAATAAATGATAGCTGTCACTGTTAATATCATTATTACATATATTATTGTTATTAATAAAATGCCTTAGACGTTGCTGGGAAGGTCATTTTCCTAAAGGCTATCAGGCAGCTCATCCTACTTTTCAAATTGTTCCATGGATCCCTACAGCCTTCTATTTTGATTTACTTTGCCCAAGAAACCAAAAATTAACACTCTCTTCCCCTCTTGCAAAGACTGATGGAAATCATATCTCGGCAAAAATTACACTCTACACCTCCAATACATTTCCAGAATTTGCCACCTTCCAGATTCTCTTATTAATCTGTTTCCTAGTTTTTTTCATATCCAGTCATTTGGAAAGGATCAAATTCTAGCTCTGGCTGTATCCAGCTGTATAACTAACTTCAAACAAATAACTAAGAATCACTCTGAGTCTCAGTTTCTTTAACTGTAAAACTAATGCCTGCACTAGATAGTTTCCAAGGACTCAGCTATCTCTATGATTACACTATTTAGCATTACATCTTAACTATAAATAGCTTTTAGAACGACCTCTGCTCAACTTGACTGCCCTAGTAATCTTATTTAAGGGGTATTAGCCCTCAATCTCAGAGCTATTCTCTTCCTACATAAGCAGAGGAATCTCCTTGGCTATTTCCTCCAAATCTTCTCCTTCACTATATATTAGTATGTAGGGTGTTCTCTACTGCATTGGCTCTAAAAAGTATTCTTAGCTTTCATATGATATAAACATGTTACTGTTTTAAACACTTTTTGTCTACTATTTGTATCACCATTACACAATATAGCTTCAAGGACATTATGATTTTTTTCATCTTTTTATCAAACAAAAGTAATGACATAATATTTTGCACAAAACAGGCACTTAGCAAAAGATCAGCAATTTAAACAATGTTCTTATATTTTCAGAATCATCTCCCCTAGATTACTTCAGCATAAACTTTAAGTTGGCAACTCCTTGAACTAGGAGTCAAGAGCTCCAGATTCTGGTTTTGATGACAGTCTTAATATAATATATAACCTTGAATAACTAAGTCTCGATATATCTCAATTAACTCCTTTATAAAATGAATCTATTTCCATAGGCCCTATTTAACTTAAACAGCTGTTACATTAAAAAAATAAAAGTTTTATTAAAATGTTCAGGGACATTATTTTAATAGCTATAAGATACTAGAGAGGGATATTAAACTGGCTTGGTTTTCTCTGTGCTTAATTAACCCTAACACAGTAGCACAAATAAGCATCTATGCCATTTGGGTTTCTTTGCAGAATAGTCTGAATAGCACCATTCGAACAAATTAATAACAACATTTGACAAGGACAATGATCATCTTCCATGTCCTGTCAAATGCTCACGAAGCATGTAAACATTTCATGGAACTATATTTATAGAAGTTTTTTTTGGTGTAAAATTTTTTTTGTCTACTATTTGTAGAAATATATGGGGTATTTTGCTGAAATATATGTTCTTAATTAATGATTAAGTCCTTAATCACAATACAATCAGCCTCTGGGTTTTGCCCTGAAAATAAAATTCTAATCCTTGTTGAAGAAGACAGAAACATAACTGGCTCACACATAAATCACTACCTCTTTTGCTGTATAGTACATCAAAGTTTAGTATAGTATATAAGTTTCGTATATCATATAAGTAATTATTTCAGATAGCCCTAAAGTGAACTTCAAATTTTATAAGAAAATAATGCATAAACAACATAATCTCCAGTAAAACTAAATTTAGTCCTTAATCTAGCATAACCTAGATTTTTATTTTAAATTTTATTTTAATTTTTGTGAGTACATAGTAGTTATATATATTTAAGGGGTCCATGAGATGTTTTGATACAGGCATGCAATGTGTAATAACCACATCATGTAAAATGGGGTATCCATTCCCTCAGGCATTCATCTTTTGTGTTATAACCAATACAATTAAACTTTTCGATATTTTAAAATGTACAATTAAGTTACTATTGACTATAGTCACCCTGTTGTGCTGTCAAATACTAGGTCTTATTCATTCTTTCTAAATATTTTTTTTTGTACCCATTAGCCACTGCCATCTCCTCCCGACCCCACTACCCTTCCCTACCTCGAATAACTATCCTCTACTCTCTCTGTCCAAAAGTTCAATTGTTTTAATTTCAGATCCCACAAATAAGTGAGAACATGCAATGTTTGTCTTTCTGGCCAGGCTTATTTCACTTAACATAATGGCATCCAGTTCCATCCACGTTGTTGCAAATGACAGGATCTCATTCTTTTCAAAGCTAAATGGTACTCCATTGTGTATAAATAACACATTTTCTTTAACCATTCATCTGTTGATGGACACTTAGGTTGCTTTCAAATCTTGGCTATTGTGAACACTGCTGCAATAAACATGGGAGTACAGATACCTCTTTGATATACTGATTTCCTTTCTTTTGGGTGTATACCCAGCAATAGGACTGCTCAATCATATGGTAGCTCTATTTTTAGTTTTTTGAGGAACCTCGAAACTGTTCTCGATAGTGGTTGTACTAATTTACATTCCTACCAACAGTGACAAGGGTCCCCTTTTCCTCACATCCTTGTCAGCTTTGTTATTGCCTGACTTTGGACATAAGCCATTTTAACTGGGGTGAGATGATATCTCTTTGTAGTTTTGATTTGAATTTCTCTGATTATCAATGATTCTGAGCACCTTTTCATATGTCTGTTTGCCACTGTATGACTTCTTTTCACAAATGTCTATTCAGATCTTTTGCCAATTTTTAAACAGGATTGTTAGATTTTTTCCTATAGAGTTGTTGCAGCTCCTTATATATTCTGGTTATAAATCCTTTGTCAGTTGAGTAGTTTGCAAATATTTTCTCCCATTTCCGGGTCGTTTCTTCACTTTGATGGTTCCTTTAATGTGCAGAAGCTTTTTAACGTGATGTGATCCCATTTGTCCATTTTTGCTTTGATAGCCCAGATTTTTAAATTTCATTTATTTATTTATTTATTTATTTTTGAGATGGAGTTTCGCTCTTGTTGCCCAGGCTGGAGTGCAATGGCATAATCTCAGCTCACCGCAACCTCCGCCTCCAGGGTTCAAGCAATTCTTCTGTCTCAGCCTCCAGAGTAGCTGGGATTACAGGCATGCGCCACCATGCCCAGCTAATTTTTGTATTTATTTAGTAGAGATGGGGTTTCTCCATGTTGGTCAGGCTGGTCTCGAACCCCTGACCTCAGGTGATCCACCCACCTCAGCTTCCCAAAGTGCTGGGATTACAGGTGCCAGACAATGCGCTGGGCCTTTTTTTTTTTTTTGAGACGGAGTCTTGCTCTGTTGCCCAGGCTGGAGTGCCAATGGCACGATCTCGTCTCACTGCAACCTCCACCTCCCGGATTCAAGCAATTCTCTTGCCTCAGCCTCCTGAGTAGCTGGGATTACAGGCGCCCACCACCATGCCCAGCTAATTTTTGTATTTTTGGCAGAGATGGGGTTTCACCTTATTTGTCGGGCTGGCCTCTAACTCCTGACCTCAGGTGATCCACCTGTCTCTGCCTCCCAATGTGCTGGGATTACAGGCGTGCACCACCGCACACGGCCCCAGATTTTTAAATTTTAAAGGAATTATGTCAATTTATTCTTGTTACTGTATCATTCGACTTAACAGATGGTCTCTGAAACCTGATATTACATTTCATCTTTATAATTCTTGGCTTTCTACCTGTTAAATTTAAATTTTTCCCAGAAACATGAGCCAATATGAATTAGTCTAGAGTTTTCACCCTTTATACCATCATTAATGATGTCACTTCAGTTTGTGATGAAGGGACTGATAGAAAACTTGTGCTCTCTCTACTGACTGTAAGGAAGTGTCAACAGCAGCAAAAAATGAAGTTTAGTTTGCAATAAATTGAATTATTTTCTGAGGGAAAAATGCCTATCTCAAGAAGCCCATCAAGAATTCTCTATCAATATTTTTTTCTTTTTCTTTTTTTTTTTTTTGAGATGGAGTCTCGCTCTGTTGCCCAGGCTGGAGTGCAGTGGCATGATCTCGGATCACTGCAAGCTCCGCCTCCTGGGTTCATGCCATTCTCCTGCCTCAGCCTCCTGAGTAGCTGGGACTACAGGCACCCGCCACCATGCCCAGGTAATTTTTTGTATTTTTAGTAGAGATGGGGTTTCACCGTGTTAGCCAGGATGGTCTCGATCTCCTGACCTCGTGATCCGCCCACCTCAGCCTCCTAAAGTGCTGGGATAACAGGTGTGAGCCACCACGCCTGGCCAAGAATTCTCTGTCCATTTTCTAAAGTAAATGTCTAAGTCTAAACGATTAAAAATATTGTTTAAATGCTAATTCACAACTTATAATCCTTTTAAAAGGCTTCCTATCAGCTGAGATTTACTATAAAAGGTTGATTGTCTGGCAGATTCTGGCAAATACATAAACATTTTACAAAATAATTATTTAGAATATTAATTGTCAATCCTCCTATTAAGAGGAAAATCTATTTATGACTGCATATGTGGATTTGGGTCAGAGTTCAGAGTAGTTAAACATTTAAAACTGATGATTCCAGATGTTAGACTGATCATAATTATACCAGTGTGGAACAACTCAACTATGCATTCTAGTCCCCAGGGCATAGATTGTATCTAATTCTCTTGCTTGATTGAGAACTTCAGTGCTGGAGCCTACTAGACATGTGCAACAAAACCTGCTCAGGGTTATAGCTGGAGAAATAATTCCATACCTTACAATTATGAGCACACCAATATAAAGTCAAATAAGACTTAAAAAATTAACTGTTTTTAATGTTCACACTGCTCTTAATATTTAGTGCTACTGATTCTCCTTTATTTAGAAATATACTTGCATCAAAAGAAAATAATCATTCAACATCTGATGTTTAACAAAAACAATACCAAATATAATTTTCTATTAACTATAAAGTAGATTGGCATTGGTATTTTTTAGCTCTCCTCTGTCTTTCTCCTGTCACCCCCAAAATTCCTGAGTTTTAAATATTATTTGCTGTAAGATCAAGGATTACCTACCAATATTAGTATCAGCAGAAAGAAACATAATTTAAAAGGTAAATTCACCTCAAATGTACTCACAGACCAACAGGAAATATAAATAATTCTTGGATGAGTCACTATTTTGATCTCTTGCTCCTTTCCAACAGACTATACAAGTGATTACAGTCACAAAGAGAATGTTTTATTAATTTAGAAATGAATCATTATTTTGCTCACTTCAGAAACAAATCTTCCTACAGAAAATTATATCAATTGGCTGGGCACGGCAGCTCACGCCTGTAATCCCAGCACTTTGGGAGGCCGAGGCAGGCAGATCACAAGGTCAGGAGATCGAGACCATCCTGGCTAACACGGTGAAACCCCATTTCTACTAAAAATACAAAACATTAGCCGGGCGTGGTGGCCGGCGCCTGTAGTCCCAGCTACATGGGAGGCTGAGGCAGGAGAATGGCGTGAACCCAGCAGGCGGAGCTTGCAGTAAGCCGAGATCGCAGTGAACTGCAGTCCAGCCTGGGTGACAGTGCGAGACTCCAACTCAAAAAGAAAAAAAGAAAACTATATCAACTGTGGAAAAAAGAATTAAACACAATAATAAGTGGAAACAATGCTATATCAACATTACTGGTGTTCTAAATCATCCTAATTGATGAAGAAGAAAAAAACAAAGATACTGGTGAGAGATAGCATGTGAACTTTGGAAGGCTAAGAATCCAACTTTGAGTAAGTGCGATGTGGTGCTAAGAAGAACGTATATTCTGTTGATTTGGGGTGGAGAGTTCTGTAGATGTCTATTATATCCGCTTGGTCCAGGCTGAGTTCAAGTCCTGAATACCCTTGTTAATTTTCTGTCACGTTGTTCTGTCTAATATTGACAGTGGGGTGCTAAAGTCTCCCACTATTATTGTGTGGGAGTCTAAGTCTCTTTGTAGGTCTCTACATGAATCTGGGTGCTCCTTTATTGGGTGCATATATATTTAGGATAGTTAGCTCTTCTTGTTGCATTGATCCCTTTACCACTATGTAATGCCCTTCTTTGTCTTTTTAAATCTTTGCTGGCTTAAAGTCTGCTTTATCAGAGACTAGGATTGCAACCCATGCTTTTTTTCCTTTTTTTTCTTTTTATTTGCTTGGTAAGTATTCCTCCATCCCTTTATTTTGAGCCTATGTGTGTCTTTGCACATGAAATGGGTCTCCTGAATACAGCATACTGATGGGTCTTGACTCTTTATCCAATTTGACAGTCTGCATCTTTTAATTGGGGCATTTACCCCACTTACATTTAAGGTTAATACAGTTATTTGTGAATTTGATGCTGTCATTATGATGCTAGCTGGTTATTTTACCCATTAGTTGATGCAGTTTCTTCATAGTGTCAATGGTCTTTTCAACTTGGTATGTTTTTGCAGTGGCTGGTACCAGTTTTCCTTTCCATATTTACTGCATCCTTCAGGAGCTCTTGTAAGGCAGGCCTGGATGCTTGTCTATAAAGGATTTTATTTCTCTTTTGCTTTGCTTATGAAGCTTAGTTTGGCTCGATATGAAATTCTGGGTTGAAAATTCCTTTCTTTAAGAATGTTGAGTATTGGCTACTACTCTCTTCTGGCTTATAGGGTTTCTGCAGAGAGATTTTCTGTTAGTCTGATGGGCTTCCCTTTGTGGGTAACCCGACCTTTCTCTCTGGCTGCCCTTAACATTTTTTCCTTCATTTCAACCTTGGTGAATCTGATAATTATATGTCTTGGGGTTGCTCTTCTCAAGGGGTATCTTTGCAGTGTTCTCTGTGTTTCTTGAATTTGAATGTTGGCCTGTCTTGTTAGGTTGGGGAAGGAAAATTCTCCTGGATAATAACCTGAAGAGTGTTTTTCAACTTGGTTTCATTCTCACCGTCACTTTCAGGTACACCAATGAAACGTAGGTTTGGTCTTTTCACATGTTTCTGGAAGGCTTTGTTCATTCCTTTTCATTCTTTTTTCTCTAATTTTGTCTTCATGCTTTATTTCATTAAGTTGATCTTCAATCTCTGATATTCTTTCTTCTGCTTGATCAATTAGGATACTGATAACCTGTGAATGCTTCACGAAGTTCTCGTGCTGCTTTTCAGCTCCATCAGGTCATTTATGTTCTTCTCTAAACTGGTTATTCTAGTTAGCAGTTGGAAGTAAAACACTCCTGAGCAAATGCAAAAGAATGGAAATCATAACAAACTGTCTCTCAGACCACAGTGCAATCAAATTAGAACTCAGGATTAAGAAATTCACTCAAAACCACACAACTACATGGAAACTGAACAACATGCTCCTGAATGATTACTGGGTAAGTAATGAAATTAAGGCAGAAATAAAGAAGTTCTTTAAAACCAATGAGAACAAAGAGACGACAAACCAGAATCTCTGGGACACAGCTAAAGTGGTGTTTAGAGGGAAATTTATAGCACTAAATGCCCACAGGAGAAAGCAGGAAAGATCTAAAATCGACACCCTAACATCACAATTAAAAGAATTAGAGAAGCAAGAGGAAACAAATTCAAAAGCTAGCAGAAGACAAGAAATAACTAAGATCAGAGCAGAACTGAAGGAGATAGAGACAAGAAAAACTCCTCAAAAAATCCATGAATCTAGGAGCTGATTTTTTCAAAGGATTAACAAAATAGATAGACTCTAACCAGACTAATAAAGAAGAAAAGAGAGAAGAGTCAAATAGACACAATAAAAAATGATAAAGGGGATATCACCACTGATCCCACAGAAATACAAACTACCATCAGAGAATACTATAAACACCTCTATGCAAATAAACTAGAACATCTAGGAGAAATGGATAAATTTCAGGACACATCCACCCTCCAAACACTAAATCAGGAAAAAGTTGAATCCCTGAATAGACCAGTAAGTTCTGAAACTGAGGCAGTAGTTAATAGCCCACCAACCAATAAAAGCGAGGATCAGATGGATTCACAGCTGAATTCTACCAGAGGTACAAAGAGGAACTGTACCATTCCTTCTGAAATTATTCCAAACAATTGAAAAAGAGGGAGTCCTCCCTAACTCATTTTATGAGGCCAGCATCATCCTGATACCAAAACCTGGCAGAGACAAAACAAAAAAAGAAAATTTCAGGCCCATATCACTGATGAACATCAATGCAAAAATCCTCAATAAAATACTGGCAAACCGAATCCAGCAGCACATAAAAAAGCTTATCCACCATTATCAAGTCGGCTTCATCCCTGGCATGCAAGGCTGGTTAAATATATGCAAATCAATAAAAATAATCCATCACATAAACAGAACGAATGACAAAAACCACATGATTATCTCAATAGATGCAAAAAGGCCTTCGATAAAATTCAACACCACTTCATGCTAAAAACGCTCAATAAACTAAGTATTGATGGAATGTATCTCAAAATAATAAGAGCTATTTATCACAAACCGACAGCCAGTATCATACTGAATGGGCAAAAGCTGGAAGCATTCCCTTCGAAAAATGACACAAGACAAGGATGACCTCTCTTACCACTCCTATTCAAAATAGTATTGGAAGTTCTGGCCAAGGCAATCAGGCAAGAGAAAGAAAGAAAGGGTATTCAAATAGGAAGACAGGAATTCAAATTGTCTTTGTTTGCAGATGACATGATTATATATTTAGAAAACCCCATCGTCTCAGCCCAAAATCTCCTTAAGCTGATCAGCAACTTCAGCAAAGTCTCAGGATACAAAATCAATGTGCAAAAATCACAAGCATGCCTATATACCAATAACAGACAAAAAGCCAAACCATGAGTGAACTCCCATTCACAATTGCTACAAAGAGAATAAAATACCTAGGAATCCAATTTACAAGGGATGTGAAGGACCTCTTCAAGGAGAACTACAAACCGCTGCTCAAGAAAATAAGAGAGGACACAAAAAAATGGAAAAAAAAATTCCATGTTCATGAATAGGAAGAATCAATGTTGTGAAAATGGCGATACTGCCCAAAGTAATTTATATATTCAATGCTATCCCCATCAAGCTACCACTGACTTTCTTCACAGAATTAGAAAAAGGTACTTTAAGTTTCATACGGAATCAAAAAAGAGCCCATATAGCCAAGACAATCCTAAGCGAAAAGAACAAAGCTGGAGGCATCACGCTACCTGACTTCAAACTATACTACAAGTCTACAGCAATCAAAACAGCATGATACTGGTACCAAAACAGAGATACAGACCAATGAAACAGAACAGAGGCCTCAGAAATAACACCATACATCTACAACCATCTGATCTTTAACAAACCTGCCAAAAACCAGCAATGGGGAAAGGATTCCCTATTTAATAAGTGATGTTGGGAAAACTGGCTAGCCATATGCAGAAAACTGAAACTGGACCCCTACCTTACACCTTATTCAAAAATTAATTCAAGATGGATTAAAGGTTTAAGTGTAAGACCTAAAACCATGAAAACCCTAGAAGAAAACCTAGGGAATACCATTCAGGATATAGGCATGGGCAAAGACTTCATGATTAAAACACCAAAAGCAATGGCAAAAAAAAAAGCCAATATTGACAAATGGGATGGAGTTAAACTAAAGAGATTCTGCACAGCAAAAGAAATTATCATCATAGTAAACAGCCAACCTATAGAATGGGAGAAAATTTTTGCAATCTATCCATCTGACATGGGTTAATATCCAGAATGTACAAGGAACTTAAACAAATTTACAAGAAAAAAACAAACAACTGCATCAAAAAGTGGGCAAAAGATATGAACAGACACTTCTCAAAAGAAGACATTTATACAGCCAACAAACATATGAAAAAAAGCTCAACATCACTGGTCATTAGAGAAATGCAAATCAAAACCACAATGAGATACCATCTTATGCCAGTTAGAATGGCAATCATTAAAGAGTCAGGAAACAACAGATGCTGGAGAGGTTGTGGAGAAATAGGAATGCTTTTACACTGTTGGTGGGAGTGTAAATTAGTTCAACCATTGTGGAAGACAGTGTGGGGATTCCTCAAGGATCTAGAACCAGAAATACCATTGACCCAGCAATCCCATTGCTGGGTATATACCCAAAGGATTATAAATCATTCTACTATAAAGACACATGCACACGTATGCTTATTGCAGCACTGTTCACAATAGCAAAGGCTTGGAACCAACCGAAATGCCCATCAATGATGGACTGGATAAGAAAAAGTGGCACATATACACCATGGAATACTATGCAGCCATAAAAAAGGATGAGTTCATGTTCTTTGTAGGGACATGGATGAAGCTGGAAATCATCATTTTCAGCAAACTAACACAGGAACAGATAACCAAACACCACATGTTCTCACTTATAAGTGGGAGTTGAACAAAGAGAAAACATGGACATAGGGAATGGAATATCACACACCAGGGTCTGTCAGAGGTTGGGGGCCAGGGGAGAGATAGCATTAGGAGAAATACCTAATGTAGATGACAGGTTGATGGGTGCAGGAAACCACCATGGTACATGTATATCTATGTAACAAACCTGCATGTTCTGCACATGTATCCCAGGACTTAAAGTATGTGTGTGTGTGTGTGTATGGATGTATGTGTGTGTATATATATATATCTGTATATATGTATGTGTGTATATATATATATGTATGTATGTGTGTGTGTGTGTGTGTGTGTGTGTGTATAGCAAAAAAGAATACAAGTTCGCCAAAGAAATCTGGATACATATCTGCTGTTTAGTGACAAATACTGGCTCTTCAGTATAATGGAGTGAACAGTTAAATGGGCTTCAAGTCACTTCATCTTAATGACGCTATAAAGAATTAACCAGAGCTGGCTGGGCACGGTGGCTCACGCTTGTAATCCCAGCACTTCGGGAGGCCGAGGAAGGCAGATCATGAGGTCAGGAGATTGAGACCATCCTGGCTAACATGGTGAAACCCCGTCTCTGCTAAAAATACAAAAAAATTAGCCAGGCGTGGTGGCAAGTGCCTGTAGTCCCAGCTACTTGGGAGGCTGAAACGAGAATGGCGTGAACCCAGGAGGCAGGGCTTGCAGTGAGCCGAGATACACCACTACACTGCACTCCAGCCTAGGCGACAGAGCAAGACTCCACCTCAAAAAAAAAAAAAAAAAAAGAACTAACAAGAGCTATCCAGAATGAGTTCACTTAGGAACCACTGGGGACAAAAGAGGCCTTCATGGATTTTAAAGCGCTTAGGATGGAATCAGAATCAGACAGCTCTGTCGTGCATATCTGTCTCTGTCTGTCTGTCTGTCTGTCTTCATTCTCCTTCTCTCTCCTCCCTGCTTCCTCCTTCTGATGTCTCCAGTAAAGTTAAGATAAAACCCTTGCAAGATGGCCGAATAGGAACAGCTCCGGTCTGCAGCTCCCAGTGTGATCCACACAGGAGATGGGTGATTTCTGCATTTCCAACTGAGGTACCTGGTTCATCTCACTGGGACTGGTGTGAAAGTGGGTGCAGGCCAAGGAGGGCAAGTGGAAGCAGGGCGGGGCATCGCCTCACCAGGGAAGTGCAAGGGGTCGGGGGATTTCCCTTTCCTAGCCAAGGGAAGCCCTGACAGACTGTACCGGGAAAATCAGGACACTGCCACCTAAACACTGTGCTTTTCCAATGGACTCAGCAAACTACACACCAGGAGATTACATCCCGCGCCTGGCTAAGCGGATCTCTTGCCCACGGAGTCTTGTTCACTGCTAGTCCCAGATCCAACTGCAAGGAGGCAAGCCTGGCTGGGGGAGGGGCGTCTGCCATTGCTGAGGATTGAGTAGGTAAACAAAGCGGCCAGAAGCTGGAACTAGGTGGAGCCCACCACAGCTCAACGAGGCCCAAATGTCTCTGTAGGCTCCACCTCTAGAGGCAGGGCATAGCTGAACAAAACGCAGCAGAAACTTCTGCAGACTTAAACGTCCCTGTCTGACAGCTCTGAAAAGAGCAGTGGTTCTCCCAGCATGGTGTTTGAACTCTGAGAACAGACAGACCACCTCCTCAAGTGGGTCCATGACCCCCATGTAGCCTAATTTGGAGACACCTCCCAGTAGGGGCCGACTGACACCTCATACAGCCAGGTGCCCCTCTGAGACGAAGCTTCCAGAGGAAGAATCAGGGAGCAATATTTGCTGTTCTGCAATATTTGCTGTTCTGCAGCCTCTGCTGGTGAAACCCAGGAAAACAGGGTCTGAAGTGGACTTCTAGCAAAATCAAACAGACCTGCAGCTGAGGGACCTGACTGGTAGAAGAAAAACTAACAAACAGAAAGGAATAGCATCAGCATCAACAAAAAGGACATCCACAAAAAAACCCCATCTGTAGGTCAACATCATCAAAGACCAAAGGTAGATAAAACCACAAAGATGGAGAGAAACCAGAGCAGAAAAGGTAAAAATTCTAAAAACCAGAGCACTCCTTCTCCTCCAAAGGATCACAACTCCTCACCAGCAACGGAACAAAGCAGGACAAAGAATGACTTTGACAAGCTGACAGAAGTAGGCTTCAGAAAGTCAGTAATAACAAACTTCTCTGAGCTACAGGAGGAGGTTTGAACCCATCGTAAGGAAGCTAAAAACCTTGAAAAAGATTAGACGAATGGCTAACTGAATAAACAGTGCAGAGAAGACCTTAAGTGACCTGAAGGAGCTGAAAACCATGGCACAAGAACTATGTGATGCATGCACAAGCTTCAGTAGCCGATTCGATCAAGTGGAAGAAAGGGTATCAGTGATTGAAGATCAAATTGAAGAAATGAAGCCAGAAGAGAAGTTTAGAGAAAAAAGAGTAAAAAGAAACAAACAAATCTTCCAAGAAATATGAGACTATGTGAACAGACCAAGTCTACATGTAATTGGTGTACTAGAAAGTGATGGGGAGAATGGAACCAAGCTGGAAAACACTCTTCAGGATATTATCCAGGAGAACTTCCCCAGCCCAGCAAGGCAGGCCAACATTCAAATTCAGGAAGTACAGAGAACACCACAAATATACTCCTTGAAAAGAGCAACCCCAAGACATATAATTATCAGATTCACCAAGGTTGAAATGAAGGAAAAAATGCTAAGGGCAGCCAGAGAGAAAGGGCGGGTTAACCACAAAGGGAAGCCCATCAGACTAACAGTGGATCTCTCGCCAGAAACCCTACAAGCCAGAAGAGAGTGGGGGCCAATATTCAACATTCTTTAAGAAAAGAATTTTCAACCCAGAATTTCATATCCAGCCAAACTAAGCTTCATAAGGGAAGGAGAAATAAAATCCTTTACAGACTAGCAAATGCTGAGAGATTTTGTCACCAACAGGCCTGCCTTACAAAAGCTCCTGAAGGAAGCACTAAACATGGAAAGGAACAATAAGTACCAGCCACTGCAAAAACATGCCAAAGTGTAAAGACCATTGATGCTAGGAAGAAACTGCATCAACTAATGGACAAAATAATCAGCTAACATCATAATGACAGGATCAAATTCACACATCACAATGTTAACCTTAAATGTAAATGGGCTAAATGCCCCATTTAAAAGACACAGACTGGCAAACTGGACAAAGAGTCAAGACCCATCAGTGTGCTGTATTCAGGAGACCCATCTCACATGCAGAGACATACATAGGCTCAAAATAAAGGGATGGAGGAAGATCTACCAAGCAAATGGAAAACAAAAAACAACAGGGGTTGCAATCCTAGACTCTGATAAAACAGACTTTAAACCAACAAAGATAAAAAGAAACAAAGACGGCCATTACATAATGGTAAAGGGAACAATTCAACAAGAAGAGCTACCTATTCTAAATATATATGCACCCAATACAGGAGCACCCAGATTCATAAAGCAAGCCCCAAGAGACCTAAAAAGAGACTTAGACTCCCACACAATAATAATGGGAGACTTTAACACCCCACTGTCAACATTAGACAGATCAACAAGACATAAGGTTAACAAGGATATCCAGGACTTGAACTCAGCTCTGCACCAAGAGGACCTAATAGACATCTACAGAACTCTCCGCCCCAAATCAACAGAATATACATTCTTCTCAGCACCACATCACACTTATTCCAAAATTGACCACATAGTTGGAAGTAAAGCTCTCCTCAGCAAATGTAAAAGAACAGAAATCACAACAAACTATCTATCAGACCACAGTGCAATCAAATTAGAACTCAGGATTAAGAAACTCACTCAAAACTACACAACTACATGGAAACTTAACAACCTGCTCCTGAATGACTACTGGGTACATAACGAAATGAAGGCAGAAATAAAAATGTTCTTTGAAACCAATGAGAACAAAGACATAACGTACCAGAATCTCTGGGACACATTTAAAGCAGTGTGTAGAGGGAAATTTATAGAACTAAATGCCCACAAGAGAAAGCAGGGAAGATCTAAAATTGACACCCTAACATCACGATTAAAAGAACTAGAGAAGCAAGAGCAAACACATTCAAAAACTAGCAGAAGGCAAGAAATAACTAAGATCAGAGCAGAACTGAAGGAAATAGAGACACAAAAAACCCTTCAAAAAATCAATGAATCCAGGAGCTGGTTTTTTGAAAAGATCAACAAAATTGACAGACTGCTAGCAAGACTAATAAAGAAGAAAAGAGAGAAGAATCAAAAAGACACAATAAAAAATGATAAAGGTGATATCACCACCAATCCCATAGAAATACAAACTACCATCAGAGAATACTATAAACACCTCTACAGAAATAAACTAGAAAGTCTAGAAGAAATGGATAAATTCCTGAACACATACACCCTCCTAAGACTAAACCAGGAAGAAGCTGAATCTCTGAATAGCGAGTAACAGGCTCTGAAATTGAGGCAATAATTAATAGCCTACCAACCGAAAAATGTCCAGGACCAGACAGATTCACAGCCGAATTCTATCAGAAGTACAAAGAGGAGCTGGTACCATTCCTTCTGAAACTATTCCCATCAGAAGAAAAAGAGGGAATCCTCCCTAACTCATTTTATGAGGCCAGCATCATCCTGATACCAAAACCTGGCAGAGACAAAACAAAAAAAGAGAATTTTAGACCAATATCCCTGATGAACATCGATGCAAAAATCCTCAATAAAATACTGGCAAACCGAATCCAGCAGCACATCAAAAAGCTTATCCACCATGATCAAGTTGGATTCATCCCTGGGATACAAGGCTGGTCCAACATATGCAAATCAATAAACGTAATCCATCACATAAACAGAACGAAAGAGAAAAACCACATCATTATCTCAATAGATGCAGAAAAGGCCTTTGACAAAATTCAACAGCCCTTCATGCTAAAAACTCTCAATAAATTTGGTATTGATGGAAAATATCTCAAAATAATAAGAGCTATTTATGACAAACCCACAGCCAGTATCATACTGAATGGGCAAAAACTGGAAGCATTCCCTTTGAAAACTGGCACAAGACAGGGATACCCTCTCTCGCCACTCCTATTCAACAGTGTTGGAAGTTCTGGCCAGGGCAATCAGGCAAGAGAAAGAAATGAAGGGTATTCAATTAGGAAAAGAGGAAGTCCAGTTGTCCCTGTTTGCAGATGACATGATTGTATATCTAGAAAACCCCATCGTCTCAGCCCAAAATCTCCTTAAGCTGATAAGCAACTTCAGCAAAGTCTCAGGATACAAAATCAATGTGCAAAAATCACAAGCATTCGTATACACAAATAACAGACAGAGAGCCAAATCGTGAGTGAATCCCATTCACAATTGCTACAAAGAGAATAAAATATCTAGGAATCCCACTGACAAGGGATGTGAAGGACCTCTTCAAGGAGAACTACAAACCACTGCTCAATGAAATAAAAGAGGATACAAACAAATGGAAGAACATTCCATGCTCATGGATAGGAAGAATCAATATCGTGAAAATGGCCATACTGCCCAAGGGAATTTATAGATTCAATGCCATCCCCATCAAGCTACCAATGACTTTCTTCACAGAACTGGAAAAAACTACTTTCAAGTTCATATGAAACCAAAAAAGAGTCCGCATCGCCAAGTCAATCCTAAGCCAAAAGAACGAAGTTGGAGGCATCACGCCACCTGACTTCAAACTGTAGTACAAGGATACAGTAACCAACACAGCATGGTACTGGTACCAAAACAGAGATATAGATCAATGGAACAGAACAGAGCCCTCAGAAATAATACCACACATCTACAACCATCTGATCTTTGACAAACCTAACAAAAACAAGAAATGGGGAAAGGATTCCCTATTTAATAAATGGTGCTGGGAAAACTGGCTAGCCATATGTACAAAGCTGAAACTGGATCCCTTCCTTACACCTTATACAAAAATTAATTCAAGATGGATTAAAGACTTAAATGTTAGACCTAAAACCATAAAAACCCTAGAAGAAAACCTAGGCAACGCCATTGAGGACATAAGCACAGGTAAGGACTTCATGACTAAAACACCAAAAGCAATGGCAACAAAAGGAAAAATTGACAAATGGGATCTAATTAAACTAAAGAGCTTCTGCACAGCAAAAGAAACTACCATCAGAGTGAACAGGCAACCTACAGAATGGGAGAAAATTTTTGCAATCTACTCATCTGACAAAGGGCTAATATCCAGAATCTACAAAGAACGTAAGCCAATTTTCAAGGAAAAAACAAACAACCCCATCAAAAAGTGGGCAAAGGATATGAACAGACACTTCTCAAAAGAAGACATTTATGCAGCCAACAGACACATGAAAAAATGCTCATCATCACTGGTCATCAGAGAAATGCAAATCAAAACCACAATGAGATACCACCTCACACCAGTTAGAATGGCAATCATTAAAAAGTCAGGAAACAACAGATGCTGGGGAGTATGTAGAGAAACAGGAATGCTTTTACACTGTTGGTGGGAATGTAAACTAGTTCAACCATTGTGGAAGACAGTGTGGCGATTCCTCAAGGATCTAAAACTAGAAACACCATTTGACCCAGCCATCCCATTACTGGGTATATACCCAAAGGATTATAAAGCATGCTGCTATAAAGACACATGCACACATATGTTTATTGTGGCACTATTCACAATAGCAAAGACTTGGAACCAACCCAAATGTCCATCAGTGATAGACTGGATTAAGAAAATGTGGCACATATACACCATGGAATACTATGCAGCCATAAAAAAGGATGAGTTCATGTCCTGTGTAGCGACATGGATGAAACTAGAAACCATCATTCAGAGCAAACTATCACAAGGACAGAAAACCAAACACTGCATGTTCTCACTGATAGGTGGGAATTGAACAATGAGAACACTTGGACACAGGGTGGGGAACATCACATACCTGGGCCTGTCGTGGTGTGGGGGGATGGGAGAGGGATAGCAGTAGTAGAAATACCTAATGTAAATGACGAGTTAATGGGTGCAGCTAACCAACACGGCACATGTATACACATATGTAACAAACCTGCACGTTGTGCACATGTACCCTAGAACTTAAAGTATAATAAGAAAAATCCTTCAAAAAAATAATAAAATAAATAAAACAGAAAAAAGAAAAGATAAAACCCTTGTATTTTTCCAGTCTTGAATCTATCTTTATACTGATCAGCAAACACCTTGGGGAGCTTACTTGTACACATATGGCTCTACAACTGAAAAAACTATTTTGGTTTCCAGTGTTTGTTCATGTTGAACTCTAAGGTTAAATATTTTGCATTTTAAATTGTGATGCACATATAGCTCAGCTTGCTCATGACTGCAGCAAACCAATACCAAAGACCTTTTAATAACAGAACACATTCCTTTTTATACATATTCTTTCTCTAAAAAAAACTCCAGAGAGGAGAACTGCTGCTCTCTGATTACCATTACCCTAACTTTATTTAACCAGGTATTTTTCAGGAAATAAAGGAATAGAGACAGAGACTTTATATGGAAAGCTTTGATCTATTTCCAAATACTGTCATACTTAAGATGTGAAGGCATTCTTCAGAGCTACATTTCAGATCCTGATCAAATTTCTAACATCTATGACCAAGTGCACAACTTTTTAAACTGTGGGATTTGTATTTTTTTCTACATATAAATGTTTAATGAATTTAAAAGTGGTTTTTAGTAAGAACCTGACCACATATTGGTCATTATACTCTTCACTGAACTTTAAGACATTAAGGAATTTTATCTGTCTGGCATATCATGAAGGAAATGCCCCCCAAAATTTTTTAATTTTTATTTTAGGTTCGGGGTTACATGTGAAGTTTTGTTATATAGGTAAACCTGTGTCATGGGGGTTTGTTGTACAGATTATTTCATCACCCACGTATTAAGCCTAATACCCAATAGTTACTTTTTTTCAGCTCCTCTCCTTCCTCCCACCCTTCACCCTCTGAGAGGCCCCAGTGTGTTGTTCCCCTCTTTGTGTCCATGTGTTCTCATTATTACTTCCCACTTATAAGTGAGAACATGGGGTGTTTTTTTATTCCTGCATTAGGTAGTTAAGGATAATGGCCTCCAGCTCCATCCATGTCCCCGCAAAGGAACATTCTTTTTTTATGGATGCACAGTATTCCATGGTGTGTATATAGCATATTTTCTTTATTCAGTCTACCATTGATAGGCATTTAGGTTGATTCCATATCTTTGCTATTGTGAGTAGTAGTGCAACAAATGTACACGTGCATGTGTCTTTATGACAGAATGATTCACATTCCTTCAGGTATACTCCCAGTAATGGGACTGCTAGGTTGAATGATAGTTCTGTCTTTAGCTCTTTGAGGAATCACCATACTGCTTTCCACAATGGTTGAGCTAATTTACACTCTCACCAACAGTGTATAAGTGTTCCCTTTTCTCTGCAATCTCATCAGCATCTGTTATTTTTCGACTTTGTATTAATAACAGCCATTCTGACTGGTGTGAGATGATATCTCATTGTGGTTTTGATTTGCATTTCTCTAGTGATCAGTGATGTTGAGCTTTTATTCATATGCTTGTTGGCTGCATGCATGCCTTCTTTTGAAAAGTGTCTGTTCGTGTCCTTTGCCCACTTTTTAATGTTTTTTTTTGTCTTGTAAATAGATGCTGGATATTAGACCTTTTCAGATGCATAGTTTGTGAATATTTTCTCCCATTCTGTAGGCTGTCTGTTTACTCTGTTGATAGTTTATTTTTGCTGGACAGAAGCTCTTAATTTTAATTAGATCCCTTTTGCCAATTTTTGCTTTTGTTGTGATTGCTGTTAGCATCTTTGTCATGAAATCTTTGCCATTCCTATGTCCAGGATGGTATTGCTAGGTTGTCTTCCAGGGTTTTGATAGTTTTGGGTTTTACATTTAAGTCTTTAACCCATCTTGAGTTGATTTTTGTATATGGTGTAAGGGAGGGTTCCAGCTTCAATCTTCTGCTTATGGATAGCCAGTTATCCCAGCAACATTGATTAAATAGGAAGTCTTTTCCCCATTGCTTGTTTTTTGTCAGCCTTATTGAAGATCAAATGGTCATAGATGTGCGGCCTTACTTCTGGGCTCTCTATTATGTTCCATTGGTCTATGTGCCTGTTTTTGCACCAGAATTCTTAAACGACAAAACTGAATGAACTATCTCAGAAACTTCCTATTCAAATACAGGCTAGATGACCTCTTGATAGGTATTCAGGGAATTCAAACATCAGATGGGTTGGTCTAGACAAGTGATTCTGAAAGCTGATTAAATAAGAATCATCTGGGGAAGCTTTTAAAATCCTGCTCCTTTTCATGTCATACTTCAGAAGTTATTAATTCTCAAGCTATTTTTTGAACTGTTAACTGATATACTGTAACATCTACCTATTACTTCTACTCCCCACTACTTAAAATATACTTCGTTATCTACAATATAAATATTCTGTTCATAGATTTAATGACAGTACCATTTTGCCTTGTGATAGTATGAATTTTCACTAATTTGACTGTACTACTAGTGTCTATATTAGCTTACAAACTCATAGAGGGCAGAAATTATGTCCCTTCCTTTGTATTTCATATATGTTCAGCCAAATACAAGAGCCCTAAAGAGTTTATTTCTTCTTAAATTTAGATTGAGAGTTAGGTGTGGTGGTGCATCCCTGTAATCCCAGTTACTTGGGAGGCTAAGGTGGGAGAATCCCTTGAACCAGGGAGTTTGAGACCAGCCTGTGCAATATAGAGAGACTCCATCCCAAAGAAAGAAACGAAAGGAAGGAGGAAAAGAAAAGAAAGATAGAAAGCATTTAGTAAATGGCATTATATTTGATTTTATAAATTTGATTCCCAATCTAACCAGGGCTGAAGTTTCAAACTGAATTTCCAGGAATGTCTTAAAAGATGAAACCCTGGAATGCAGTTTCTAGTAGTTGGTTACAATTTGTGTAACAACAAAACCAATTTATTTCAGAAAGAATTTTTTAACTTGATGAATACAACAATAACTCTTTCTACATCATGCAACTCTTGCCAAGTATCTATTAATTACAACTCTGCCCAACATTTGCATGGAAAGACGGTGTGCTTGAAAAAAGTCCAAAATTGATTGCCTCCTTTAACGTGCTGTTCTGGAAACTGAAAACATTAATGAAGATTTAATATTCCTTAATATTAGGAAACGTAATGTCCTAATTCCTGAACCTTTAAGGTGCAAAGTTATTTTTAGAGCTACATTTTGAGGTCATTATAAATTACAAAGTTTTAGGGGAAACACAGCACTAAAATCCAAAATAGCCAAATGTTTTTCTTTGAATTTTCAATGTTTTCCAAAACACTGGCATTAGATGCCTTTAAGGAACTACTCTAGCAAATTTGAAAATAGGAAGTGAAAAAATAGTTATTTAAAAAAATAAAAGATTTTATTTAGTTTACCTAAGTGAAATTACTATGTTCCTTTTGCTTTGGAAGAGTAAATGCCAAACAATCAAGGAAACTATTTAAAGTAATGGTGCATGGGTCATTCATTTATTTAACTTGGCAACAATAAGTTTCTGTCTGATCCTCCAATCCCCAATAGGTTTCTTCATTACAGAAACCATTGTCCAAACTGACAGTCAAAGAGGGTTACCATAAAAGAGATAACTGATTAAGTAAACTGCTGATGGAAGGAAAAATATCAGGGTAGGCAAGTTTAACTTTTTCTCAAGAATTTTTGATGAGTGAATGGAAGTTTAGTCACTGTGACAATAGGCCTGACACCTTTCACAAACAATAAATGCCTTTCACTTTAAACAATGACTGAAATATTACAATGTCTTAATTTAAAACTCCTATCTCATCTCATTTAAATGAATGAGAGACAGAAAGACCTCTGGCTTTCCTTCTATCAGCAGGGCCCAGATAGGAAAGGTCCTAGACAGGTAGAAAGGACATCACCTCATTATCAATTGTCTTATTTCATTTTCTTTTGCCATAACACAATATCTGAGACTGGGTAATTAATTTATAAGGAAAATAAGTTTATTTGGCTCATTGCTCTGTAGACTGGGAAGTCCAAGGGCATGGCAGCAACTTCTGGGGAGAGCCTTCCCACTACGTCATGACATTGTGTAGAAAAGAAGGGCGGCCAGGTACGGTGGCTCACGCCTGTAATCCCAGCACTTTGGGAGGCCCAGGTGGGTGGATCACGAGGTCAGGAGATCAAGACCATCCTGGCCAACATGGTGAAACCCGGTCTCTACTAAAAATACAAAAAAATTAGCCAGGCATGGTGGCACGCGCCTGTAGTCCCAGCTACTCAGGAGGCTGAGGCAGGAGAATTGCTTGAACCCAGGAGGCAGAGACTGCAGTGAGCCAAGATCATGTCACTGCACTCCAGCCTGGTGACAGAGCAAGACTCTGTCAAAAAAAAAAAGAAGAAGAAGAAGAAGAAGGGCAAGTAAATCGTGTGCTAAGGAGATCTTAAGAATAAGTTAAACTTGTTTTTATTATATTACAACCTGCTCTGGAGAGAACTCCCTCCCTCCTGTAAGAACTAATTAACTCCCTTGAGAATTAACTCATTCCTGGGATAAGGGCATTCGTTTATTCATGAGGATAGAGCCCTGATGACCCAATCACTTCTTAAAGTCCCCACCTATTAATAATGTTACATTAGCAAATAAGTTTCTAACACATGAACTTTTGTGGGACACAGTCAAACCACAGCAATGGTATCACACCAAACTGTTAGGGCAACTTTTCTTGAGCCCATGAATATTCAACATATTAACTAGCTGACTACTGTCATACACAGTGGCTTCTCTCTCTCCAGGAGATAAGAAATCAAAACAGGATTTACACTAGGACTGTCTAGCTGTGTCCTGTACCACTTCTGCTGTTCCCTGGAAGAACACAGAGGGAACAAAGAAGGGATCATGATAGCTTCCCTCTCAGTTGCTCAGTCTTTGTCCCTTCTATTATAAGAACAATTTCCAAAAGTTTCATTCCTATATCAATCTTTACTTAATAAAGTGAAGGGGAACTTTTTTCTAACTAACCTATCAAAATAAACTCTTCCATCTATTACTCCCCATTACACAAAATATGCTTGCATCACTGCTCATCTACAACATAAATATTCTGTTTGTAGGTTTAATGACAGTATAATTTTGCTTTGTGACAGTATCAATTTTCACTAATTTGACTGTACTACTGGTGTCTAAATTAGCTTACAATCTTTTAGAGGGCAGAAATTCTGTCCTCTTTCTTTGTACTTCATCTATCTCAAGCTGTTAATTCACAATTATAACCATGAAGGAGCAATGTTGTGTTAGTTATTCCACTTGCTGTAGTCTCCCTCTGTGCCCCTCAAACTCTGCCCAAATGCCCTCTGCCCTGATCAGTCCCCCAAGAGTTGACCTCTGTGGACTGTATCACCTAAGTTTCCTTGCCTTCTGGCTCTCAATGGGGATCCACTATCAGGAGGGACAAAAGGAGATGAGACTGTGGGAGGAGAAAGAATTTGAAGTTTTATTACCTACCTCACCCACCACTCCTTCCTGCCTTGTAGCAGTTCTGGCAAGAGCCATAGCTTCTTCTATCAGGCAGCCCCTTTTCCATGGCTCCAGCAGGCTCCAAGTTCCACTAAGACAGTTCACTCCCTTGCCCTTTCCAGTGGAAGGGCAATAACAACTTGTACTGTCACTAGTCCCTAGGTATGTCACCATCTCTGGTTGGTTTCCTTAATGCTGCTCACTCCTTTGTAACTAGTTGCTTCATTAAACTTTGTTTTATTAATTCATTTTAAGGTTTGCCGTCTGTTTCCTGCTAGGACTCTGACTAATACAGCACTTTAATATAAATAAATTACTAAAACTCTCCAATCCTTAAAAAGAGAAAACATGCTTCACATATTTCATATGAAGCATGAAGTCTTTACTTAATTCCAAGAGTTGAAGTCAAATTGAGACAGTCTTCAGATATCATACACAGCACTTCAGTTGAAACAAAGAAGGAAAAATATTTAACACAAGTAAGAAGTTCTTTTTTAATTTAAAGTTTCTTCTTACATGGTCATACCTCATTTTATTGCACTTCACTTTACTGCACTTCAAAGATGCTGCATTTTTTACAAATTGAAGGTTTGTAGCAAACCTGTGTCAAGCAAGTCTACCCGTGCCATTTTTCCAACAGCATAGACACATTTTGTGGTTGTGTGTCACATTTTGGTAATTCTTGCAATATTTCAAACTTTTTCATTAAGGTTATATCTGTTATGGTGATCTGTGATCAGTGATCTTTGATGTTACTATTATAATTGTTGTGGGGTGCCACAAACCACACCCATATAATAGGATGGCAATCCTAATCGATATTATGTTGTATGTATTCTCACTGTACCAAATAACATTTGTGATTCATGGGCAGGGGTCAAAATATCAAGATGAACAGGAGTTTGGAAGAAGTTGATTCCAGCCCTCACAGATGACTTTTGGGGGTTCAAGATTTCAGTGGAGGAAATAACTGCAGATGTGGTGGAAACAGCAAGAGAATTATTAGAATTAGAAGTGGGATCTGAAGATGTGATTGAATTGCTGAAATCTCATTATCAAACCTGAACAGATAAGGAATTGCTCCTTATGAATTAGCAAAGAAAGTGGTTTACTGAGATGGAATCTACTTCTGGTGATGATACTGTGAACACTGTTGAAATGACAACAAAGGATTTAGAATATTACACACACTTAGTTGATAAAACAGAAGCATGGCTTGAGAAGACTGAAGACAATTTTGAAAGATATTCTACTATGGGTTAAATGCTATCAAACAGCATCACATGCTATCTTTCCTGAAAGGAAGAGTCAGTTGATGCAGCAAACTTCTTTGTTGTCTTATTTTAAGAAAATGTCGCAGCCACTCCAACCGTCAGCAACTGCCACCCTGATCACTCAGTGGCCACAATCACGAAGGAAAGACACTCTGCCAGCAAAAAGAGCATGACCTGATAAAGGCTTGAATGACTGTTAGCATTTTTAGCAATAAAATATTTAAGGAATGTATATTTTTAAAGACATAATGTTGTATACACTTCACAGACTACTGTATAGTGTAAATGTAAGTTTTGTATGTACTGAGAAACCAAAAAGTTCATGCAACTTGCTTGATTACGATACTTGCTTTATTGAGGTGGCCTGGAACCAAACCTGTAATATTCCCAAGGTGTACCTGTAATGAGGTTGTTATCCATTTTATGTAACAAGATGGAGCATATACAAAGAGTTGCTAATTAAGAAATTACCTTATTTCTT
This sequence comes from Homo sapiens, assembly GCF_000001405.40. Taxonomy (NCBI): domain Eukaryota; kingdom Metazoa; phylum Chordata; class Mammalia; order Primates; family Hominidae; genus Homo; species Homo sapiens. The sequence goes on along the minus strand of NC_000014.9, from coordinate 31,799,410 downwards.
GCAGGGATGTTTAGTAAGGTACTAAATATCTTTCTGATTATCTACCCTTACTTGTGGAGAACTTAACTCCACAGACTTGTAAGGATCAAATAAGATAATGAATGTAAATATTCCATCCAAATGTATAGTATTTTCTAGAAACTACATGTACACTATAAAAAAGGATTTTTTTGTGTGTGTGGGGGTGGTTGTATCTTGTATCTAGCTAATATCAAAATTCTCTCTCAGAATACTGCACTTTCTGTATGGACAGGTCTGCCTCTACATATTTTCCAAAAGATTGTCTCTTCCCAAGTATAAAACATCTGATTTTATTCTCAACATAGCTTATAGAAATGCAAAATTGATAGAAAGGCTCTTTCTAATTCACAACATTTCTCTACTAACTGCCCTGTCCCACAAAAAAACTTTTTGATAGTGTTCCTGTAGTTTCTAGAAAATACTATACATTTAGATGGAGGCTTTACATTCATTATCTTATTTGATCCTTACAAGTCTGTGGAGTTAAGCAAGTTTTCCACAGGTAAGGAGAGAGAATTAGAAAGGTATTTAGCACCTTACTAAACAACACTTCAAGTAAATAAGATAATTTCTTTTTTTTTTTTTTTTTTTTTTTTTTGAGACGGAGTCTTGCTCTGTCACCCAGGCTGGAGTGCAGTGGCATGATCTCCGCTCACTGCAAGCTCCGCCTCCCAGGTTCACGCCATTCTCCTGCCTCAGCCTCCCGAGTAGCCAGGACTACAGGCGCCCGCCACTATGCCCGGCTAATTTTTTGTTTTTTTAGTAGAGACAGGGTTTCACCGTGTTAGCCAGGATGGTCTCGTTCTCCCGACCCCATGATCCACCCGCCTCGGCCTCTCAAAGTGCTGGGATTACAGGCGTGAGCCACCGCACCTGGCATAAATAAGATAATTTCTAATTACTGTATTACAATGGAACAATACTAATTATTCTCATTAGTAATTTAATATAGAGCCTGCAAGTAATCAAATAGCAAATGCCCACATGCACACTACTATCCCACACACTAAAACAAAGGGAATACTAAAAGGCATCAACTGACCACATGGATATTATATACAGCACAGCAAAAAAAAAAAAAAAAAACCATAAATAAATACCTAAAATGAAAGTAGTTTTCTCTCAGAGGGGAAATAAAATAAAATGCACGTTTCCTTGAAAAATGCTTCCTTTAACATATACACAGAAAAAACACTTGGGTGAGAAGCAGTCAGGGTGAGGCACTCATAGGAATGAATCAGCAGGATGGTAAGAAAGATAAGGGGGCACAACATCAGACTAACAGCGGATCTCTCGGCAGAAACCCTACAAGCCAGAAGAGAGTGGGGGCCAATATTCAACATTCTTAAAGAAAAGAATTTTCAACCCAGAATTTCATATCCAGCCAAACTAAGCTTCATAAGTGAAGGAGAAATAAAATACTTTATAGACAAGCAAATGCTGAGAGATTTTGTCACCACCAGGCCTGCCCTAAAAGAGCTCCTGAAGGAAGCGCTAAACATGGAAAGGAACAACCGGTACCAGCCGCTGCAAAATCATGCCAAAATGTAAAGACCATCGAGACTAGGAAGAAACTGCATCAACTAATGAGCAAAATCACCAGCTAACATCATAATGACAGGATCAAATTCACACATAGCAATATTAACTTTAAATGTAAATGGACTAAATGCTCCAATTAAAAGACACAGACTGGCAAGTTGGATAAAGAGTCAAGACCCATCAGTGTGCTGTATTCAGGAAACCCATCTCACGTGCAGAGACACACATAGGCTCAAAATAAAAGGATGGAGGAAGATCTACCAAGCCAATGGAAAACAAAAAAAGGCAGGGGTTGCAATCCTAGTCTCTGATAAAACAGACTTTAAACCAACAAAGATCAAAAGAGACAAAGAAGGCCATTACGTAATGGTAAAGGGATCAATTCAACAAGAGGAGCTAACTATCCTAAATATTTATGCACCCAATACAGGAGCACCCAGATTCATAAAGCAAGTCCTCAGTGACCTACAAAGAGACTTAGACTCCCACACATTAATAATGGGAGACTTTAACACCCCACTGTCAACATTAGACAGATCAACGAGACAGAAAGTCAACAAGGATACCCAGGAATTGAACTCAGCTCTGCACCAAGCAGACCTAATAGACATCTACAGAACTCTCCACCCCAAATCAACAGAATATACATTTTTTTCAGCACCACACCACACCTATTCCAAAATTGACCACATAGTTGGAAGTAAAGCTCTCCTCAGCAAATGTAAAAGAACAGAAATTATAACAAACTATCTCTCAGACCACAGTGCAATCAAACTAGAACTCAGGATTAAGAATCTCACTCAAAGCCGCTCAACTACATGGAAACTGAACAACCTGCTCCTGAATGACTACTGGGTACATAACGAAATGAAGGCAGAAATAAAGATGTTCTTTGAAACCAACGAGAACAAAGACACCACATACCAGAATCTCTGGGACGCATTCAAAGCAGTGTGTAGAGGGAAATTTATAGCACTAAATGCCTACAAGAGAAAGCAGGAAAGATCCAAAATTGACACCCTAACATCACAATTAAAAGAACTAGAAAAGCAAGAGCAAACACATTCAAAAGCTAGCAGAAGGCAAGAAATAACTAAAATCAGAGCAGAACTGAAGGAAAAAGAGACACAAAAAACCCTTCAAAAAATCAATGAATCCAGGAGCTGGTTTTTTGAAAGGATCAACAAAATTGATAGACCGCTAGCAAGACTAATAAAGAAAAAAAGAGAGAAGAATCAAATAGACACAATAAAAAATGATAAAGGGGATATCACCACCGATCCCACAGAAATACAAACTACCATCAGAGAATACTACAAACACCTCTACGCAAATAAACTAGAAAATCTGGAAGAAATGGATACATTCCTCGACACATACACTCTCCCAAGACTAAACCAGGAAGAAGTTGAATCTCTGAATAGACCAATAACAGGCTCTGAAATTGTGGCAATAATCAATAGTTTACCAACCAAAAAGAGTCCAGGACCAGATGGATTCACAGCTGAATTCTACCAGAGGTACAAGGAGGAACTGGTACCTTTCCTTCTGAAACTATTCCAATCAATAGAAAAAGAGGGAATCCTCCCTAACTCATTTTATGAGGCCAGCATCATTCTGATACCAAAGCCGGGCAGAGACACAACCAAAAAAGAGAATTTTAGACCAATATCCTTGATGAACATTGATGCAAAAATCCTCAATAAAATACTGGCAAACCGAATCCAGCAGCACATCAAAAAGCTTATCCACCATGATCAAGTGGGCTTCATCCCTGGGATGCAAGGCTGGTTCAATATACGCAAATCAATAAATGTAATCCAGCATATAAACAGAGCCAAAGACAAAAACCACATGATTATCTCAATAGATGCAGAAAAAGCCTTTGACAAAATTCAACAACCCTTCATGCTAAAAACTCTCAATAAATTAGGTATTGATGGGACGTATTTCAAAATAATAAGAGCTATCTATGACAAACCCACAGCCAATATCATACTGAATGGGCAAAAACTGGAAGCATTCCCTTTGAAAACTGGCACAAGACAGGGATGCCCTCTCTCACCAATCCTATTCAACATAGTGTTGGAAGTTCTGGCCAGGGCAATCAGGCAGGAGAAGGAAATAAAGGGTATTCAATTAGGAAAAGAGGAAGTCAAATTGTCCCTGTTTGCAGACGACATGATTGTTTATCTAGAAAACCCCCTCGTCTCAGCCCAAAATCTCCTTAAGCTGATAAGCAACTTCAGCAAAGTCTGAGGATACAAAATCAATGTACAAAAATCACAAGCATTCTTATACACCAACAACAGACAAACAGAGAGCCAAATCATGGGTGAACTCCCATTCACAATTGCTTCAAAGAGAATAAAATACCTAGGAATCCAACTTACAAGGGATGTGAAGGACCTCTTCAAGGAGAACTACAAACCACTGCTCAAGGAAATAAAAGAGGACACAAACAAATGGAAGAACATTCCATGCTCATGGGTAGGAAGAATCAATATCGTGAAAATGGCCATACTGCCCAAGGTAATTTACAGATTCAATGCCATCCCCATCAAGCTACCAATGACTTTCTTCACAGAATTGGAAAAAACTACTTTAAAGTTCATATGGAATCAAAAAAGAGCCTGCATTGCCAAGTCAATCCTAAGCCAAAAGAACAAAGCTGGAGGCATCACACTACCTGACTTCAAACTATACTACAAGGCTACAGTAACCAAAACAGCATGGTACTGGTACCAAAACAGAGATATAGATCAATGGAACAGAACAGAGGCCTCAAAAATAATGCCGCATATCTACAACTATCTGATCTTTGACAAACCTGAGAAAAACAAGCAATGGGGAAAGGATTCCCTATTTAATAAATGGTGCTGGGAAAACTGGCTAGCCATATGTAGAAAGCTGAAACTGGATCCCTTCCTTACACCTTATACAAAAATCAATTCAAGATGGATTAAAGATTTAAACGTTAGACCTAAAACCATAAAAACCCTAGAAGAAAACCTAGGCATTACCATTCAGGACATAGGCGTGGGCAAGGACTTCATGTCCAAAACACCAAAAGCAATGGCAACAAAAGACAAAATTGACAAATGGGATCTAATTAAACTAAAGAGCTTCTGCACAGCAAAAGAAACTACCATCAGAGTGAACAGGCAACCTACAACATGGGAGAAAATTTTCGCAACCTACTCATCTGACAAAGGGCTAATATCCAGAATCTACAATGAACTCAAACAAATTTACAAGAAAAAAACAAACAACCCCATCAAAAAGTGGGCGAAGGACATGAACAGACACTTCTCAAAAGAAGACATTTATGCAGCCAAAAAACACATGAAGAAATGCTCATCATCACTGGCCATCAGAGAAATGCAAATCAAAACCGCTATGAGATACCATCTCACACCAGTTAGAATGGCAATCATTAAAAAGTCAGGAAACAACAGGTGCTGGAGAGGATGCGGAGAAATAGGAACACTTTTACACTGTTGGTGGGACTGTAAACTAGTTCCACCATTGTGGAAGTCAGTGTGGCGATTCCTCAGGGATCTAGAACTAGAAATACCATTTGACCCAGCCATCCCATTACTGGGTATATACCCAAATGAGTATAAATCATGCTGCTATAAAGACACATGCACACGTATGTTTATTGCGGCACTATTCACAATAGCAAAGACTTGGAACCAACCCAAATGTCCAACAATGATAGACTGGATTAAGAAAATGTGGCACATATACACCATGGAATACTATGCAGCCATAAAAAATGATGAGTTCATATCCTTTGTAGGGACATGGATGAAATTGGAAACCATCATTCTCAGTAAACTATCGCAAGAACAAAAAACCAAACACCGCATATTCTCACTCATAGGTGGGAATTGAACAATGAGATCACATGGACACAGGAAGGGGAATATCACACTCTGGGGACTGTGGTGGGGTCGGGGGAGGGGGGAGGGATAGCATTGGGAAAAAATAAAAAAAAAAATAAAAAAAAAAAAGAAAGATAAGGGGGCACAAATCCTTCTACATAAACAGTAATAGCTAGTCAGACTAGCTTTGTCATTGACTCAGTTAATATTAATTGCATAAGCTATAGGCCAAGGTACTTTAAAAGATACTATGATAAATAGGAAAAAATTTTTGCATTCAAGCAGCTTCCAGCCTAGTTGGAAAGATAATACAGTCACAGATAAAACACTCATTCATTGATTCAACATTTCCTGAGTAGCTGCAGAAAGGCACTGAGTTTGGCACCCTGAGAAATGCAAAGATGAAAGAAAAACAGCCTAGCCCTCCAGGAAGTTAACAGTCTGCTGGAGAAGATAACATAGGTATGCAGGTTTTGAATGAAGAACATCAGAAGTGCTATAGGAATAATCCAAATATTATGCTATGTGATTTCCAAAGAGGGGGAAGTGATTCCTAAATGCGGGTTTGGGGAAGATGGCGGGGAGTAGACATTTGAGCTAAATAGCTTTTAAAGATTACACAGGATTTGAGTACTCACTGACTGGGGAGGAAAGGCATTCTAAGTGAGGATCAACTGTGCTGTAAAGACATATTCTGGAAAGTAAAAGGAAGGTGGGAGTAGTGAGTACAAAGGGTTTTTTTCTAGAGGGATCCCAAATTATATGAAGGTGTTTACTGGGAAGGAGAGAGAGATCAAATTACAAGGATATTCAAATGAGAATCTAAAGAGCTTATGTTGTTTATGGGATATGGGACATAAGAAAAGGGAGAAGAACACAGAGTATCTTAAAAGAGTTCTAAAGTCAATGATAAGGAAAGAAAAACTGGGTTTATAATTAGAGAACATACAATTTAGCTAAGTCTGAAAGAGCAGACATGATTTTGACAGGCTGTTACAGGTTCTGTAAATTTATGAAAGTCATGATTCAGCCAGGCCAGCAATTCTTTGGTTGGTGCCATTCCCTCTAAATCTTGGGAGCTGAATCATTTTTGGTACCTTTTTAGATATGCTATCTGTGAAATGACACTGGCCTGAATAAACCCAAACCTCAGGAACTAAGGCTTTAACACACACATAGACACAATCACATGCTCCCCAAATTCCCTTCAACATCCTTTTTGGTAGGACATTTTTATTGTTTGCTACTTTTTTTTTCTTTTTTTGTTTATCTGCATTTCCTTGCTGCTATTTTTTATAATTATAAAATTAATTCAAATTAATACAACTTCAGTGTAGGAAATCTAGTCTTTCATTGTTATCCATTTTAATACTGACTTAATAACCACAACATGAATGTACTAACACTGCCTGCTACAACTCTATACAGACAGCCAGGGTGTCTGAAAATGGGCCATATGTTCAAGGCATATGAATCAGCACAAAGATAATACTGGTCTCTTCAAGAATCACTTGGGGCTATACTCCTAAAAGATGAAGAAAACTGCTTCTAGACTACTTCCAGAATTCTCCTGGAATGTGTGAGTTAAAGAGGCCCAAAGTAGTCTTTCAGGACTCAAAAAAATTACTGAATGTAGTAAGCACCAATCCAGATAACGAGTTGGATATTCATCCCATCGGGGTGCACAAATTTAGGCATATTCACAGATAAATTTATTTTTTTATCAGGGATTACCTAGATTAGAATAATTTCAACCTAAGTGAATTTTAATGGATTAGGGCTAAACTCAGAAAAATTAATGAGTCAAATATTGTTGGGTTTTACATTAGGCCAGTTTGATATAGAGGTCAACAGCATAAGCTTTAAACTCTGTCAAAATGAATATGAAACTTAGCTATGATCTACTGTAATTGTGTTATCTTATGAAAGCCACTAAACCCTTCTGAGATTTAAGAAAATAGAAATCATATAACACCTGTAAGAATTAAATTTGAAAATTAATATATGGAAGACTGTCATCCAATGGCAGTTTATTATTAACAGGCAATCGCCGCGGTACCATTTCATACAGAAATCTACTGTCCATAAAGAATTAGTGCTTTTTATTGATTAAATTATTAAAGAACAAGCAAAGAAAGCAAGGTATGGAGCAATCCTGAATGTTCTACAATGTATCATATTTATTCTTCAAGGTCCACTTCCATGAAGTGTTTCGTATTCCCCTTAATCTCACATTCTCTTCCTTTGAAACCCCATAGCCTGGGTTTAGATGTCTCATAAGCACTTCTCATACTGTGGATTACAGTCATACATGTCCTTTTCTTACCAGCCACTCTCTCCTGCTCCTCACCATGCTCTATCTCTTAGAGCTGGGGCTTTTAACCTGAGGAGTGTAAACTTCCTAAATTTATATACAAAATTAGTGTTTCTGTATACCATATATAAATATATTTTCCTGGAGAAAATCCAGAGTTTTCATCAAATTCTCATAAAAACTTTGAAAGTCAAAAAAGGTAAGGAACTCTTGTCTAGGGAATAGACTTACTTATCCTTTTCTTCTCTATAGTGCTAGGCATTTACCTTGCATATGAATCAAAATTTATTGATATAATGGTTTATTAATAAATCATAAAATAAATTTTAGGTTTGTTTAAATCTTTTTTCATTTTTATTTATTTTTGAGACAGGGTCTTATTCTATCACCCAGTTTGGAGTGCAATAGCATGAACACAGCTCACTGCATCCTCGACCTCCAGGGCTCAAGTGATCTTCCTGCCTCGGCCTCCTAAGTAGCTGGGACCACAAGTGCACGTCACCACTCCCAGCTAACTTTTTTTGTTTAATATTCTTTTGTACAGATAGGGTCTCACTATATTGCCCAGGATGGTCTTGAACTCCTGGGCTCAAGTGATCCTCCTGCCTCGGCCTCCTAAAGTGCTGGGATTACAGGCATGAGCCACTACATCTGGCATTAATGCAATCTTTCAAAATATATTTTCTTGCTTGGTCTTCCTTTAATGTAAAAAATAAATTAAGAATAGTGGTTATCAGGGGCTGGGGAGAATGGAGGATCCATTGAGAGTTACTGTTTTTTGTTTTTTTGTTTTTTAAGACAGTCTCACTTTGTCGCCCAGGCTGGAGTGCAGTGGCGCGATCTCGGCTCACTGCAAGCTCCACCTCCCAGCTTCATGCCATTCTCCTGTCTCAGCCTCCCAAGTAGCTGGGACTACAGGTGCCTGCCACCACACCAGGCTAATTTTTTGCATTTTTAGTAGAGATGGGGTTTCACCATGTTAGCCAGGATGGTCTCGATCTCCTGACCTCGTGATCTGCCTGCCTCAGCCTCCCAAAGTGCTGGGATTACAGGCATGAGCCACCACATCCGGCCAGAGAGTTACTGTTTAATAGCTCCAGAGTTTCAGTTTGAGAAGATGAAGGCTCTGGTGATGGACAGTAGTGATGGCTGCACAACAATGCCAATATATTATTAGTACTACTTAACTGCTCTGCACATTTCACCACCACAACAAAAAAAAGACTATGTCTTACTCTCATGTAATATTAACTGCCTATTACATGGCAGACTCTTCATCAGAGGAAAGGAAAAAGGAAATATACTGGTTAAATGTTAGGATGTAAGAAAGAATGGGGAAGAAAATCTCAACCTCTATCTATATGCAATGCTGGTGTTAGAGTATAAATACAAACTAAAATAGGGTAATTTAATCATAAATCTTGTCCAAAGGGGCTTAAAGAAAAGTAAGTGGAGAAAAAAACTGCTTAGGCAACATCAGTTTATCTGTGTGAGGTAAATTAAACTTTTTCAAGGTGCCAAGTCACTACTCAAGACATAAATGAGAATTTAGCCCAATTTTACTAATGTATTATCTATATGAATAATGCAAGTATTTTGTATGCTTGCAAAAGGCATTCCAAGGTATCAGAAGCACATTTTTTTAAAATGAACATTTGGTAAATATTCTTAAAATTTGTAAATATAAAAGATCCTAAAACTATAAATACCTTAAAAAGGAAAAAGACAAAAAAAAAAAAGAAAAATCACAGTATGAAAAAATGAATTATTTTCATATATCATTTTACTCCCATCTCATATTTTACAGCCTGCCTTATCAAAGAAAAAGTCTCAGACTCAATTAAGATTACAAATATGTTAAAACAGCAAAAGTATCTCTATTAATGAGGCTATACTGATATTTCCAAACAACACGTATATTTTGTCAAAAACTTAGATTCTAAACTTTTGATCATTAAATATCAATGATATTGTTTGGTAATCAGTATATAACTAATTAGCAAAGATACTTTAAAATTCCATTATTTTCCCAGAAATCTTTTATTTATAGATTTGCAACTATTCTTTAGTGGAATCTAGGAAAATCTTCAGAAACAGATTCAAAATAAAGGGTAACTACTGTACTAATATTTAAATTTCGTATCATAAAACAGATATGCATTACCATATTGAAGTAGTATGTATTTGATATAAGCTATGTTTATTGCTTTCTTGACTTTAATATTAATTAGCAGACTATAAAATTCTCCCATAGTTGTATTTACCAAAAAGCCAATTTTCCTAATATTTATTTTTATTTATTTATTTTTTTTCTTTTGAGACAAGAGTCTCACTCTGTCGCCCAGGCTGGAGCGCAATGGCACTATCTCAGCTCACTACAAGCTCTGCCTCCTGGGTTCACGTCATTCTCCTGCCTCAGCCTCCCGAGTAGCTGGGACTACAGGTGCCCGCCACCACACCTGGCTAACTTTTTGTATTTTCAGTAGAGATGTGGTTTCACCATGTTAGCCAGGATGGTCTCGATCTCCTGACCTCATGATCCACCCACCTCGGCCTCCCAAGGTGCTGGGATTACAGGCGTGAGCCACTGCACTCAGCCCCTAATATTTATTCTTATCCAGTGTTCACTCAATAAATATTTACCGAGTGCCTGTCATGTACCAGTAGTATAAATGCTGCACAGCAGTGAACCAGTCATGTTCTGCCTAAAAAATACTTAAATGCTACTGCTTTTCTAGAACACAGATTTATACTACCACCTCTGTGAAGTGTTAGAGCAGACAGATAGCTAGACATGAGCAGGAGAGAGAGCCCCTGAGAAAAGGAGGACTAGAAAATCTCACATCCCAGAGACTACCCAAAACCTGCATGCTAGGTATGAACAGAGAGGAGGGGAAATACCTATGCAGAAAGGAACATCCTGAAATACCCCTTAAGATGCCCAGTAATTGCTCACTCTACAGTTAACCTGTCAGAATGTAGCTAGGTACATGCTGATATGAAGAGAAAGAGGGCAAAGGGGAAATTCCTAAGAGATACACAGGCACAGTAAGTACAGATTTAACCACTTTACCACCTTCCTGGGGTGGCGGTAAGGAGCAACAATGCCATTAAGTAGACTTCATATCCAACACTGGGCACACACATGTGCATCAACTCAGAGTAAGAGAATCCTACAAAACTGTGGCAAGAACTAGTCAGGGACAAGGTAGGGACTTAAAGCAGAAGTGGGAAACTAGCCAAAGACAATGGCAGAGACTTGAGACAGGCAGGAACTTAAAGAAAGAGTCCAACACAATGAAAACTGCAATGTTGAACTCTCAGGGCTGCTGGCTCATTTTCTTTCCAGCAGCCCATTCTGCCTCCTCTTTCAGAGCATACTGTCTCTGCTACTACTTAACCCTTGCTGCTACTACTGAACCCTTGCTGCTACTACTGCTGTTTTTCCAGCCTGCTCCTTTCTTGGCATGTACTTTCTTCAATAAATTCTCTGTTCTTTTTGCTAAAATTGTCTCTTGGACAAATTCTTTCTCCCAAGAACAAGAACCACAGACTTCACTCTTCCTAGTAACAAAAGTCTCATGGTTTTATAAATATACTTATTCTGGTAATATTTTGAATAATTTATGCTTCTGATCTCTAATGAAAAATTTATAAGTGAATGAATATTTTTAAGGCAAAATATTTGCCTAACATGGAGTTTGTTTTTTGGTATAGCAATAACAACACATCAAAAAAAGTACAAATTACTTTAAACTTTGAAGATTTACCTGTTATAGGAATATTCTGTGAGACTGATAACTGCACATCTCCAGTTCCTGGTGGCATGTCTACAACTAAGTAGTCCAGTTGACCCCAATCTACCTAAAAAGATGACATAGATTATATCATTGTATAAAAATTCAATGTTGAATAGTGATGTAAACAAAATTAATGTGTTAATAACAAATATAAAATCATAGCTATCGCTTGAGCCATTGCTAGGTACAAGGCACTGTGCTGAGTCCTAAGGATACATGGATGAATAAATGACAGGCCCTTCCACTAGGAGGCCTTCTTTGAATGGCAAGTTTAAATTTCCAGATGACTCATCCGCATACACACACGTTAATGTTGAACTCACTTCTCAGTAGGCTTCTATTCAGGACCATTCACTTATTTTTACTGGGTGTAGCCCACATTTTGCCTAAAGAAGATATTAGCTTTTTGTCACCTTTTTTTAAATTTTGCATTTCCCATGCTAATATAATTTTTTTAAGTTTATTATATTTCCTTCACAAAAATACACTAATAATGAAACCCAAAACTTAATAATAAAAAATTTAATATAACTTGAGTCCCAATATTATTAACATTTTGATTCTTTCTTTCAAGGCATTTATTTATACCCAGAATATTCACCTATATAACCAAGTCCTTACTGCTCAGCCTTCATTTAGATAGGTCTCAAGGGTACCTCAGGTTCTTTACTCCTCAGATACTTCTTCCTTCTGAGTCCCTAGTCTCTATTAATGGCCCAAGGATCTTCTCAATTGTAAAGCAGAAACGTGGAATGACAATAACTCTTCCTTTTCCTTCACTATCCCCAATCAGTTATTCTGCCTTCTAAAAATCTCTCAAACACACCCACTTCTCTCTTTCTCCACTGCCAAGAACCCAAGTGAGGCCACCACCATCTGTTATTATTAAAGCCTCCCAACCAGCCTCTCTGGCTCCAGCACTGCCTATCTAGTCTGTTCCTAACAACACTGAAAAATGGAAGTTTGATAGTGCTACATTTTGTTTAAAACTCTTCTCTTGCCTTTAGGATAATATCTAAGCTTAAGCTCCAGAACACTCTGCCTGTTCTTCTTCACTTCCTAATTTCTCCTCATTCTTCAGATCCCAGCTTAAAATTCATTTCTTTGGGGAAAGCTCCACTAACTCTCATTAAAGTGTTTCTACTACATACTTCCCCTAATCACCTGTTCATTCATTTGCCCAAGAAATGTTTACTGAATACCTACTATGTATTGGGCATTGAGCTAGGTATTGACGATTAAATGGTATCATGATTCCTGCCCTCACAGAAGTTACAATACAGAGACAGAGATATCAGGCAGATAACTATCCTCATAAATACATAATCACCAGCTTTATAATACAAGAAGCCCTGTGAAGACAGTAAAATGTGCACAGAAAAGAGCTTGCTAACTTTGAGAAATTGAAAGATCAATATGGCTAGAGAGCAGTGAGTGAAGAGAAGGTTATCATTCATTTACTGTTGTTTCATGATCTGTCTTCCTATAAAACGGTAACAGGAGACGCTCAAGACGTTTTCTTTCAAGGAATGAATGGCTAAATGAACACATGCAAAGACTTGATTTTTTTAAACCTAAGTGGAAACTGTATATAATTTCATATTGTGCTCCTTAAAACTTAATAACATGTAATATGTCCTTTCCATATAATCATGCTTTTACTTATTTATTTATTTATTCATTTTTGTGACAGGGTCTCGCTCTATCACCCAGGCTGGAATGCAGTGGCATGCTCACAGCTCACTACAACCTCAACCTCCTGGGCTGAAGTGATCCTCCCACCTCAGCCTCCCTAATAGCTGGGACTATAGACGTGTGCCACCATGCCTGGTCAATTTTTGTATTTTTTGTAGAGACAGGGTTTCGCCATGTTGCCAAGCTGGTCTTAAACTCCTAGGCTCAAGTGATCCTCCCACTTTGGTCTCCCAAAGTGCTGGGATTACAGGCATGAGTCACCGTGCCTGGCCTATAATCATACTTTTAAAATAAAAAGTGTAGATGATATTGGGTCAAACAGATTCATTCATATGTCAACACATCTATTCAACACACATGAATTGAGAATTGACTGGGTGCCAGCCATTGTTCCAGGTGATGGTAATAGAGCAATAAACATAATAAAATCACAACCATGATGGAACTGACAATTTAGTGAAGGAGACATGCAGAAAGATAGATAGACAGATAGACAGACAAACAAATCAGGAAGTAATAAGTGCTGTGAAGAAAACTACAGGTATCCCTTACTACAGCAGTCCACAACCTTTTTGGCACCAGGGACCATTTTGTGGAAGACAATTTTTCCATGGATGGGAGCAGGGGACAGTTTCAGGATGATTCAAGCGATTTACATTTATCATTAGATTTTCACAAGGAGTGTGCAACCTAGATCCCTCACAATAGGGTCCGTGCTCATATGAGAATCTAATGCCACTGCTGATCTGACAGGAGGCAGAGCTCAGCTTCATTCACTAACCCATTGTTCACCTCTTGCTGTGCAGTCAGTTCCTAACAGACCATGGTCTGGTACTGGTCTGTGGGCTAAGGGTTGGGAACCCCTGCCTTACTATACAAAATTATTTGGTCCCTGATTTAGATATCCAGATCAAATAAGAATAAATATTTTAGAAAATCTCTTCAATTACCAAATTTCAGATAGCAAGTATGAAGAGTTCAGACAGCAAAGGATTTATCAAAGAATTTATTTGAATCTCTTTGGTCCCCAAGGTCAGACGGTGTAGAGTAAGGAGAAAGAATTGAATGGTGGAAGGTGCTACTTTAGACAGGGTGGTCAGACTCCTGAATAAACTGAGAAAACAACTGATGCAAATATCTGAAGGAAAGAACTCCAGCCAGAAGCCATAATAAGTGCAAAGGCCCTAAAATAGGAATATATTTGCTACATTCAAGCAATAGCAAAAAAGCCAGTATAGCCTTTATAAAATAGCATTCCCATAACCATTAAACTCTCTCCTTCCCTGACATCGTGTTTTCTTCAAAACATTCCTCAGTATCTGACATTATATGTTGATTTGTTTTTTAGGAATCCTAATTTCCCAAACACATGTACTTGATATTGACATAATGACATACTTTAATAGACTGATGAAATGATGAACATAATGAATTCATTCTCAATACAGGGTTCTTTGGCTTGAAAAATAGTTACCCCGAGACTACCCATGACCTCCATCTATGAAACTGTGAAATAAAATAATTGAAAATCTAAGCTGCTGGAGCTTTACATTATTTTGAGCCCTTAAAGAAATGTGATCATGAGGCCTGAGTCACATGACAGGCAAATGTAACCTAGAAAGCTATAACTCTGTTTCTCTGATTACAGATTAGCCTTCTTCCTTACCTACAATGTTTCAATGTTTTGTAAAATGAATAAAGGGTGTCAGGGAAGGTTCCTTCCCTCTTCTCTGTTGATTTTCCTTATACATTAACTTCCCTCTTAACCTTTCTCATACAAAGACTTCATGACTTCATGACTATCACATTGTCTTAAGATAGAATATTAAATATATTCTTAAATTGGAAAGGAAATGAAAACCAGCTGTAAAGAAAACAAGCCATAGGGAAAAAGAAAACGAACTGTAACTAAATTGTTATAACTCATAAATCAGTCTTATATAGAAAATGTTGTGATCCTGTTAAATTTCTTTGTTTTCTTCCTATATGCAAGACCTTAACTTTTAACTTCAGAGTGCTGACTCCATTTCTCTGGAGTCTGTGTTTCCTGGATGGCCGTTCCTAGCCTTTCACGTTAATAAACTCTTTAAAACTGGATTCTGATCCTTTTGATTACTTCAGGTTGACAAAACTTACCCCAAAAGATGAAGGATCATTTTCCTTTTACATTCTTGGCACTAAAACTCCTAGCACCGGCAGACTGACACGTCTCTGGGTTTCAGAGAACATCAAATGACTGGTGCCAATAATTTATCATTGTTTTTCCCTGGCACTTACTCATATTTATCATGTTACTTTCAATTTCTTATTTCTTTAAAGAAAACTGCTATTGGCCAGGTGTGGTGGCTCATGCCTGTAATCCCAGCACTTTGGGAGGCCAAGGCACACGTATCACTTGAGGTCAGGAGTTTGAGACCAGCCTAGCCAACATGGTGAAACCCTGTCTCTGCTAAAAATACAACAATTAGCTGGGCCTGGTGGTGGGTGTCTGTAGTCCCAGCTACTTGGGAAGCTGAGGCATGAGAATCTCTTGAACCCAACAGGCAGAGGTTGCAGCAAACCAAGGCTGCGCCACTGCATTCCACCCTGGGTGACAGCAAGACTCTGTCTCAGAGAAAAAAAAAAAAAAAAAAGAACTGCTATTAAGGTTCCAAGGAACAAAAAATACTTCACAGTTAAGGCAATTCATTTCAAATGACTCTGAATTGAATTTAATGTACCTGAAAAACACCTGGGCCAGTACCTTCATCACACATAGTAGGCTTTCTATAAAGGCTTGCTGATAAACCAAGCAAATGACCACACAGAATCTAGTGCTCAGACTGAGAAGTAAGTACTGAATTAGGAGGTGGACACCACATGGCAGGATCCAGAATCCAATCAGATTGAGCCCTGGCATACCCCATGGCAGGATCCAATCAGATCATGCTTCCTGGCATCACCTCGTTGCAAGATATAATAAGATCACACCTCATTACCCTATGCTTATAAAAGCTGACCAGCCCCCAGTTCAGGGAGATGGATTTGAGCATTTCCTTCTGTCTCCTTGTTAGCTGACTCACAATAAACCTTTCTCAATGTAAAATCCTGGTGCTCTGGTGTTTGGATTTCCATTGTGCACAGGCAAACTGACCCAATTGGTTTGGTGACAAAATGGTGGCCATGAAAGGACCAAAATTAGGTCTCTCCTTGACTTCTTAAATTTAATAGAAAGACTAAATATGTTTGGTCTCTAAAAATTATGCTATAGGAAAACATGTTTTTCTAATAATTATAAAATGGTTCTTATTTATAAAAGACTGATATGCAATAGGCAATTCAAGATTTCTATGTTTATTTTTGTTTGTTTGTTTGTTTGTTTTTTAGACGGAGTCTCACTCTGTCGCCCAGGCTGGAGTGCAGTGGCACAATCTTGGCTCACTGCAACCTCGTCTCCCAGGTTCAAACCATCCTCTTGCCTCCCCAGTAGCTGGGATGACAGGTGCCCGCCATCACAATTGGCTAATGTTTTTCTATTTTTAGTAGAGACAGGGTTTCACCATGTTGGCCGGGCTGGTCTCAAACTCCTGATCTCAGGTGATATGCCTACCTTGGCCTCCCAAAGTGCTGGGATTACAGGTGTAAGCCACCACACCCAGCAAGATTTCTATGTTTTTAATAAAATTTAAGGTTACTAAGAGTTAAAAATTCTAATTTATAATTCTTCAAATGAACTGTGCCAAAAGGTGTTTCTTGTTTGATTGTTTGTTTGTTTGAGACAGAGTCTTGCTCTGTCGCCCAGGCTGGAGTGCAGCGGCGCAATCTCAGCTCACTGCAACCTCCGCCTCCCAGGTTCAAGCAATTCTCCGGTCTCAGCCTCCTGAGTAGCTGAGATTTCAGGCACCCACCACCATGCCCAGCTAATTTTTGTACTTTTAGTAGAGATGGGGATTCACCATCTTGCTCAGGTTGCTCTTGAACTCCTAACCTCGTGATATGCCTGCCTCGGCCTCCCAAACTGTTGGGATTACAGGCGTCAGGCACTGCACCTGGCCAGGTGTGTTTTTAATAAGAAAAAATTATAAGAAACACATAAAATATGTTCTTCAGTGAGAAAAAAATTATTTTGTCAAATTTGGAGGTTATTTAAAAGAAGCTTCACAATATGGATTTAGAAAGGAAACAGAAACAAGATAAAAAGGAACTAATAGTAAGGGGAGAGAGACGTAAGAAAGTTATGGATATAAAGAAAAGAGAATAATATTGTATAAGAAAGAATCATGTGTAGTAAATCTTTGTCCTAAAGTAAAATGACTGGTTATTTAAGAAAGAGAATTATAGGGAAAGGTAGAAAGTCTAAGCATGTCATAGATGGTCTGAGTAAGTCATGAAAAGGTTAATAAATAGAAATTTTAAGAAAGAAACTTGGGGTGTGAATAAGTTGGCTATAATTAAAAGAAATTTTAAAAAGTCTTTCTAGGCAGTGAATGTTGATATTAAAGCACAGAACTTATAATTTTGGCCCTCTATGTTAAAATAACAAGAGTGTCTTAAGACATCAATTTGCTCCTGGTAAGATTGCAAGAGGTTTTGATTTTTAATTCTGAAGTCTGTTTCTTTAATAGCCATTCTCTGAATTACAAATAAGTTTCTCTTTCTGCCCCATTTCTTCCTGAGAACTGTCTAGTTTCTCTGGTTTCAGATTTATCTTGAAGGTCTAGAAAAGCAATATTTTATCCCAGTATAAATTGGTTCTGTAGTTTTATATGTCTGCACTGTTTCATGTAACCAGGCCTTAAATGTCTGAATTATTTCATGTAACCAGGACTTCCTATGCTGTTACTAAATGTATTCCCCTGCTCAAAGTAACTGGCCTAGGAAACAAAGATTGCTTAGGAAGACTGAGGTTTAAAAGAGTTAAGGTTTTTACATTCATGTAACTTTCTGTATTGCTTTTGAAGTCTTTTGATTGTCACTCTGGTTAAATGAGTAACTACTATTTGGCAGTGACCTATGATTCTGTTGAAGGAAGTACTTTGAACTTTTTGATGTCTTTCGTAGGTTCTCCCAGGATCCAAATCCTAAATCAAGCTTCTTGGCCTAAAATTAACTTTGACATTTTACAGGTGGGCCCCCTGGAGAGCCTCAAAGGGTGCATCTCTCATCTTACAGAGATTTTAAATGATTAAGCTTATTTGGTAAATAATATGGGAAGCACTGTCAAATAAGGAATGCTGTTGAATTTCCTTTAAGCCATATTTGTGTAAATGTGCTATTAAAAGTTATTCCAAAATTGTATAAGATTCCTAAAATTCGGATATGTTGGGGTATATGTCATGATGTGAAATTAGTTATATGCTACCGAAATACCTAGATTTCTTTGTTAGTTACAAACTCTCATCAGATCTTTGACTGTGGCTGTTCTGAATTTTTGTTATCCACAGTTATTATCTCAAATTTTTCTCTGGAAGCACTTGCAATTGGCTATAGTCCAAAATTATTAATTAAGACTGAGAAAAACAAAACTACTTGAAGTTAAGTAATTGTTAAGACTTTATTTTTAAGTCTTAATCGTTAAGTCATAACTTAATTGTTATGACTTAAATGTTTTGTTTTCTAGACTTAGGAAATTTTCTGTCATAAGTTATTTAGAGTTTGCAATAATTTGATAACATATCCTTTGTGAACAAGGGTGGGAGCATTTGCTTTTTCTCACAACTTGATTCCTACAAAATTTAGAAACCATTAATGAGTATTCTTATTTTTATGTAATGTAAGTTCAGTAAAAAATCTGCTCTCTCAGCCGGGCACAGTGGCTCACGCCTGTAATTCCAGCATTCTGGGAGGCCAAGGAGGGTGGATCACGAGGTCAGGAGTTCACAGACTAGCCTGGCCAACTTGGTGAAACCCCATCTCTACTAAAAAAAAAAATACAAAAAATTAGCCAGGCATGGTGGCACATGCCTGTAATCCCAGTTACTCTGGAGACTGAGGCAGGAGAATTGCTTAAACCTGGGGGGCAGAGGCTGCAGTGAGTCAAGAGCTCGCCACTGCACTCCAGCCTGGGTAAGACAGCAAGACCCCGTCTCAGGGAAAAAAAAAAAAATGTGCTCTCTCTTTATAAGCAAGATGCAATGGGAAACATTGGTTATATTACTAAGGTTTGGACTGAAATGTCATATTTAAGAATGTGAATAAAATGCCTGGCTTCAGGAGTTCCCAGCTTTTCAGGGAGTGAATGAAAACTGTCACTTCCTGGCAGGCCCAAGAACCTTAAGACTGTAAGTAAACTCCAAAAACCTGCCTCGGTTTGGCTTCCCAGCTGCAAAAGATTCTAAATCTGAGATTTCTTAGATGATCACTGTGGAGAGAAAAAGTTATGCTTCTAAGGAAAGCAAAAGTACATCTGTTATTAGATTGTAACTCTGTGCACTGTCTTCAAGTCCTTGTTATCTATCTGTAGATTGAACTGAATCTTCCTAAGTTCCTCCAATAGTTGGTTATAACTAAATCCCAATGGAGTCCCTCAGCCCTCTTTTCACAATCCAGACTAGGGATGCTCTGAGGACATTCAGGGGATTTCCCCTTTTTAAATCTGATATTACTAGTGTAATATCAGAATTGGGGACAAACTAGACCTTTAGGATACTATGACCCCTTGTCTCAGAGCAGTTGATGCTGTCTCTTCCTTGTAAAAGCCATAGAGAAGATAGTTATGGGGCTACCTCTCACTATCTCCATTCCATACTCTGTCACGGCTCTCTTCAAGTCACATCATAAGCCAGCTAGCAAATGATGAGGTTCTCTTTCTTTCTTCTTCTTTTTTTTTTTGAGATGGAGTTTTATTCTTGTTGCCCAGGCTGGAGTGCAATGGCGCCATCTCGGCTCACTGCAACCTCCGCCTCCCGGGTTCAAGAGATTCTCCCTCAGCCTCCCAAATAGCTGGGATTACAGGCATGCACCACCATGCCCAGCTAATTTTGTAATGTTAGTAGAGATGGGGTTTCTCCATGTTGGTCAGGCTGGTCTCAAACTCACGACCTCAGGTAATCCACCCGCCTCTCCCTCCCAAAGTGCTGGGATTACAAGCATGAGCCACCACGCCTGACCCATAAGGTTCTCTTTCTATCCTCATCTTACCATCACCTGGTGTAATAACTTGCCCAATCCTGCCACTTTACTTACCTTTCCTAAGGCCAAGTCTGCCTAATAAGTGGAACTGCATGCACTTACTAGGTCATGTCTTTTAGCCAAAGGTAAAACAGCCAGTATTTATAAAGATGTCAGGTATGCCTTCACGGTTGTTCATGACTTTGGTATCTGTGTAAAATTTGTCCACAATACACTACTGGCAAACTGTTGCATGCCTCCATGGGCCACTTCCCATTGCTGAGTGGTCCCTTTAAAGTATGGCAACAAGATTTTATTTAGCTCCCTGCCTCACAAGGAAACCAGCACGTACTAATTATGATTTGCATGTTTTCAAACTGGGTTAACACCTTCTTCTTGATAGGTCACAGCAATGGCAGTAGTTAAACCTTACTGGAAAAATTATATCAACCTGGGAAGTCTCTCAAGAGCTTCACAGTGACTAAGGAACTCATTTTACAGGGCAAATTATTCAAAATGTTTATAAAATTTGGCCTATTAACATCCACTGGGGTGGTGGAACAGACCAACAGAATAATAAAAGCCCAATAACAAAGACCCGAGTGGCATTTAGCCTGCCTTGGCCCTAGGCCCTTTCCTTAGTCTTTTTTAACCTTGGTGGGCATTCAACACCCTCTCTCTGGAGTTCTGAATTCATCCAGTCAGGAGAAACCACATTGTTTTTTTTGGCTTGTTTGTTTGTTTGTTTTTGTCTGTTCAGCCCCCATTCACCTCCTGGGAAAGGACTTCTTAGAAACCTGTCAGGCCCACATATCCTTCTCCCAAAAAAGGGGAAAATAATACTTGAGTTGTCCTCACCAGGAGATCTGGCCACAGACAGATCTTATGCAAATTCCCATCTATTCAGTCAGTTTCACTAATTCTACGCCTCCTGCTCTCCAAGAGCTACCTGAGAGTCTTGAGGCACACGCCAACACTGACAATGACCCCATGGATTATAGTTGGAGGCCACTCATGGATGTGATTTGCTGAAAGGGATTAACTCTAGTGAAGGAGCTGCACAGGAAGGTTTCTGAGGTCCTGGTTTGGACTAGGTTCTGTTTGGAATGGTCAGAAACTTTTCTGCACTGTTAATAGAGCTGCCTGCTTCACCACTCATGCCATCAGGGCACAACAGAGATTCCCCTAGACTCCCTTGCTTGTGTGATCCTAGACAACCACACTGCTTTAGATTAACACCTCACTGCACAGGGTGGTGTTTCTGCTATCGCTAATACTTGCTGCTGTATCTGGGTAAATACTACCACTCAGGTGAATTGGGAACATCTGAGGTTATAATGTTAGCCAAATCTCTGAAAGGGACACCTTCAGAAAGACTCCTGGCTGGACTTATTGGGTGGAATTTCCAATGTCCAGACGTTTTCAGCTGGCTTAACCCTGGTATAAGATTCCTTCTGTGTTTCACCCTACAAGTCTTAATGATCCTCCTCATATTTGGGCTAAGCATTTGGCTGCTCTTTAAAATTGTTCTAGCCTATTTTAACAGCTGTCTGCAAGCGACTCCCACTAGGATTGTGCCGACTCAATCCTTAAGACTTTAAACTCATTTTAGCTGGAAACAGGAACCAACTTAACCCAAGAGACTTTGGTTCAAATTTAGCACACATTTGAGTGCCTCTCATAAGTAAAAGACTCTAGTCGTTCAATTGGCCACTGCCCTGCCTCAAGGATCTCTACAAGGGACCAGATGGACCTGGAGCAGGTAGTCAACCACTCTGGCACCATGATGGGATGCAATGCTATCTGCCAACAGGTTTGAGCCAGTCCTTCAAGATGGATCCTGAGTAGCTGACTGAGCCTAAATTTTAAATAGAGCCATGTAGCCATTTGCTGACTACAAGTTATACACATACTCTTCTTCCAAAACTCACACATTTTAATCTATAGAACCTTTGGGGCTCACTTGAACCAGTCAATCAGAGTTGAGCTGTATCAATCAATCAGAACTAAGCAAGTTACAAGTTTCAATCCTTCATTTGCACAAAGAGAACTGATTGGGAACCTGGGTGTGAACTTTTGCTATAAAATCTGAGATTTCTTTCCCTTGTTCTCTGAAACAAACAATGTTCAGGTTGCTAACTCTTTATTCCTTTGTCCTAGAACTGGGTTGAAGTAACTTCTTCTGAAACATAATCCTGAGCACTAAACAATTTCATTTCTCTAACCAAGGTCTACTATCTAACCAGCAGGAACTAGCTAGAGTGGTTGTCACCCCTTTTCCCTCAATACTGAGGAATGGACATAATAAAGGGGCGATTTGGAACTGTATTAGACCAATCTGGTAAACTTTTATGTAACAAAGCTATGGGCTGTTTTTCAGTTGCTGTTGGACCCCCAGTTTGAAGGTCACATAACCTGAACATGAAGATGAACCAAATGGGCAGAACCTAAGTGCTTGGACTAAGGAGTAAGGACTGAATTAAGAGGTGGATACTGCATGGCAGGATTCAGGATCCAATCAGATCAAGTCCTGGCATGACTCCATGGCAGGATCCAGTCAGCTTGGGAAGACAGATTTGAGCGTTTCCTTCTGTCTCCTTGTCAGTCGACTTGCAATAAACCTTTCTCAGTGTAAAAATCTGGTGCTTCAGTGCTTGGCTTCCCATTGTGTGTGAAGGCAAACTCATCTGTGCAGTCAAACAGATCTAGTTTGGTTTGGTGACAGTTCCAGTTCTCTTGTAAAGGAGCCACGAAAGCAATGATTTTAGAATGATTTGGGGAGGCTCTAGATTCTACTTACTGTTGTATAAATTATATTTTACTAAGTATAGGGAAATAAGAACTAGCAAAACACCCAAGCATCTCATTTAGTAAAACCCAGTGGTGGATCCAGATTTTGTGTGGCCTGAAGCATATACAATTTGAGTGGTCATCTCTTAAAATAAGAATACCAAATTATAAATGAAAACTTAGGTACAAAAGTAAATATTTACTTAGAACACGAAAAGAAATTACCATAAATTTCTGGAGGCTTAGAGACTCACATTCCTTCTCTGAGAACTCTTTGAACAGAAATGCTTATATAGAAATGTTTCCTGACCTTCCTGACCATAACCTGGCTGTCTCTCCCCATCTAGAACATTCTAAATTCCCAGAATATCCCAGGATCCTATGCAGATGTAGAACCCTGAACTTAAGCTTTATTAGCTTCATGGTAACCCTACCTTTGGTAAAAGTTTCTCAGTTCTCTTTCAGGCTCCAAACTCAAAGGATTTCAGCAGGGTAGACTCAGTTAGTCTAGAAATTGGAGTTACCAAGGTACTCCAGAGATGCCCTGTGGATAGAGAGGCAGTAATGCAGCAGAAAGTTCATCAAGGTAGCCAGGAAATCAAATATGTGCATCAAATTAAGAAGGATATAGACAGCATAATGAATTAATCAAAAACAAAGCAAGTGGCCAAGACAGCTGAGAAGGGTAGGATGAGGTACAGATCAGGCGCAACAGTTCAGACTTGAGTCAGCCAAGAGAGGCTCCCTGCTAGATGTCTCTTGTACATAGTAACACATGACCATTATTACCCTCTAATGTGAGATATGGCACTTTTGTTTTTTTGCTTTCTTTTGTTTTGTTTTGCTTTTTTGAGATGGAGTTTTGCTCTTGTCGCCCAGGCTGATGTGCAATGGCATGATCTCGGCTCACTGCAACCTCTGCCTCCCAGGTTGAAGCGAGTCTCCTGCCTCAGCCTCCCAAGTAGCTGGGATTACAGACATGTGCCACTATGCCTAACTAATTTTTGTATTCTTAGTAGAGACAGGGTTTCACCATGTTGGTCAGGCTGGTCTTGAACTCCTGACCTTAGGTGATCCGCCCACCTCGGCCTCCCAAAGTGTTGGGAGTACAGGCATGAGCCACCATGCCCAGCCACTTTTG
The DNA here is from genome assembly GCF_000001405.40 of Homo sapiens. NCBI lineage: Eukaryota > Metazoa > Chordata > Mammalia > Primates > Hominidae > Homo > Homo sapiens. The sequence goes on along the minus strand of NC_000014.9, from coordinate 31,775,128 downwards.
GATCCAAATAGAATGCATTCAGTGAGCTGTTGTGCAAAGCCATTCAATATTGAGATAGTTGTTTTCTTCATTTGTCCTTATAATATTGTGAAATATGTATTTGGTCTTTGTCTCATTTACTGACATAAATCCTAAAATCCTTGGAATCACTAGAGTGATAAGAGTATCTTTTGTATTCTAATAAGTTGACTGGTGGCTGGGGGCACCTACATAGCCTCAAGATGAGGACTGGTTTCCAGGGGAATCAATGTTGTGATTAGAGGGTTGAAACTTTGAGTCCCAGGCCCAACCTCTATGGAGGGGAGAGGGCATGATTGATTACATCACGGGTTTATCAAGGGAAATAGCCCAAACTAATGCTGACAATGGTAATTTTAGGCTAACATGTTTTCCTCAAATAATATTTTACATTTTACACTCAAAATAATGTCTAATAATCTGAGAATAACTCAAAGACTCAAATAAAGGCAATTCCCTCTTTTCTGAGGAATGACTGGGAACTAAAATTGTATTTTATATTTGGGCAGATAAGGTAATTTGTCTTTTTCAGGACATCCGTTATAAAGAATATGGTGTTATGAATAGGAAAAGAACTCGGGTCTCTATCTTTTAGGGACACTTAAGAAACAGATCAAAACAGCAGCAATCAGGTCTCACTCTGAAAGATTCTGGGAACACAAGTGCAAATAGGTTGAATTCTACATGATGAACAGAAAGGGTCCAATGAATGTATGGTCAATAGTTCCATTTTAGGCTTCTCAGCTGGTTCAAGCAGTTTACCACAAGCAGTTTCCCACAATCAGTTTCCAGAGTAGCAGTTTCTATCATTAGCATTACATAAGCCAAGTCTAAGGACCATAGGGTCAACTTACACTTCTCCAAAGCAATGGCAGAATATCCCAGCCATTCTATTCTGCTAGCAAGGCCAATGTGAGCCAGATGAAAATAACATCAGCAGTGGTGTAAACTCAGCCACACAGAATCAGGGAAGAAAATCACTGCTAAGACAGAGAGCTCTGCTGGAGTCAAAGTGGTGGCCAAGAAGAATTAAAATCCTAAGGGCATGGAAAGGTGTAACCAAAGAACAAATAGAGAAATCATGAAGTAAAAGAGATCTAGATTGGTTTGAACAGCTCAAAAGTGGGCTGTGTCCAGGTAGCCCACTCATATGGTGGTTGGAATATGCCATAAGTGACAGGACAACTTCTTAAAGCAAGTTAGGCTGCACCAGACCTTGCTGCTATCCTTCTTGTCTGACTACTCAGTTTTGAGTCTCATGCCTACTTGACTTATACTTAGTGGATCTCAAGATAGTGTCCTTGTATCTGATTCTGGCCATATACCTGTTGCTACTTCTATTCTATAATCAAGTTTGCTGTTTGCTCCTAATTTCCTGATTCTTCTACGTCAGTTAGGTATAGTCCTACCCTACTAGCAAACAGAACATTACTCATGCTTAACTCAGAATCCCAGAGCATGAAAGCATGCCACTATTGGTATAGAGATGCAGCTAACCTGGTGGACAAATTTTGCAGGCAAATTACCAAGCTCCTAGGATCGTTATTCAACTAACTTCCAGGGTTTGAATGGGTCTTCCAGTTCTAAGGATTCTGGGATAATTTTTTTATATGTAACTATCTTCTCAACTTCAGTTTATGCTCCCTAAACGAAGAAAATATTTACATCCATCTCTGGACTCTCCCTCCAGATCCATACCTCCACAATATCTAACCAGTGTTCATTCAATATCTGCCAAATGATTCTATGAGTCAAGTTGCCCCTTAAAATTTTATTATACAACTAAAATTAAAATTTTTGCCATGTGAGGCACCTTTTATGTACAACATAAATCTAAAATTGAGCAGAAAGTGTTTTTCTTTACATCTGAGGCATGTGTTTTGTTTTACCCAGTGGCCTATATGTAAAATCATGCAACATTTTATTTTGATTGCAAGAAGAAAATTGTTACACAGGAGAAATTATTTAAATATAAATGCCACAATAAAAATCTGAATAATAAAAAGATTTTTACTTTAGTTGATGGCCTACAGACTTGTGGAAATAAATGATACAATATACAATAAACATCCTTGAGATTGTTCAGGTAAGAGCTGACCCAGTTATAAAATGAAAACATATTATTCAAGTTATAATAATTATATAAATGTTCTTCCCTAATCTTTTCATTTTCTTCCCAAATGATAAAAAGTTCTCTAATCCTTTTTACAATGTCTTTCTTTCTAAAAGAAAAAAGGGTGTGGGAGAGGAGGCTGTTTATCTAAATAAACCCCTCTAAAGTCACTATGAGTTCAAAAAGTAACAGCAGACAATTTTAAGAGATAAAAGAAGAAACTTACTCCTTTTCTTTCCCTTTATCACCTCCCTTTTTCTTAGTTGTCCTCCTTGCAGAGGTACACAGCAGGCTGGCCCTGACGATCTGAAGACACCATCAACTCACAGAGGTCTTGTTATCCAAAAGTTGATACATGGGTCAATCTTTGGTAATTCTGAATCTATTTTCTGAACTAATATTTAAAACATTATCAGTTCCCCAGCTAGCCCACAGATGGCTATGTAAATCCACAGTACAGTTGAAATAGTAAAGCTTCAAATATAAAAATAATGATACTATCACACAAGTAACAGTATTTCAGTTAATTATAGAAACACCTCTCTAAGTTCTCTAAAGTCCTGCTTTAGGCCAAGTGCTTATATATACAGATGTTCATAACCTAGGAAGGTGATGTTATTGAAGGACAGGACTGCTACCAAAAAGGCCTAATATATTACAAACCTGCTTAAGAATCAAGATATTTTAAAGAAATTGTCAAAATAAATTTTATCAAAATCTTCTCTACCTCAAAGGCTGAAATTTCAAATTTTTTCCAGTAGGAGTAATCAATCACTGTATTAACCTAATTTGGAATAGCTTATAAAATATATTTAGATGTGTAGCACTCCAATAAAGAAAAATATAAAGCTACAATACACTTTTACTAAAGGTCTTAAGAAAATTTTAAGAAAATCTTTAGAAAAAAATACTTGTATTTGGGAAGATTCAAGGTCCTAAAGGGACAGGAGTATAGCTGTCATAGAAGTGGCTTTCTGAAGCCCCCTAAGAGTATCTACAGACACTGTTCAGTGGTTAAGGTATTAGAGCACTTGAAGGACATTACTGCGTTAGACTAGCATACTGCATGCTAGGGATGATCTGAAGAACTATCCCAACCAAGTTTATTCCTCAGTTCCACCTACCTGCCATCTGTGGTCACATCCTAATTTTGAGCCTTAGGGTCCCTCGGGTGGAAATGGGCTGGTAAATGGAAGAAGTGGGGTAATAGGTAAAGGAGAGCACAAGGAAATTAATAGTTATTGAGAGCCTATTATAAGGCTGACATTAGATATACTGTATATACATAATTGTACAACACTGTAAATCAGCATAATATCTCTATTTTACAGACAAAAATACTGAGGATTAGAGAAGTTACAAGAGTTGTCCAAGGTTAGGCTGTTGGTGAGTGATTAGGAATGGGATTTAGATCCTGGTCTGTGTGACTCAAGTCATGTTCCTAGTCTTGCACAGAATGCAGCACAGCATCACTGTTCTTCAAATCCCTGAAGAGTTCTGCTAACACATCCTCATAACCTCAAGAACATAGGAGCTTTATTATATTACTTCTTCAGTGTAGGATAAAATAGATATATAAAATAAAACTTGTATACCCATAGAAAATTATTACACAATGTAAGTTAGAAATAGAAGAATTATTCATTTGCTTTCCTTTTTTTTTCCTATTCTGGTTCATTATAAGAACGTTTATTTCTGAATATGTTTTTAATGGTAGGTAAGTATTCTTTCCTTACATGATCCTTTGAGAGTCTTTTGTATTGTAAAGCAAGTATCCTAGTTACCATGGAAATCTAGAGTGTAAATTTCCTGACTTTGTGAGGTTGAAGAATACTTTAGCTTTTAATAATCTACCATTAAATTCAGGTTTTGTTTTAAATCAGTATAATTCTACCAACCATCTATACAAGAAAATTACATGGAGTAATCATTTAAATCAAAGTAAATAACCTATAAAGACTAAGAAAAGATATAATACTTTAAAATATTTTTAAACACCCACAGCTTTTTGAACATATTTTTGAAACTGACTCAATAGATATTATTTTTAAATGTAAAGATTAAATCATAGCAAATAAGAAATCAACTGAGAGAAATTGTAGCTCTATATGCAGTTTTATTTTAAGTACTGAAACCGCCTTGGCAAAAATTATAACAGTGAGAAAATTACAGCAGTGAACAAGATCTGACCTAACCAATTCTATCTTGCCTTTAACCTCCAAACTGCCCTTGGTCTTTCCAGGGCATGGGCCAAGCTAACTTTAGGAGAAATTTAGTTTCTAGTTTAATCTTACAGTAAAGATGATATAAGCCTTCCCAAAGCTTAACCACCTTTGTAAAACTAATGAAAGGCTACAAGGTTAGAATTATGAAAGGGGTAGAATTCAGCTAAGATGTAGGCGTAAATGATAAGCAGTCATCATTCTAGAAGTCACAAGTTTCGTAACTTCCTCAATTACTCCTGTAAATAACATCGCTATTGTAGAACCTAAGATTGACCTTTTGAGATGTCTTTTCAGACTTTGGCATTTCTGACAACCAGATGACTTCACTCAGACCAAAGACTCATGATTCAACTCTTCCTGTAGTCCCCACCCAGAAGTAGACTCAGCACACAAGGACCATTTTCCACGCCCCAGTGATTGCATCCCCAACTAAATCAGTGGCACCCATTCCCTAGCACCCTGCCTGCCAAACTATGTTGAAAAACTCTAGCCTCCAAATTTTGGGGAAGGCTGATATGAGTAATAATAAAACTCTGATCTCCCATTTAGCCAGCTCTACGTGTATTAAACTCTCTCTCTATTGCAATTCCCCTGCATAGATACATCAGCTCTGTCTGGGCAGTGGACAAGATGAACCCACCAGGCAATTACAGGATGAACTATTAAAATGAAGTTTTGAGATTTAACATTCTGGTTCAGATATTAATTACTATTAAAAAAAACAAGCACTGAAATGGGAAGTTTGGCAAAAATCAAGACAATAAATCTAGCTAGGGACAGACAAGAATCCAGATATCTATTCATCAAATAAAGGAGTAAGTTCAGTTTAGGGAGACTGGCATACCTAAATTCTAATCATTCTTGTCACAAACTAGCTGTGTGACCACAGGACAGCCAATTAACCTCTCGGGACCCTAGTTTTCTCATCTGTAAAATAAACTATTTTAGATTAGGTAAGCACTAAGTTTCCTTCCAACTACTGAAAAAAAAATACCATGACTATGATCTGTTTGTGTAAACTGAAAAATATTTGTGAGGGATTTAAGGAAAAGGTGAGCAAAAGGAATTTTTATCCAAAAGCACCAAAATAACAAAGAAGCTTTTTTTTTTAAAAAAAAGGAGAGGGTTACCTTATATAAGAACAGGAAAGCTCCAAACTACTTGGTATGTTTAACAAACTTTTTTTTTAATGGAATGATCATATTTCCTTTGGAAAACTTAGCTGAATTTTGTAAAACCTCATTTAAATTTATACTGAACCACAATATACACTGAGTGCCATCCAACACATCTCATTCTAGTGTATGTAAGAATGAGTTATACCAATAAAGAACATTAAAATTTACAAAGTTAATGCATTCCTGAAACATTGTTGAGAAGATTGTCCCCCCAACCTCTAGGTAAGGAGCTAGGAGGGGATTCAATCATGACTCCTTGAAGGTTGAGAAAATAACTTTTATCTGAGGAATGTGACTCTTTAAAAATTATCAAGTCCAGAGAGACATTAAAAGGAGACTGTAATCACATCCTCCTTCTCCTATGAGCTATGTATTCATCTCCTGAAACTGCTTGCTATTGTCATAAAGTAGCTATAAACTGACATAATATGTTGCGCCGGACACTGTAGCCCATACCCTATAGCTTAACAATGTATTACCATCACTAATCAATGTTATTTGTGTAAACCAATGAGAATTCCTAACAACTCTGTATCGGCCCACTCCCTGTCCTCTTTTTTGCCTTTAAACATCCACTTGTAACTGCGGCTGATCTTGAATCTGTGCTCCTGGGTTACAATCCTCAAGCTTGGCCCAAATAAACTCTCTACTTATATTAGTTTTACCTAGTTTCTTCCTTTCAGATTGACATACATGGCATAAGTCGGCAGGACTCGGAGTGAACCTTCCCCTTTGCATGGCCCCCACCCCAACCACCTGGTGTTTCTCTGAAAGCAATGCTTGGTACCAGGATGAACTCTTCATCTTCACAAGTCTCAATGGGTGTTTTGGGTAAGTTCTTCTGAATTCATACCTCTCACTCTTTGGTTGAAGGTCTAGATTTAGACTGTTTTTCAAAGCTTCTTTTTCCTTTAAGAGTGAGGGTTTCAGTCTCTGTCTTTGGACAGGAGATTCAGGTAAAGAGCTCTGCAGAGAAATGCCTTTGCTTCCACCTGTCTCAGTACTGGGGGTTTAGGTCCAAGTTTTTCCAACCCTGTTTCACAACAGAGTTTCAGGTCAAAGGACTGGTAGTTAAGCACCAGAGGTTTTCTTCTAAATGGCATACTTTTAAGGCAGTGAAATGTTCCAAACAATGCTGCACTTTAAGAAAATACATTTCAAAATGAGAGCTCTTGCATTAGTCTCATCCAAGGATGCTTACTGATGTGCAGAAGCTTCTAAAAAGATTTCAACATTTTGTTGCCTATTTTAAAAAACTCTTCACAAAAGGCTAAAAGAGAGCTATCCTGGATAAAGTGTTTATTAAAGCCTTAGGTAAAGTAGGCTTACTTCTTCTTCAGAGCTATCTAAGATGAGAATATTTTCTTTGCCCTATTGCTTGATAGGCTCCTGCCAAACTCAGGAATTTTAGCTAAGAAACAGAAGCTAAGTTAAAAACACCACCCATTGAAAAGATGGGTCTCCAAAATACATCTTTGTTGTCTAGCCAACAACTGCTTAGGGCAATGAAACAGGTAATTGGAAGACTGATAGTCTAAAAGGTAGAAATAAATGACAATAAAATTACTAAGATTATAAAAATGCAGATCCAACAAACTTTTTCTAAACCAAGACTAATGACTAACACTGTTGAAACATGAATATTCAGGGAGTTAGCTAAGCAGTATGCCAGGTGAGATCAGATCTGGAACATGTATGTAAAGGCATGTATGTACGTATGTAGACATGTTCTCACTCTTGCCCAGGCTGGAGTGCAGTGGCACCATCATGGCTCACTACAGCCTCCATCTCCTGGGCTCAAGCCATTCTCCCACCTAAGCCTTCCAAAAATCCTTTAAATGATCAAACTGCCTGCTTTCGCCTCCCTGCAAGATTTACAAAAAAAAACACAAAACAAAATAAAAAAACACATCCACCCTGTGGTCTAGTGGCTAAGACTTTGTGCTTTCATTGCTGCATCCTAGGTTCAATTCCCAGTCAGGGAAGCAGTCCCTGTTGGTTTGATATTTGTGTGAATTTCAACTTGTGGGGATACTGCTTTGCTACTTGGTAAGTTACCTTTGGTTAAAACAGCCAGAAATAAGCCAGGCGTGGTGGCTCACGCCTGTAATCCCAGCACTTTGGGAGGCTGAGGCGGGCGGATCATGAGGTCAGGAGACAGAGACCATCCTAGCTAACACGGTGATGGTGTTTAGTAGCCTGTCTCTACTAAAAATACAAAAAAATTAGCCAGGCATGGTGGCGGGCGCCTGTAGTCCTAGCTACTCAGGAGGCTAAGGCAGGAGAATGGCTTGAACCCGGGAGGCAGAGCTTGCAGTGAGCCGAGATCGCGCCACTGCACTCCAGCCAAGAGCTGAAAGAGCGAAACTCCGTCTCAAAAAATACATAAAATAAATAAATAAGCCAGAAATAGCAGCTGTTTGTCCTGGCTAAAATCTAATAACAAGAGATTTGAATGGATTTTTTAAAAAGAGCTCTATGATCAGAAGTCAGCTTAATTAAAGCTGATATATATATGGGGCTTTGAGGGGGGCACTTTTATCTTCTGTTTGGATTTTGCCGTTAGAAAATTTTTTTCAGTAGATTAAAATCTTTTTTTTTTAATTATGTATTTGTTCCCTCTGCTTCCTTTTTTAAGAACTATTCTCCCATCTACTTCTCCCTACTCTTTCTTCCTCTTTGCCATCTTCAGTACCACATAAAATAATCTGGGAGGAACTTCTAATGAATCAGACTCCATAAGGAACAAAGGAAAAGGTGCCAACAACCCCTTTTGGGGGTCTTCGGTCTTCCTGTGGAATTTAAAGAATCGTAGGCAGATTCTTCTCAATTCTAAAACTCTACTCTCATTTGTATTTGTGTTACCTGATCTCACTGGCTTTTGGGGTACCAGAGATTACTTTGAGACTTTACAGTTGTGAGAGAGAAACTTGACTTTGTTGTATGTGATGGCTGATAAGTCAATGGCGATAACTGCAGTTTTGGAGGTGGCCGACAGCAGTTGTTTATAGTAAATGGGTATTACTATAATGGGGCTACTTGTTTCTTTGAGCATTTAGATAAGACAGGTGAAGTTTAAACACTCAGAGAAATTTCTTTGGAGCAAAGTACACTGTGGAAACATTGTGCAGCTGGGTCCCATGGTGTTTTCCTCTTTCAGGACACTGGGGGTTCAAGTAAAAGCAGAATCCTTTATTTTAAAAAATCTAAATGTTCTGCCTTCCAACCGGAGGCTGCTTTTCACATAATTAAATGACTAGGCCCTAAAAACTGCAAATGCTTTGTTGACAGTGCTCCATTTAATGGGCTCTACCCTGCGCTCAATGGTCCAGTTGGAAAACAGACTAAGTTAAAAACTATCATTCTAAATAAAATTGGTCTCCTCATAAAATCCTGTGGTAAATCCCTATGATTTTGTGTTACTTTGGCATCCATTTTTAATCTTCCTCTAACAAACACAACCAAACTCCTTTAAAACTTAAATTCTATTTGTGTGTGCTTTGAGATATAAATTTGCTACCCTGCTTTTTTTCTATAACTCAGTAAGGGCTTGGGCCATATGAGACATATAAATTTCAGCCTGTTCCATTTATAAGAGTGACAACTGTCCTTTTAAACTAGTGAGTTTTACCTAACTCATGGCTAAAGTTTTAAAACTAAAGCTGTAAGATCCTTATTTCTGTCTGTCTGTATTTTTGTGTATACATATGTGTACATGTCTGTTTATATATTCTTTATGGTACCAAACTGGCTTATAAATAAAGAGGTAGTCAAAATTAATTAGCCCAAATGCTTTTCAAGTTCACATGACTTTAGTAATCTTTGGTAAACAAAGATAGCTTTAAAATCATTGGTAAAATAAAAGAGAAACATTTTCAAAATTTAATTTAGATATTTTTGAGTCTATTCAGGCAGATTTATGTTGTCTCTGCTAGATGTTTTAAGGCAAAAAAAAAAAAACCTGTTGCTTTTATGAATTAAGTATTTGATTAATTTGTCTGTGAGCTTATGTCTTTAGATTTGAATCTGTAAATTCGGGATGTGGACAGGTGGCCATGTGGGCCTGGGGACAAGTCCTCAGCACCTAGAACACCAGCTAAAAGGCAGAGTCAAGCCTAATATGGCCCCATCCTCCTTGGTCCAGGTTATCATAAGTCAAAATTAAAATTTCTCTCAATGAGTGTACCATGTTTACACTTAGAACGAAATGCTAAGAACATATTTGTACATTTGTGAGGTAATCACATTACAAAATGATCTGAATGTGTAATTTTAAAAATATCTTTTCCATGTGCCTAGATGACTTAAGTGGAGTTAAATGGCTTTTTGAAAATTAAAGGGAAAGTTCTCAAGATTAAAACGAAGTGTGGAAACATTGGGCCAAAATACAATTTTAAAATAACAAAGGACTAAAAATGGAAGCTAAGAAGTAAGCAGAAGTCAGACCTTTTTTTTGAATATATCAATTAAATTCCTACATTTTAGTGACCTATGTCTTTCCCGTGTTAAATAGACTTGCCACTTACAAAGCTGAAGAGAAAACAATAAATTTAATGTAATATGTAGGTGTCCTAGTGAGAACTAAATAATGCAGGAGCCCTTACCTATAACACAAAAGATTTTGAGAAAGATTAAGGAATACATGTATGAGAATTGCAAAGCAGATGATAAAGATATCGGTGAGAAATAGGATTAAGAACTGGAGAAAGAAATGAACACATAAAACAACCTAGTTCCCATGTTATCAACTTCAGCACTTTGCAACTTGCTAAGCTACAAAATTACTTCGGAAATACCTAAAGGACATCTAAGAAACTTAAGATCACTAAATTGTAAAGAAATAAGAGAATGGACCAAATTTTATGCATCTCATTAAAAGACCATTAAGTGAGCAGCTGTTTCTTCATTCTCATTTAAGTACATTGGTCATTATATCTAGACTTGCTCATAATAATCTTCTGCCCTGATGAGCAAGTGAATGTTGCAATGTATCTAGAGGTTGTTCTTGCCTAAATAGGTATCTGCTGTCTTCATATTTATCTTATATTACAGATCACACATTAATATGCATATGTAAAGTCTGAGTATAAATAATGGGATAATCATTATGGAGTTCAGTCATGACTCAGAAATTAATACAAACATTTACATGTGCCAAGCACTGTTGCAGACACTGGGGACACAGCAATGAACAAGATCCCTGAAGTCCCTACCCTCATGAAGTGGAGATAGGAATACAATAAAGAAACCAATTAGTACATCCCTTGTAATCTTGGTGAAAATCATCTCAGTTTGCTCTCTATAAAACTGAAACTAATATTACTTACATAAGCATCATTATATCCTACCCAAATAAAAATTATGACAAAGACCTATAAACCAGTAAAGCTTGTACTCTAATTTTCTCTCATCTGTCCCTGTCTCCAGTGGCACATACATAACAGAATGCAGGCCAGAGTTTGAGGTGTAAGCCATGCCATGAAATAGAAGAAAAAATAATTGGATCATGATAGGGCTCAATACAGGCCTGTGTTCTATATCAAAACTAACTAACTCAATCATCTATGGTTTCTCAAGTAAGATTATCGTGACAAAAATGTGCTATTTGGAGCATATTTTGTCTGCCTTAGTTTCAGTACCAGTGTCCAGATAAGTCATTTTTATTTCAAATATCATGACTGTCAGTTTAAAAACCTTTATTATCAGTTGGACTGTTAATTAGATTATAAATTGTAAGTCACATTTTAATGTAATTCTTTTTTTCTCTTCTAGAGTTGAAATAATTTTTGACAAGACGAATGCACACTTTTGCAAAACTGCATCAAACAGGCATAATTTAATGTTAGATTCTTGTATTTAACACAACAAACTAGTTATGAATGAGCAAATAAAATTAAAGTTCTGACCAAGCTACTTTTCATCAGAAAACAAGACATACTCTCAGTAATTCTGAAATATTAATGTATAGGACAATAAATCAAAACAAAAAATATATTCAGATTGCCAACATAAAATGTAAGTTAGCTAATGGTCTGAATAAATCAATCACCTCAATCTCTCTCTCAGTGTTTCTCTTTCTTTCAATCTCTCTCCTCCCTAATCAAGGACATATGAACACATAAGGGGAAAAAAAGACCTACATTGATAAAACTAAAGCTAAAACTTGGGCACAAACCAAAAAATTGGAAGAAGTGTATATTAACAATAGAGCCATACTTCTCTGTTCTTATTAGATAGTGAACTCTCTCTTTTAAGGACAAAGGACAAGTTTTATTTACTTTAGTACCTTCAGGCTAAGCATAGTGCCAGGCATACATGGATGCAATAAAGATGTTATTTTCTTGATAAACACAGAGGCAATCAAAAGAGACCTTCCACACCCTCCAACCACCAAAGCTACTGACCTCTGGCATCAAAGCCTATATTCTTTCTAGAAAATGTACACCCTTTCAAGAACAGTAACCTTCATCCCCACTGTTCCTCTTCCACTCCCATCATCCTCCAAAAGAAATAGAGGCATATACATTTCTCACATAGACCCGTGATGAAGCTCAGAGCATAACTAATATTTTCATGGTTTTATGAAGACTATTCAATAAGCTACATGAGGGATCTATGAAGAAAACTCAAGAATTATTGGTTAGTCTTACTTGGCTAAGTCCTCTCAATCAGCAATCTCAGGCTTGTGATAGAAATTATTTGGCCAAACATTATAAGCTAAGCTCAGCAGCAATTATCTATGAATCTGAAAGTCATGTGCTCCAAAATCAGATGTGCAAATGTAAAAATGTTTTTTCATTAGAAAAAAAAAAGACTAACTGGTATTCTTGCCTTCAAGGAAGGCTATGCCACACCCATTAGCAGTGTGGGCCACAGAAGTCCCAATGTGCAGGAGCAACAATTTCCCAAAAACTGGATCTGGATGCATTTAAATTGCCAAACAATTATGGCAACAAAGTTCTGTATATGAAGCTTTCATGAATACTCCTAAATTTGTATTTTTGTAACAACTGAATCATTTAATATGTCATCTAACATAGTCATTCACATAAATATGAAGCATCCAAGATCAATACTAACACTTACTGGGTGGTTTGAAGGCCTTGGGTTCTATACTAGAATATGCTTTAGGCATGATTTCCATATAAGAGGAAGATTTGTCTAGTGATGACCATCAAAGTGAAGTAAAGCCAAATACCCATGAAGCTACAAGTAAGGTATTTGATGTCCTTCAAAAACTACTCATCCTAAGCTTTTCTTTCCTAATCAATTTTATAGGTGCTATCACATGTTAAAAGCTATTCTAGTTCAGTTAAGTAAGAAAGTTCCTGAATATGATTTCAACTTCCCAAATGATTGAGCAGTACTATACTTGCCTCAAGGCCTATCCACAATACTCAAGTTACAACATAGTTAGAAAAGATTTTTAAAAGATACTTTCACCTTATATTTTAAAAACCAAAGCTCTCTGAAGAACCTGCAAATTTGTCCTTTTCCCAAAAACCTAGCTATAGCAACAATTCAATTTCATCCTGGGTAATTAAAGAATGATTAACTAAACTTTCTGATATGTTTCTGTTGAAAAATTATTTATAAAACTGATCCCCAAAAAACTTAGTACAATGTAAAGGCACCTAGGAAAACATCAAATTCATATAGGTAATAATTTGTCTCACTTAGCTCATGTACATACATGTACACTCATAATCCATGCTTTGTTAGATTCTTTGATGAACACAGAAACTATATATCCAAAATCAGTGCTATCCCATACACAAGGATTCTGAATGCAGTATTATTTTTAATAATGAAAACTAGGATCAAATATCAGTGTTGCTTAATAAGATAATGATTAAGTAAATTACTGTCACTCAATACTACGAAATACTAGTAAGCCAATAAACAGAATGAGATATATTTATATGTACTGATCACAATATATTATTAAGTGAAAAAAGGCAGGTTGCTAAACTATATGACTACTATCACTTCACTACTAAGGGAGAAACCTATACTGAGGTAAACACACATACATGTATGTACCTAGGAAAAGTCTGGGAAAATGCTTACTAAGCAATTATGAGTTATTACTCCAAATGGTGAGAGTGGGCAAGGCCAGGGGTGGGACGCCTTCACTCTTTTACTTTATATATTTCTGTATTGATGCTGCTTGAGTCTATACAGGATATATATTTTCTTTGTAATTAAAAAATTGAAAAGCACTGACCTCATCTACACAAAAAATTTAGAAAATTAGCCGCGCATGGTGGCATGCACCTACTTGGGAGGCTGAGGTGGGAGAATCACTTGAGCCCAGGAATTGGACAGTTGGAGGCTGCAGTGAGCTATGATTGTGCCACTGCACTCCAGAATGGGCAACAGAGTGAGACTGATCTCCAAAAAAAAATTCAGAAGTGTTATCTTCTTAAATATTGTAAGCTTGAAAGGCTATATACATCATTTAATGGTGTTGTGGCTGCTGAAAACATTTTTCACACACCTCTTTTAAAACTACTTACAAAGTGTAATATTTCAAATATCTTGGTAACAAACCTTTTTCCTATGAGAATGGATTTGAATTTTAAAATGTAAAAAGTAAGATGGGTATGGTGGTTCATGCCTGTAATCCCAGCTACTCAGCAGGCTGCGGTGGGAGGACGACTTGAGCCAAGGAGCTTGAGTGTGCCATAACTACACCACTGCACTCCAGCCTGGGCAACAGAGTAAGACCCTAGCTCTAAATAAATAAATAAATAAATAAAGTAAAATGTAAAAAGTAGATGGAGCCAGATCTGGTAAATAGGCAATACTGTAAACTGTAATTTTTTAATCAATATATGACACAATAACCAAGATATAGAATCAGCCTAAGTGTGTATCAATGGATAACAAAAATGTGGTACATATACACAATGGAATACTAATCAGCCTGAAAAAGGGAAGGAAATCCTGTCATTTATGACAGCGTGGATGAATCTAGAAGGTATTATGTTAAGTGAAATAAGCCAGGCACAAAAAGACAAACACTGCATGATCTCACTTATATATGGAATCTAAAAAGTAGAACTCATAGAAGGAATAGAATGGCAGTTATAGTGGAAGAATGGGGGAGTGTTGGTCAAAGTACACAAAATTGCAGTAAGGCCAGGTGCAGTGGCTCATGCCTATAATCCAAACACTTTGGGAGGCTGAGGTGGACGGACTGCTTCAGCCCAGGAGTTTGACACCAGACTGGCAACGCAGCAAAACCCCATCTCTATAAAAAATACAAAAATTATCCAGGTGTGGTGGTACACACCTGTAGCCCCAGCTACTCAGGAGGCTAAGGTGGGAGGAAGCCCAGGGAAGTCATGGCTGCAGTAAGCCATGACTGTGCCACTGCACTCCAGCCTGGCTGCAAAGTGACACCCTGTCTCTCTCTCTCTCTCTCTCTCTCTCTCTCTCTCTCTCACACACACACACACACACTAAAGTCAGAAGTAATAGAGTAATAGAAGTAATAGAGTTCAGGAACTCTATTGTACAACTCTAGTGGTGACTACAGTTAATAACAATATACTGTATAGAGATGCTTCTTAACTTGCAGTGGGGTTATGTCCCAAAAAACCCATACTAAGTTGAAAATAATGTGAGTCAAAATGCATTCAATACAACTAATCTACCAAACATCATAGCTTAGCCTTCCCTTCCTTAAACATGCTCAGAACACTTATACTGGCCTACAGTTGTGCAAAATCATCTAACACAAATCCTATTATATAATAAAGTGTTGAACATCTCATGTAATGTACTGAATACCATACTGAAAGTGAGTAACAGAATGGCTTGCTGCTCTTGCCAGCATACAAGATACAAGAGAATATTTATTATACCACATATCATTACCCCAAGAAAGAATCAAAATTCAAAGTACAGTTTCTACTAGATGAACATTGCTTTCACACCATGGTAAAGTTGAAAAATCATAAGTCAAATCATTGTAAGTTGGACACCATATGTAGTTGAAAATTACTATGAGAACAGATTTGAAATGTTCTCTCCACAAAAAAATGCTAAGTATATGAGGTAATTAATTAGCTTTATATAGCTATTCCACAATGTCTACATATATTAAAACATCATGTTCTATACCAAAAATACATACAATATTTGTCAAGTAAAAATAATTTCAAAATTAATAAATATAAAAATTTTATCTTCCATTAGAAAAAAAGATACGACTATATGCGGCATATATGTAACTGACTCATTATAAAGGTAATTCCAAAAGAGAAGTTCCAAAAATAAAATTATCAAAGGCAACTCCATATTATCCCCTATAATCTCATAGTGTTTTCTACACGACAAGCCACAATAAAGCTGTATTAAATAAAGAAAAAAACAAAGAAATTTAAAAAAGAATAAACAAATTACAAAATCTTCTCAGAATAAAAACTGTCCTGGCAAGGAGCCAAATTTGAAGAATTTTCTAGATCTATAGCACTTTGGACTTAGGAGACCTTTTTTTTTGTTTTTTGTTTTTTTTAAAGTCGATAGTGGGATGTTTCTGGTGGAAAGGGTATGTTCTAAGACTCCTATGTGCCATACATGGAGGATGGTAAGAGGAACCGTCCACCTGGCTATGGTAAAACAAGCCTAAGTCTTCATCCCCTATTGTGCCATGGAGGAAAAGCTTGTCTTCTTTAACACTCAGGAGAAGGGAACCCACGAGTTTTTGCATCCTACATGAATCTTCAATACTAAACAGTAGAATGCAAAATTACTTCATTAGTAAAACAGATCATTTTATTCAATAACCATTATGGACAACTTCCCTCAGTAGTTATTTTGAATGACAAAATAGTATTTCATGTATTTTTTTAAAAAAGAGTAGGTCTTATAATTTTATGGTCTCATCTCTTCTATGCATTTATTTCTAAGGTGTTTCTCAGTTCCTTTTTGATGGGAGATATAATTGAAAATATTTCATAATTATTAACAAGCCAAGAACTATTACCCAATTTTCATATCACATATAAACACACATAAAACTTAATCTCTGCTTATCTGGATATAAAAAACAGCCTTAAACAAGACATGACATTAATTACGGAAAATGCAGGTATTTTAAAATAAATGCTAAGAGAAAATTTGACATTTTGTGAATTTTCTACATTTTTCTGAAGCTTTGCTAAGAGCTAATTTTCCCACACATGAGCCTTTGAAAACATTAATAATGAAAATGCCAACTGAATTTCAAATACTTTTGCTAGGCAATTGTACTATATATTGCTGATGTTATATATTAAAAGATTAATCATGTCTTATAATTAAACAGCTTTATGAACTTTTAATTGATTCACTCAATAAACATTGAGTACCATATTTGCCAAGTACTTGTTTGAAGTACTGCAAAGTTAACAGTGAACAAGATAGTCAAGAAGACAGCATCACCACCATGGAACTTACACTCTAATGGATGGAAACTATCAATAAATATAAAAGGAGACATCAAATCATGATGAGCATTTTGAAGAAAATAAGATAAGATGATAGTGATGGTGACAGCCTGCTCTTCTGAGATGACATTTAAGATAAGACCTGTATATCGAGAAATAAACACTAATGATCTAAAGGGTAAAGTTTCCAGATAGAGAGAACAGCCATAAGTTCAAGGGCCCTAAAGTGTTAATGAAATTGGTATATCTGAAAAAAAGGGAAGAAAATAAATGTACTCTGAACTTGGGTAAGCATGGTAGAGATGAGGTAAGTAGAGGTCAGACTAGGTTGAACCTCAAGGCTAAAAAAAGGGTTTGAGTTATGATCTAAGCACATGGCTTCTGTTTTGTTTTACATTTAATTACAGGAAATATAAACACATGAAAGAAGAAAAAGCAAAAAGAATAAACAGTACATGAACCCTCATGTACTATTTATCACTTAGTTTCAAAAATTATCAATTTATGCCCAGTCTTATTTACTCATTCCACATTTACCCTTCAGATATCATATCATTTCATCTACATGTATTTTAGCAACGTAACTCTAAAATATAGGGAGTCTCCTTGAAAAGAGACCGATCCCACAGAAATACAAACTACCATCAGAGAATACTACAAACACCTCTATGCAAATAAACTAGAAAATCTGGAAGAAATGGATAAATTCCTCAACATATACACCCTCCCAAGACTAAACCAGGAAGAAGTTGAATCTCTGAATAGACCAATAACAGGCTCTGAAATTGTGGCAATAATCAATAGCTTACCAACCAAAAAGAGTCCAGGACCAGATGGATTCACAGCCGAATTCTACCAGAGGTACAAGAAGGAACTGGTACCATTCCTTCTGAAACTATTCCAATCAACAGAAAAAGAGGGAATCCTCCCTAACTCATTTTATGAGGCCAGCATCATCCTGATACCAAAGCCAGGCAGAGACACAACCAAAAAAGAGAATTTTAGACCAATATCCTTGATGAACATTGATGCAAAAATCCTCAATAAAATACTGGCAAACCGAATCCAGCAGCACATCAAAAAGCTTATTCACCATAATCAAGTGGGCTTCATCCCTGGGATGCAAGGCTGGTTCAATATATGCAAATTAATAAATGTAATCCAGCATATAAACAGAACCAAAGACAAAAACCACATGATTATCTCAATAGATGCAGAAAAGGCCTTTGACAAAATTCAACAACCCTTCATGCTAAAAACTCTCAATAAATTAGGTATTGATGGGACGTATCTCAAAATAATAAGAGCTATCTATGACAAACCCACAGCCAATATCATACTGAATGGGCAAAAACTGGAAGCTTTCCCTTTGAAAACGGACACAAGACAGGGATGCCCTCTCTCACCACTCCTATTCAACATAGTGTTGGAAGTTCTGGCCAGGGCAATTAGGCAGGAGAAGGAAATAAAGGGTATTCAATTAGGAAAAGAGGAAGTCAAATTGTCCCTGTTTGCAGACGACATGATTGTATATCTAGAAAACCCCATTGTCTCAGCCCAAAATCTCCTCAAGCTGATAAGCAACTTCAGCAAAGTCTCAGGATACAAAATCAATGTACAGAAATCACAAGCATTCTTATACAGCAATAACAGACAAACAGAGAGCCAAATCATGAGTGAACTCCCATTCACAATTGCTTCAAACAGAATAAAACTCCTAGGAATCCAACTTACAAGGGACGTGAAGGACCTCTTCAAGGAGAACTACAAACCACTGCTCAAGGAAATAAAAGAGGATACAAACAAATGGAAGAACATTCCATGCTCATGGGTAGGAAGAATCAATATCGTGAAAATGACCATACTGCCCAAGGAAATTTATAGATTCAATGCCATCCTCATCAAGCTACCAATGACTTTCCTCACAGAATTCGAAAAAACTACTTTAAAGTTCAGATGGAACCAAAAAAGAGCCCGCATCACCAAGTCAATCCTAAGCCAAAAGAACAAAGCTGGAGGCATCATGCTACCTGACTTCAAACTATACTACAAGGCTACAGTAACCAAAACAGCATGGTACTGGTACCAAAACAGAGATATAGACCAATGGAACAGAACAGAGCTCTCAGAAATAACGCCGCATTATCTACAACTATCTGATCTTTGACAAACCTGAGAAAAATAAGCAATGGGGAAAGGATTCCCTATTTAATAAATGGTGCTGGGAAAACTGGCTAGCCATATGTACAAAGCTGAAACTGGATCCCTTCCTTACACCTTATACAAAAATTAATTCAAGATGGATTAAAGACTTAAACGTTAGACCTAAAACCATAAAAACCCTAGAAGAAAACCTAGGCATTACCATTCAGGACATAGGCATGGGCAAGGACTTCATGTCTAAAACACCGAAAGCAATGGCAACAAAAGCCAAAATTGACAAATGGGATCTAATTAAACTAAAGAGCTTCTGCACAGCAAAGGAAACTACCATTAGAGTGAACAGGCAACCTACAAAATGGGAGAAAATTTTTGCAACCTACTCATCTGACAAAGGGCTAATATCCAGAATCTACAATGAACTCAAACAAATTTACAAGAAAAAAACAAACAACTCCATCAAAAAGTGGGCGAAGGACATGAACAGACACTTCTCAAAAGAAGACATTTATGAAGCCAAAAAACACATGAAAAAATGCTCAGCATCACCGGCCATCAGAGAAATGCAAATCAAAACCACAATGAGATACATCTCACACCAGTTAGAATGGTGATCATTGAAAAGTCAGGAAACAACAGGTGCTGGAGAGGATGTGGAGAAATAGGAACACTTTTACACTGTTGGTGGGACTGTAAACTGGTTCAACCATTGTGGAAGTCAGTGTGGCGATTCCTCAGGGATCTAGAACTAGAAATACCATTTGACCCAGCCATCCCATTACTGGGTATATACCCAAAGGACTATAAATCCTGCTGCTATAAAGACACATGCACACGTATGTTTATTGCGGCACTATTCACAATAGCAAAGATTTGGAACCAACCCAAATGTCCAACAATGATAGACTGGATTAAGAAAATGTGGCACATATACACCATGGAATACTATGCAGCCATAAAAAACGATGAGTTCATGTCCTTTGTAGGGACATGGATGAAATTGGAAATCATCATTTTCAGTAAACTATCGCAAGGACAAAAAACCGAACACTGCATGTTCTCACTCATAGATGGGAATTGAACAATGAGAACGCATGGACACAGGAAGGGGAACATCACACTGTGGGGACTGTTGTGGGGTGGGGGGAGGGGGGAGGGATAGCATTAGGAGATATACCTAATGCTAAATGACGAGTTAATGGGTGCAGCAAACCAACATGGCACATGTATACATATGTAACTAACCTGCACATTGTGCACATGTACCCTAAAACTTAAAGTATAATAATAATAAAAAAAATTTTTTTTTTGCTTAGCCAGCCCCTAATATGCTTGCCTGCAACAAGAAAAATAAAAATGAATCTATTGGCAAGATCTCAAATAGAAAAAAAAAAAAAAAAAAAAAGAAAACCCTCTTGACATTATCAATTTAAAACCCACAATCTTCTAAATCTATAGATTATCTTTCCTTTAATTTTTTCTTACAATTTATTTGTTGAAAAACTGGGTTGTTTCTCCTACAGGATTTTCCATACTCTACATTTACTTATTGCATTCTCATAGTTTCACTTACCATGTTTCTCTGTTTCATGTATTACCTACAAATTAGTAGTTAGATCTGGAGACTTAATCAGATTCTGGTCTAAATATTTGGCATGACTACTCCATAATTTATGCTAACTACTTAGATTATTTTCTCTCTGTGTGTGATATTAGAAGTCGGTGATAATTGCTGCCTAGATCTTATACTTTTTCATTAAGGGTTAAAAAATGATGATACAATAATTCTATTACTCATTCTTGTCAGTTCAAATACTTCTACTGTGAAAAATTTATCTCACCAACTATTTAGGTAAGAGAATAGGGGTCATCAAGATGGTGGACTAGACGTGCCCAACATTCATCTTCTTTATGAAGAAGGAGAGGGAGTACAACATGCTGTTTTAATATATGCAGACATCGTGGAATGGCTATATCAAGATAATTAATATATCTATTATCTCTCATAGTTACCATTTTTTGTAGAGAGAACATTTAAAATCTACTGTCTTAGCATTTTTCAAGTATATATGGTCTCTGACTTACAATGATTTAACTTATGATTTTTCAGCTTTACCATGGTGTGAAGGCGAAAACAAATAAATGACTGTACTTCAAGTAGATAGTCTAAAGAAGAACACTGAAATTCAGCAAGGAAGTGACAAAAACCCTGTGAAGCACAGAAACTCAGGATGGCAGCCCCACAGTTGTCACAGGCCCTGAGCCCGGGATAGGAAGCTGCCTTTAGTCCACACAGCTGCTCTGCTCCAGATAAAAAATTCACACTGGCAACCCCCACTCCCCAGGACCCAAGGTGTACTAGCACAGCACCTTTTTGGGAATAGTGCCACTTCTAGACTTCATCCTGACCTGGGACCAACAGCCCCTGCATTGCCACATCCATGGGGCTCCACTGTCATTTCACTATGCCTATATACTTGTAATGCTATGACTTCAGCTAGACCCATGGGACAGCCATGATCCTGGCACCAGGTACCACACTGTGTACTATACTCCCGGTGGTCTAGCACAGAAAGCAGGCTAGGGGAGCCAACATACATGCCTCCCAGGGTGTGAGGAATGGTGGGCCAGCACCCACTGCCACCAGCAACCCCATTTCTTTGATCAACAGTGCCACCATAGGCTGCATACACCTCCCAGATCTGAGGCCTGGCCCACCTGCCACCTTCTGCCACTGGCAACCATGGCCCTGTGACCAGTGGAGCCACTGGACACTACATGTACCTACTCAGGGCCTGAGAACCGGCCCACTCAGTTGGCTTCACAGTGAGAAAAGCCACACCACTCCTTCCATAAACCACTAGGCTACTGAGTCATTTGCAGACATCACTGACGCTGTGATATGGTTTGGTTCTGTGTCACTACCCAAATCTCATCTAGAAATGTAATCCCCACCCATTGGTAGATGATTGTACCATGGGGGCAGTTCCCTCATGCTGTTCTCATGATAGTGAGTGAGTTCTCACGAGATCTGATGGTTAAAAAGTGGCACTTCCCCCTTCTCTCTCTCTGTTTATTGCCACCATATGAAGAAAGTCCCTGCTTCCACTTCTGCCATGATTGTAAGTTTCCTGAGACCTCCCCAGCCATGTGGAACATGTGAGTTCATTAAACCTTTTTTCTTCATTAATTATCCAGTCTTAGGTAGTTCTTTTTAGCAGTATGAAAACAGACTAATACAGGAAATTGGTACCAGGATACTGGGGTACTGCTATAAAGATAACCTGACAATGTGGGAGCAACTTTGGAATTGGGTAACAGGCTGAGGTTGGAACAGTTTGGAGAGTGCAGAAGAAGACAGGAAGATGTGGAAAACTTTGGAATATCTTAGAGACTTGTTGAATGGTTTTGACCAAAATGCTGATAGTAATATGGACAATGAAGTCCAGGCTAAGATGGTCTCAGATGGAGATGAGGAACTTCTTGGGAACTGGAGTAAAGGTCACTCTTGCTATGCTTTAGCGAAGAGACTGGTAGCATTTTGCCTCTGCCTCAGAGATCTGGGGATCTCTAAACTTGAGAGAGATGACTTAGGGTACCTGGCAGAATAAATTTCTAAGCAGCAAAGCATTCAAGAAGCAACCTGGCTTTTTCTGAAAGTATATAGTCATATGTGTTCACAAAGAGATGATCTGAAATTGGAACTTATGTTTAACAGGGAAGCAGGGCACAAGAGTTTAGAAAATTTGCAGTTTGATGATGTGACAGAAAAGAAAAACCCATTTTTTAGGGAAAAATTCAAGCAGGCTGCAGAAATTTGCATAAGTAATGAGGAGCAAAATGTTAATCACCAAGACAATGGGGAGAATGTCTCCAGGGCGTTTCAGAGAACTTCATGACAGCCCCTCCCAGCACAGGCCAGAGGCCTAGGAAGGAAAAATGGTTTTGTGGGTGGGGCCTTGGGACATGGCACCCTGTGTCCCAGCTCCTCCAGGCTCCAGCCATGGCTAAAAGAGGCCAAGGTACAATTCAGGCCATTACTTCAGAGAATGCAAGCCCCAAGCCTTGGTGGCCTCCATGCAGTTGGGCCTGTAGGAGCACAGAAGGCAAGAATTGAGCTTTGGGAACCTCCTCCTAAGTTTCAGAGGATGTATGGAAGTCTACTGCCAGGGTGGAGCCCTAATGGAAAACCTCTACTAGGGCAATGCAGAGGGAAAATATGGGGTTTGAAACCCCCACACAGAGTCCCCGCTGGGACACTGCCTAGTGGAGCTGGGAGAAGAGGGCCACTATTCTCCAGACCCCAGCATGGTAGATCCACCAACAGCTTGCACTGTGCACTTGGAAAAGCCACAGGCACTCAATGCCAGCTTGTGGAAGCAGCCACAGAGGCTGTACCTGCAAAGCCACAGGGGCAGAGCTGGCCAAGCCTTTGAAGCCCACCCCTTGCATCAGCATGCCCTAAATGTGAGACATGGAGTCAAAGATTATTTTGGAGCTTTAAGATTTAATGGGTGCCCTGCCAGGTTTCAGACTTGCATGGGGCCTGTGGCCCCATTGTTTTGGTCAATTTCTCCCATTTCAAACAGAAACATTTACCCAATGCCTATACTCCCATTGTATCTTGGAAGTAACTAACTTGTTTTTTATTTTACAAGCTCATAGGCGGAAGGGACTTGCCTTGTCTCAGATGAGACTTTGGACTTGGACCTTTAAGTTAATGCTGGAATAAGTTAAGACTCTGGGGAACTGTTGGGAGTGCATGACTGCATTTCAAAATGTGAAAAGGACATGAGATTTGGGAGGGACCAGGGGCCAAATGATATGGTTTAGCTCTGTGTCCCCATCCAAATCTCATCTTGAATTGTAATCCCCACCTGTCAAGGGAGGGACCTGGTGGGAGGTGATCAAATCATGCAGGTGGTTTTCCTCATGCTGTTCTCATAATAGTGAGTGAGTTCTCATGAAATCTGATGGTTTAAAAGTAGTACTTCCCTCTTCACTCTCTCTCTCTCTCCTGCCACCATGTGAAGAAGTTCTATGCTTCCCTGTTGCCTTCCACCATGATTATAAGTTTCCTGAGGCCTCCCAAGACATGTGGAACTGTAAATCGATTAAACCTTTTTTCTTCATAAATTACCCAGTCTCAGGTAGTTCTTTATAGCAGTATGAGAATGGACTAATACATGCTGATTACAGCCAAAAATACCACACAGAGACCACATTACTATATACAACCAGAACTAAAGCTAAATTACCCTACACATCCAACATGACAGGAAACAACTACAAGAAAAAGTCTTTCCCTACAAAGCTACTATAAAAAATTGGTAGAGGTGACTGTTCCACTAGTTTTGCAGATATTAATATGGGGACAAAAGAAGAATGATAAAGCAAAGAAAAATGACGCCTCCAAAGAACATGATAATTATCCCATAAGAGACTTCAAAGAAAAGGAAATCTACAAAATGCATGAAAAATAATTAAAAATAATGATTGTGGCCAGGCGCGGTGGCTCACGCTTGTAATCCCAGCACTTTGGGAGGCCGAGGCGGGAGGATCACGAGGTCAGGAGATCGAGACCACGGTGAAACCCCGTCTCTACTAAAAATAAAAAAAAATAAAAAAAATAAAAATTAAAAAAAAAAAAAAAATTAGCCGGGCGTGGTGGTGGGCGCCTGTAGTCCCAGCTACTCGGAGAGGCTGAGGCAGGAGAATGGCGTGAACCCGGGAGGCGGAGCTTGCAGTGAGCCGAGGCTGCGCCACTGTACTCCAGCCTGGGTGACAGAGCAAGACTCCGTCTCAAAAAAAAAAAAAATAATAATAATGATTGTAAGAAAATTTACTGAAATACAAAAGAATAAAGACAGATAATAAAAAGAAATCAGGAAAAAAATTGTTATCTGAGTGAAAACCCAACAAAGAGATACATATCATAGAAGAGGTCCAAACAGAAATCTTGGAGCTGAAGAATTCAATAAATGAAATGATAAATAAAATCAATAGCTTCAACAATAGAATAGATCATCAGAAGAAAGAATTTCTGAACTTGAAAACAGGTCTTTTGAAATAACTCAGTAGGAGGAACAAAAAAGGAGAATAAAAAAGAATGAAGAACACCTACAGGACTTATGAGACACCACTAAGCAAACAAATTTTTGCATTATGGGAATACTGGAGGGAGAAGAGATGAAAAAAGGCACCAAAAACATGTTTAATGAAATTACAGTTGTAAGTTTCCCAAGTCATGGGAGAGTTATAAACATTCAAATGAAGAAGCTCAAAAGTCCCCAAATAGAATCAAGCCAAAAAGGTAGTCTCCAAGCCACATTACAATCAAAATATCAAAAACGAAAGAAAAAAAAGAGAATTCGAAAAGCAGAGGGAAAAGAAACTGTCAAGCCACATATAAGGAAATTGTCATTAAACCACCAGAAGATTTCTCAGAAGAAAGCTCACCCACCAGAAGAGAATAGGATGATACATCTAAACTGTGAAAACAAAATAAACTGCCAAACAAGAATACTATACCCAGCAAAAATCGGAAATGAAGATGAAATAAAGTATTTCCCAGGCAAGCAAAAACTGAGGGAATTCATCACCATAAGACCAGCTTTACAACAAATGCTTAAAGGCATCCTTCATCTGGAAGCAAAAGGACAATAACTGCCTCATGAAAACAGTATAAAGTATAAAATTCAGGTAGAACAGATACACAGCTGAAAAAGAGAGAAATCAAACCTTATCACTACAGACATCAACCGAACTGCAAAGATAAACAAGAGAGGAAAAAAGAGAACAAAGGAAATTCAAAACAATCAAAAAACAATCAATAATATAACAGGAGTAAGTCCTCAATGTATCATCAATAATCTTGACTGTTATTAAATTCCCAAATTAAAGATATAGAGTGATTGAACGGATTTCTTTTTAAAAATCCCAACTATATTTTGCCCACAAAAAACTCACTTTACATGTAAAGACAGACAGACTGAAAGGTATAGGATGAAAAAGATTCCAAGACAGACTTAAAGATATGGGATGCAAAAAAGATTCCATGCAAATGGAAATAAAAACAAAGCAGGGGTGGGGCGCAGTGGCTCACACCTGTAATCCTAGCACTTTAGGAGCCCAGGTGGGTAGATCACCTGAGGTCAAGAGTTCAAGACCAGCCTGGCCATCATGGTGAAACCCTATCTCTACTAAAAATACAAAAATTAGCCAGGTGTGGTGGTGCACACCTGTAATCCCAGCTACTCAGGAGGCTGAGACAGGAGAAACGCTTGAACCCGGGAGGCAGAGGTTGCAGTGAGCCGAGATCGCTCCACTGCATACCAACCTGGGCAACAAAGAAAGACTCTGTCTCAAATAAATAAATAAATAACAAAGCAGGAAGAACTATACTTATATAAGATTAAATTGACTTTTAAAAAAAGACCAAAAAGGTCATTACATAATCACGAAGGAATCAATGCAGGAAGAGGATATAACAATTGTAAATATCTACACACCTACAACAAAGCATCCAAATGTACAAAGCAAATATTCAGTCTAAGGGAAGAGACTGAATCCAATACAATAACAGTTGAGGATTTCAACATCCAATTCTCAGCAATGAACAAACAATCTCAACAAAAAAACAACAGAGAAACATCAGACTTAAACTGTACTATAGACCAAATGGACCTAACAAACATTAACAGAACATTTCATTCAACAGCTGCAGAATACACATTCTTCTCATCAGCACATGGACCATTCTCCAGGATAGGCCATATGTTAGGCCACAAAACAAATCTCAACAAATTTTTAAAAACTGAAAAAACACATACTATCTCCTCTGATCACAACGGAATAAAACTAAAAATCAATACCAAGAGGAACTTTGGAAATAGTACAAATACAGGGAAATTAAACAGCATGCCCCTGAATGACCAATGGGTCAACGAAAAAATTAAAAAGGAAATTTTAAAATTTCATGAAACAAATACAAAAAAATACAACCTATCGAAACCTGTGAAATACAGCAAAAGCAGTTCTAAGAGGAAAGTTTACCATCAAGAAACACCTGTATAAAAAAAGTAGAAAGATTTCAAATACCTAACATATTGATGTACCTCAAGGAACTAAAAAGGAACAAATCAAAACCAAAATTACTGGAAGGAAAGAAAGAATAAAGATTAGAGTGAAAGTAAATGAAATAGAGACTTTAAAAAATACAAAAGATGAATGAAACAAAAAGCGTTTTTTAAAGATAATCAAATTTGACAAACCATTAGCTATACTAGGAAAAATGAGAGAAGACCCAGATAAATAAAATCAGAAGTGAAAATAGAGGAATTACAACCAAGACCACATAAATACAAAGGATCATTAAAGACTACTATAAGCAAATATATGCCAAAAAATTGGAAAACCAAGAAGAAATGGATAAATTCCTGGAAAAATACAACCTACCAAGATTGAACCAGAAAGAAACAACAAACCTGAGCAGGCCAATAATGAGTAATAAGATGGGATCAATAATAAAAAGTCTCGCATCAAAGAAAAGCCCAGGACAGGCCGGATGCGGTGGCTCACACCTCTAATCCCAGCACTTTGGGAGGCCAAGGCGGGTGGACCACAAGGTCAGGAGATCAAGACCATCCTGGCTAAAATGGTGAAACTGTGTCTGTACTAAAAATACAAAAAATATTAGCTGGGCGTGGTGGCAGGCGCCTGTAGTCACAGCTACTCAGGAGGCTGAGGCAGGAGAATGGCGTGAACCCAGGAGGCAGAGTTTGCAGTAAGCCAAGATCGTGCCACTGCACTCCAGCCTGGGCAACACAGCGAGACTCCGACTCAGAAAAAAAAAAAGAAAAGCCCAGGACTGAATCGCTTTACTGCTGAATTCTATCAAACTCTTTTTTTTTTTTTTTTTTTTTGGAGACAGGTTCTCTCTCTGTATCACCCAGGCTGAAGTACAGTGGCACAATCTCAGCTCACTGCAATCTTTGCCTCCTAAGCTCAGGCAATCCTCTGGCCTCAGCCCCTCAAGTAGCTGGAACTATAGGCACAAGCCACCACATCTGGCTAATTTTTATATTTTTTGTAGAGACAGTGTTTCACCATATTGCCCAGGCTGGTCTCAAGCTTCTGAGCTCAAACAATCCACCCACCTTGGCTTCCCAAAGTGCTAGGATTACAGGTGTTAGCCACCATGCTCGGCCTCAAACTCTTAAAGAAGAACTAACACCAATTCCTCTCAAAGTATTTCAAAAAACTGAAGTGGAGGAATGCTTCCAAACTCATTCTATGAGTCTGGTATCAGCACTACTCTGATACCAAAACCAAACAAGAACACAACAAAAAAGCAAAACTACAGGCCAATATCCCTGATGAGCATAGATGTAAAAATTGTCAACAAAATATTAGAAAACCAAATCTAATAGTGCATTCAAAAGATGATACACCATGATCAAGTAGGATTCATCCCAGGAATGCAAGGATGGTTTACCATTTGTATCAAATTGTGACACATCACATTGACAGAAAGAACATAAACTATATGATCATCTCAACAAATACAGAAAAAGCATTTAACAAAATTTGCCAGTCATTCGTGATAAAAATTCTCAATAAATTAGGTACAGAAAGTATGTATCTAAACACGATAAAGGCAATAAATGACAAAACCACAGCTAACATCTTACTGAATGAGGAAAAGTTGAAATCTTTTCCTCTAGGAACTGGAACAAGACAAGGATGCCCACTCTTGCCACTCTTATTCCACACAGTACTGGAAGTCCTAGCCAGAGCAATTAGGCAAGATAAATAAAATAAATAAAGGGAATCCAAATTGGGAGAGAAGAAATCAAATTGTCCCTGTTTGCAGATGATATGACTTTCTATACAGAAAACCCTTAACTCTGCAGAGCTTATAGCTTGCAGTGAATGCCAAGAAGTTTTTAGACAATTTCAGCTGAGCGGGGTGAGGGGCAGCTTTTCTAAGAGAGTCCGCCCCAGCATCCGCCCACCAATTACTTATAGAAAGGGCTTGTTAAACCACAAACATCCACTAGATGGCTTTTTTGAGGCTGGGTCGTGAGACACCTGTGGCCTTGTAAAAACACTTAAACTGCATTATTAGGAGGCTGTTTTCAGCGTTCCTTATCATACCATGAACTCAACTTCCCGTCCTGTTTTCAGGGTCAAGGAGTTTTAGTCTCATGCACAAATAACATACACACAGTGCCTCAGTATTTTTCCATGCCCTGACCTCAAATGCCTTGTACATAAGCCTGAATATGTTACCGTGCACCCCACAAACTCCACCAAAAAACTCTTATAATTACTAAACAAACTCAGTAAAGTAACAGGATACAAAATCAACATACAAAAATCAGTAGCATTTACATACAGCAATAACAAACTAGCTGAAAAAGAAATCAACACCAGCACTTTGGGAGGCCAAGGCGGGTGGATCACGAGGTCAGGAGATCAAGACCATCCTGGCTAGCACGGTGAAACCCCATCTCTACTAAAAAAATACAAAAATGTCCAACAATGATAGACTGGATTAAGAAAATGTGGCACATATACACCATGGAATACTATGCAGCCATAAAAAAGGATGAGTCCATGTCCTTTGTAGGGACATGGATGAAGGTGGAAACCATCATTCTCAGCAAACTATCACAAGGACAAAAAACCAAACATCACATGTTCTCAATCATAGGTGGGAATTGAACAATGAGAACATTTGGACACAGGAAGGGGAACATCACACACCAGGGCCTGTCGTGGGGTGGGGAGAGCGGGGAGGGATAGCATTAGGAGACATACCTAATGCAAATGACGAGTTAATGGGTGCAGCACACCAACATGGCGCATGTATACATATGTAACAAACCTGCACATTGTGCACATGTACCCTAGAACTTAAAGTATAATAATAAAAATAAAAATAAAAAAAAAGAAATAACCTAGACCTAAAGGGAACTTTGAAAGAAAGGAGACTGAGTTCATTTACAAAGGGTTAAAAGAGTGATATTTAAGCTGTGTCTGAAGATTTTTTTTAAAGATTCTACAAGATCTTGGCTAGGCGTGGTGGCTTACACCTGTAATCCCAGCATTTTGGGAGGCTGAGGTGGATGGAACACAAGGTCGGGAGTTCAAGACCAGCCTGACCAACATGGTGAAACCCTGTCTCTACTAAAAATACAAAAATTAGCTGGGCGTGGTGGTGCATGCCTGTAGTCCCAGCAACTTGGGAGGCTGAGGCAGGAGAATTACCTGAACCTAGGAGGCGGAGGTTGCAGTGAGCCGAGATTGTGCCACTGCATTCCAGCCCGGGTGACAGAGTGAGACTCCATCTCAAAAAAAAAAAAAAAAAAAAAAGATTCTACAAATCTTTCAATATAATGTATACATTAAAATACATATTCTATTATCCTGTATACAGTTACAAAATAATCTAAATTCTGAGATATAGTTGTTCTCTACATACTATATTTTATCTTATTTTTAAATGCTTTTTGTGGCGTTTATTTTTAAAGAAACATAATTAAGTGCTTTGTTCTTCTGTGTATTTTTCCTACTCAGAATCATCACGAATGTTTAAATGCAAATTCATTTCATCAAATATCTTCATAGATGACAAATGATATTCTGAATATCAATTATTCAAAATGCTTAGTCAGAAGATTTCCAAACTGCCTGTTTAAATACAAAATGTAAAAATCCATGATATATCTATTAACAGTATTTGTAATACAAAATAGGTTCTTTATATTCATGTCTACGACATAAGGCTGAGTGACTTAGCCTCAAATTCATTTGTTAATCTACCTTCTCTCACCCAAGAGATCACATTTTTTCCCCATTTTCACTTCATTCCTATTATCTCTCTTGGTAAAAGCTGTCCTTATATCTCTTTTTCCTCATCCTTTCCCTATCTAGATGCTAAGCCTTCCCCTAGATAAATAACTAACACTTTCTTCAGCATTCATCTAATATATTATCCTTAAACTGCATAAGATGAGAAACAGAGAGTTATGGCTTAACCTGACAATAGCAAGAGACATAGCAAGAGCCACTTGAAGAGCGGGGCTCTTTCATTTGTTAACTGCTAAGAAACACTAAACAACATTTTCTATTTTCCAGAATACTTCGTCCTTATTTCTACATGGGCACTCACACACACACACACAATATCTCCTTTAGTTCCTCAAAAGTGTTTTCTCTCTAGTGGTAAACTTTTCAGATGCATGCAAAAGAATGCCTTCCTCATCCAGGAAAGTCTAGGGTCAAAAAACAGCAGCATTAAGAGCCCAACCGGCTAAGCGCAGTGGCTCACTCCTCTAATCCCAGCACTTTCGGAGGCCAGTGAGGGCAGACCACCAGACTTCAGGAGTTCGAGACCAGCCTGGCCAACACGGCGAAATCCCATCTCTACTAAAAATACAAAAATTAGCTGGGCGTGGTGGTGCATGCCTGTAATCCCAGCTACTTGAGAGGCTGAGGCAAGAGAATTGCTTGAACCCAGGCGGTGGAGGTTGCAGTGAGCCGAGATTGCGCCACTGCACTCCAGCATGGGCGACAGAGCAAGACTCTGTCTCAATTTAAAACAAAATGAAACAAAAAAACAAGAGCCCAGCCGAGAATGAATACCATAAATTTGTAATGGCACCAATCTGGAGAATATAATTTTCTGTTAGATATATTCAGCAACCTAGCTAAAGAAATGGAGAAGCTGAACTGCAATTCTGATACAGGGATGGGTAAGCAAAAGACAAGAAAGATGAAGGTATGAAAGACATTTAAACGGTGGAGGTGAACTTCAGGTTCAGCAAAGAATATACTGTAAGAAGGAGACTGTTAGGCTCAGGTAAAATAATGATGTCAGGGTCTGGAAATCTCACTGAGGTTAGAGACCCAGCTCCCTATAAGTAAGGTAGTAAGAAAGCTAAAAGATAAAATCAAAGTAATACCCTGAAATACAGGATTTAGAGGTGGGAGAGTTCTAATGATAAAATCTAGGTAAGATTATGGCTTAAAAATGCAGTGAAAATAAAATTTATAGAAGTTGAAATGAAATAATTAAAAGAGATGGCAGGCACGGTGGCTCACGCCTGTAATCCCAGCACTTCGGGAGGCTGAGGCAGGCATATTACTTGAGGTCAGGAGTTCAACAGAAGCCTGGCCAATATGGTGAAACCCCACCTCTACCAAAAAAAAAAAAAAAAATCAGCTGGGTTGGTGGCACACACCTGTAATCCCAGCTACTTGGAGGGCTGAGGCAGGAGGATCACTTGAACCCAGGAAGTGGAGGTTGCAGTGAGCTGAGCTCATGTCACTGCACTCTAGCCTGGGCGACAGAGTAAGACTCCATCTCAGAAAAATAAATAAAAGAGATAACCTAGGATTATGGCACAGGTCAATGTGAAAAGACTACAGGCCAGCTGGTAAAGTTCTTAGTAAATATTGGTGGCTGCTTTAGAACCTTCATGGTACTTGCAGTATGGTCCAATAGCATCATCTAGAAGCTTGTTAATAATACAAAATCTAAGACCCCACTTCGGGCCTGCTGAATCAGAATCTGCATCTTAACAAGAATCCCAGGTAATTCAGGCATAGAGTCAAGTTTGAAAGTCACTGGCATACAACTTAACAGATAATATAAAAGACAAAGATAAGAAGTGGATGTCCTAATGGCATGAACCTGGGAAAGGAAGATGTGTGTGTGTGTGTGTGTGTGTGTGTGTGTGTGTGTGTGTGTACACAATAGTTAAAATTGGTTTCATAGTGCCAGTGGAGAATTAGGCAAATTCTAACAGTATCTCTGTCTGCCATGATCTCTGGAGCTTGAGAATTCTGGGTAAATTAGGGTCATATCTATTGTCTGGATATTTTAATATGGGTTTCCTATCTCCTTCCTCTGCATTTATTGAAGTGTATCTTCTGTCTTAGGCTTTTTTAGGGGGAGGGAGAGGATTTTATATTTTTATTTTAGGTTGCCTCCTATTACTTTTATAAAGATATGGGATATTTAAAAAATCAGTTTGGGGATGGTTTCACGTCTGGCATGGAAGGAGCTTATAAGTTGCAACTCTGTCCTAACAGGTAAAAAACTGAACAAACTGAAAAACCAACTTTTCTTAGATCTGTAAGAGAGGTGAGGTCACAGGGCAAACCAGTGCCCCAAAAATTAGACAGGTAGACAGGCAGATATGAAGAACCACAATTTATCCATGTAGAAACCTACAAGCAGAAATGAGTGCCATGGGAGAAAAACTTAAACTGTAAATGACAAATTGATGGAGGCTCAGTGTTGACAAGTCTGAGGGTCAAAAACTCTAGGAGGACTCAGTAACATGGGGGTCCCCACACTGTTGTGAGTTTTACCTGCATGAACTCAGCCAGGTTCTCACGGTGAATGTCAGAGAAAAAGCTGGTGCTTCTGGCAAGAGGAAGGGGGAAGTAGCTATTTTGAAATATGCAGGAGTACTCTACCCTTACAAAGATCTACTCTCAGAAGCAACTAGTTTACCAGAACCCAGCCTGCTGGGTTTATATCGGAGCTGAACATACCAGAGGGAAGGGAAATACCTAACTCCAGCCCCCTCTAGTCATTCTGTCCCACCTAAAGAGGGAGGAGGGCAGTGAGCAGGGATCTGAGAAGCACCAGTGAACTTCACATTCCAGAGGCAAAGGCTCATTAAAAAACTGAGATGTACTCATAGGACTACAGAATATTCCCCCTGCCCCCTGCACTTGCCCATACCTTACTAAAAACCTATTTAAAGCAATTCCTTTTACCCATACATCATGCCTGGCTAGGAAGAAAAAAGTACAGGGAATCCTAAGAGGTGAAAAACATAGTCTGAAGATACAGGGTATCAGAACCAGACACTGACATGGCAATAATACTGGAATTATCAGACCAGACATTTTTTTAAACTGTGATTAATATGCTAAGGGCTCTAATGGACAAAGTAAACAGTGTGCAAAAACCAACAGATAATGTAAACAGATGGAAATTCTAAGAAATAAAAAGAAATGCTGGAGAAGAAAAACGCTTCAATAGAAATAAACAATGCCTTTGATGGACATATTAGTAGACTGGAAATGGCTGAAGAAAGAGTTTCTGAGCTTGAGTATATCTCAGTTGAAAGGTGCAAAACTGAAAGCAAAGAGAAAAAAGACTGGGGGGATGAGGGGAACCAGAACAGAATCTCCAAGAATTGTGATACAACTACAAAAGATGAAACCTGGGAGAAAATCTAGATGACTTTGGGGTTTGGCAATGACTTTTTAGATATAGCACCAAATGAGAGAACGTATTGATAAGCTAGACCTCATTAAAAATAAAATTTCTGCTCTGCATAAGACACTGTCAAAAGAATGAGAAGACAAGCCAAAAACCGGGAGAAAATATTTCCAAAAGACACATTTGATAAAGAATTGTTATCCAAAACATACAAAGAACTCTTAAAACTCAACAACAAGAAAACAAACAACCCAATTTAAAAATTGGCCAAAGACCTTAAATACATCTCACCAAATAAGATATATGGATGGCAAATAAGCATATGAAAAGATGTTTCATATTATATGTCATCATGGAAATGCAAATTAAAACAACAATAAGATACCACTACATATCTATCAGAATGACCAAAATCCAGAATACTGACACCACCAAATGATGGTGAGGATGTGGAGCAAAAGAAACGCTCATTTCTTGCTGGTGGGGATGCAAATTGGTACAGCCACTTTGGAAGACAGGCGGTTTCTTACAAAATTAAACATACTCTTACCATATGATCCAGTAATCATGTTTCTTGGTATTTACCCAAAATAGATGAAAACTTATATCCACACAGAAACCTACACACAAATGTTTATGGCAACTTTATTCATAACTGCCAAAACTTGGAAGAAACCAAGATGTTTTTCAGTGGGTGGCTAGATAAACTGTGATATACACAAACAATGAAATATTATTCAGTACTGAAAAGCAGTAAGCCATAAGGTCACAAAAAGACATGGAGGAAACTTAAATGCTACTGCTAAGTGAAAGAAGCCAATCAGAAAAGTCTACATACTGTATGAATCCAACTACGACTTTCTGGAGAAGGCAAAACTGTGGGGGAATAAAAAGATTAGTGCATATCAGGGGTCAGAGGGAGAGAAGGATCAATAGGCAGGACACAGAGGATTTTTAGGATAGTGAAACTATTCTGTATGATACTATTACAGTTGATATATGTCATTATATATTGTCAAAACCTATAAAATGTACAGCACCAAGAGTGAACTCTAATGTAAACTACAGATTCAGGGTGATAAAGATGTGTCAATGTAGGTTCATCAAGTATAACAAATAGACCACTCTGGTGGAGGATGCTGATCGTAGGAAAGGCTATGCATGTGTTGGGGCATGGGATATATAGACAATCTGTATACCTTCTGCTCAGTTTTGCTGTGAACCTAAAACTGCTCTAAAAGGTCTATTAAAAACCAATTTTAGAAGTATTTCTATATGCATATACACATATACCTATACTCACATGCATTCTATTTTCTAGCCTAATTAACTGACCAACATATTTTCAAAAACTCTACACTTGGCCAGGCACGGTGGCTCATGCCTGTAATCCCAGCACTCTGGGAGGCCAAGGCGGACGGATCATCCGAGGTCAGGAGTTTGAGACCAGCCTGGCCAACATGGTGAAACCCCATCTCTACTAAAAAAAAAAAATATATATATATAGAATATAATATATATATATATAATATAATATATATATAGAATATAATATATATATATATATTAGCCAGGTGTGGTGGCGGGCATCTGTAATCCCAGCTACTCGGGAGGCTGAGGCAGGAGAATTGCTCGAACCCAGGAGGCGGAGGTTGCAGTGAGCTGAGATTGCGCCACTGCACTCCAGCCTGGGTGACAAGAATGAGACTCCATCTCAAAACAAACAAACAAACAAATAAAAAACTCTACACTCTACATATGTCTATTATATTTAGCATATCAGTTTCATATATAATAGACATATTCTTCAAGCCTCTAAAATTTTGAAGCTGACTATAAATGATCAGATACTATATAACAGACTTTTCCCCTATTTTCTCCCTGAAACTTGATGAAACAGGGAATGGATATACCTATTCAATAAAATGTAATTTTTAAAAATACCAATTTATAAATCACTACTATAAGAAGAACTCTAAGGAAACAGAAAAATCAGAAAGTTTAGTACATTTTAGAAACAGTTTTTCATATGGGAAATTTTTTAAATTATCATTCCTAATCAGTTAAAAAACACAGTAGTTGCTACCAGAGATGTCAAAACCTTTTGTTTTATGTTGGAATTTAAAGTTAATTCCTCTCCTTGAGCATTAGGTAACATATTCCTGCCTTGGGCTGTCCAGATAATCATTGTCTTTTGGTATAAAAAATTTATAGAGAGATAATATTTAAATCTGTTTCTCAAAGTACCTGGAAGTGTACCAAATAATAAAGTATAAAATAAAACAGCTGGAAGAAAAGGAACTGTCAAGAGTCCCCAGTCATATGTATCTGAGATCTAGGTTCACAGAGCTTAGTTTGCAAAAAGGAAAAATTCACATGACATAATCACTGATCACAGTTCTGTAAGGTTGTAGCCTCTGGTGAAGAGAATCCTAATAAAACCCATATAACTGGCAACCTCTTATCTCTGCCCTCCAAATAGCTTGACTTTCAAATTATTCTCTTTCCTGAGTAATTTCCAGAGCTCCCACTATATTTTTGATATGACCTGAAGGTAAAACAAGTTGAAGTAATGTAAGCAAAACTAAACATATTAAATACTTTGTGCAGAATATGTTGAGTTATAATATAAGCAGTGACAACCACTATTTTAAAAGTTTATTATTGAAAACATAAAAGCTTTTAAATTCTCAAGTGTTACATATAAATATGAAGGTTATCATGCAAAACTTGTAAAAGGCCAGCACTGAACCATTACTTTTATTTCTTAAGTGAAAAGTGTGCTTACAAATAAAAAATGAAAACCATTTCCAAAGAAAGAATAAATAAAACAAAAAAATTCAGAAATAGAAGAATTATTGGTTCAAATTGTCTATACTCTTATACATGGGAAGAAAGGAGAGCTTCAACTGTTAAGTAAGTGCGACTACCATGAACAGAAATAATTAATTTATTATTATTATGAGACAGAGTCTTGCTCTGTCACCCAGGCTAGAGCGAAGTGGCATGATTTCAGCTCACCACAACCTCTGCCTCCCAGGTGCAAGCGATTCTTGTGCCTCAGCCTCCGGAGTAGACGGAACAATAGGCACCTGCCACCATGCCCGGCTAATTTTTTTTGCATCTTTAATAGATGGGGTTTTACCATGTTGGCCAGGGTGGTCTCAAGCCCCTAACCTCAGGTGATCTGCCCACCTTGGCCTCCCAAAGTGCTGGGATTACAGCTGTGAGCCACTGTGCCAAACCCGAATTATTTAAACATTGTTATAAGTATATACAAGTAGGATGCTTAGGGAGACAGCTATCAAAGGTTAGAGTGGTGATCACACATATGGTCACTTGATTTATAACCAAGATACCACTGTAATTAAGTGCTGGAACAACTAGACATCCATATGGAAAATATAATTAACCTTGACACTTATTTCACACTATTCAAAAAGTTAATTTGAGTGAGATCATAGACATAAATGTAAAAGCTGACACAATCAAGCTTCTAGAAGAAAACAGAATTTTTCATAAGGTAGAAAAGACTTCTTAAATAAAATACACATAAATCTGAATAGAAAAATTTGATAACCTGAGCTAAATTAGAAGAGCATTTTACAGCAAAAGACTCCATTAAGCAAGTGAAATTACAAGCCATTGATTGATATCTGCAACACATCTGACAAAGGGCGCATATCCAAAATATATCATGAATTCCTATAAATCAGTAAGAAAAAAACAAACAATGCAATCTTAAATCAACAAAAAACATGAACCACCATTTCACAAAGATGGATATCCAAGTAGACAATAAGCAGTACTCAACAGGGAGATGCATTTTTAAAACACAAAGAGATACCAAAACACACCTGCAAGAATCACAGAAACAGATAAACCAAGTGTTAATAAGGATGTAGAACAACTGGAATTCTCATATGAATGGTTGGAGATTAAATCGGTACAATTACCTTAGAAAACTGCTTGACAGAACCAACTAAAACTAAACATATCCCTAAGCTAAAATCCAGCAGTCACATTTCTAGGTATATACACAAAAGAAATTAGTGCATCTGAATCCCATAAAACATACACATGGATGTTTATGGCAGCTTATTCATAATAGCCCCAAGTTAGAAATAACTCAGATGTCAACAGGAGAATGGACATTTTGTAGTACATAATACAGTGTAATACTATATAACAACAAAAAAGAATACACTGAGGATTCATGCAAAAACATGGATGGATCTCAGCATTACACTGCAAGAGAGAAGACATTAAAAGATTTTATCTACATGAAGTTCAAGGGCAGGCAAAACTAATAAATATTTAAAGAAGTCATATACTGGTTACCACTGAGAGTGAGTATTGAGTATAAAGACACAAGAGGAAACCTCCTACATATTAAAAATGTTCTAGATCTTGATCTTGAGAGTAGTTATTCAGGTGTGCACAATATTTTAAGATTAGCACACTTTACACATTTTAATGTTAAATAAATGATTAAAGTGTTTTCTTAAGTTAGGGTGGCAGGGAAAAAACAATGTCAAGAAAACTTTGGAGGTCGCCTAATCCTTTTGGGAAGCAATTTGGCTTTATATATTTAAAAAATTCTATGCACAAAATACTTTTCAGACAAACACTTATTTATAATGGAGAGGAAAATGGCCAAAAAGAAAACCCCACTGTATTTCTAACAATGAGGAAAAGTTAGGAAGACTGAGTAATATATACTCCCTCTGAAATATATACCTATTGTAACAAGTTACCATTTATTTATAATGTTTTATGGGCCACCACCATAGCAGTTTGTGAAGCATATTTCAGACATTTATCATACAAATGACAAACAAGTAATATGTCTTTCTATCCAAGATTATGAATTTATATTCACTCTGATTTTTTTTAAGACAGAGTCTCGCTCTGTCGCCTAGGCTGGAGTGCAGTGGTGCAATCCCGACTAACTGCAACTTCCACCTGCCAGGTTCAAGCAATTTTCCTGCCTCAGCCTCCCGAGTAGCTGGGATTACAGGCATGCGCGACGACGCCCGGCTAATTTTTATATTTTTAGTAGAGACAGGGTTTCACCATGTTGGCCAGGCTGGTCTCGAACTCCTGGCCTTGTGATTCGCCCGCCTCAGCCTCCCAAAGTGCTGGGATTACAGGCGTGAGCCACCGCGCCTGGCCATTCACTCTGATGTTTAAAATTTTTTAAATGTATTTCACCCTGATTAATAAAACGGTGGGAAACATTTAAGAAGCAGACACAAAATAGACATACACCAATCCCCTATACTTTTCAGTTATTTGAACCATATAGTGTTTGGTTCCACATATGTTTAGTCTGTGTATGTTTCGTCCTTGGTTCAGATACTACTTGTGATACCAAATAAGGTACAAGTGACAATATCCAATCTGTAATTTTTCTACTGTTTGAAGCAGCTAACAGTTGACTTTGCCATGTTCTTCCTGGTTTGCTATTAATTGAAAAGGTAATTTAATATATATACAAATTACATAGAAATCTACTAGGTCTACATAAATGACAAAAAGAAATCAACCTAGAGCAGTAGTTGCCATCTAGGTTGCAATTCTGGTCTCACCCTACTCCAGGACATTTGGTAACGTCTACAGACATTTTTAATTGTCACAAGTAAGGCTGCTATGGACAGTTAGAAGACAGAAGCCAAAGATGCTACTAAACACCTTCTAGTACACAGGACAATCTTCTTTCCCTCCCAATACAGGATTATCTGGTCCAAAATGTCAGTAGTAAAGTCAACAAATTTGGGCCTAGAGTTAGCATGGTAGGGACTATAAAACTTAATGTCATCTGATCATCACTGACTTGTCTTCTTGGTTATAACCTGGAGGTTAAACGCCAGATCTACAAAGACCATACAGGATTCACAGAAGAGGAGTAGCTAGCAGAAACCCTGAATATCTACAGACCCATTACTGGAACCTTATCTGTGACTGAGGTATATAGTATTCTTGCTACTATTTCATGTCTTTGATTATAAATACTATACAATATTTATTTACTTATTTATGTAGGGGAAAACTCATAGACACGTATATTTATAATTCAAAAAATTCAACTAAAAAGCACAAAATAATTATAATAAACCTTGAGAAAGTAGAAGAAACTTAAAATGAAGAAATTTATGAAATATGAAACTAAAAAGCTAGAGTCTTAAATTTAACAATAAACTGTTATGAAGATATTATGTGAAGAAAAAATTTTTTTGAGAAATACTCTTTTATTTTGAAATTTGGTTTTTGAAGCTTTCTCATTTCTCATTTCATTTCCAGAACCACTGTGTGCACTGGTCTAGTCAGAGATTGTTCTCTATGTTAGATTGGAGATACTAAGGTGAAACAGCTATCAAATGTCCTGACTCTAATTCGACACTTTCTTTCATTTAATAGCCAATGTCATCCTTGGGGTGAATGAAGGACAAGAGACAGAAGTGCTCATGCTTAAAAGGACATTATTATATGGCAGATAATCTTTGTGAAGGGATATTTGGATTCTGAAGCCTTTTATGTGAAGAAAATTATAGAACAACATCACCCGTGAACATAGACAGAAAATCCTTAAAATAATAGAAAAATGATTTTAGCAAAATATAAAAATAATAATACATCATGACAAAATGATTTAATTCCAGGAATACAAGGTTGATTTAATGTAATTTATCACATTAGCAGAATAAAGGAGAAAAGCTAGATGATCACTTCAACAAATGCAGAAAAATCATTAGACAAAATTCAATAGCCATTAATAATAACAACTCTCAGCAAACTAGGAACAGAACTCTCTGAAGCTGATGGATGATGTCGATGAAATAACTACAGCTAACATTATTTACTTAGTCATGGGACATTAAATGCTTTTCCTAAGAGATCAATACAAGACGAGTAAATACATTCTCACCACTTCTACTCTACATAGTACTGAAAATCCTAGTCAGTGCACTAAGGCAAGAAAAGGAAAAGTCATAAATACTGAAAAGTGAAAGCTCTCCTATTCCTAGATGACATGATTACATATACAGAAAATCCTATGGAATCTACAGAAATTACTAGAATAAGTGATTTCAGAAATGTAGTATGACAGGTCAATATACTAAACTCAATTATGTTTCTTTGTATTAGAAACACATAATTAAAAATAAAATTAAAAAATAGAAATAAAACCAACAAAATATGTACCTTTATTAACCTATAAAATACTACTGAGAGAATTTTTTAAATACCTAAATAAATGACAAGATATATAATATTCATGGATCAGAAGACTCGACACTGTTAGGATGGCAATTCTCTCAAAATTGAGCAATAGAGTCAATATTATCCCTAGCAAAATCCTAGCAGAAATTAACAGGCTAATTCTAAAATTGCTATGGAAATATACATGATCTAAAATGCCCA
Source organism: Homo sapiens (assembly GCF_000001405.40). Taxonomy (NCBI): domain Eukaryota; kingdom Metazoa; phylum Chordata; class Mammalia; order Primates; family Hominidae; genus Homo; species Homo sapiens. The sequence goes on along the minus strand of NC_000014.9, from coordinate 31,733,321 downwards.
AAATAATCTTTACAAACAAATCCAGAAGCCTTACTCTACAGCAATCAAGAACACGTAGTATGAGGCAGGCAACAGCATACAGAATTCAAAAGCAGCCACTCCATACGAGGGATATCTATCTATCTACCTACCTACCTATCTATATATATAAACATTTTTTTTCAACCAAGGCTTTAAGTCAATTAAATGGGGGAAAATATCTTTACATTTGGTTCTGGAAAACTGGACATCTGTATAGGAAAAAGTGAACCTCAACTTCTGTTTCACACCATACACAAAAATTAATTTGAGATGATCATAGGCTTAGACCAGAATCAAAAACCTTCTAGATGAAAACATAGAATTTCCTCACGCTTGGGATAGGCAAAGTTGTCTTAGGACCCAAAAAAGTACTAA